>NW_017852933.1:963557-1284743 GCF_000001405.40 Homo sapiens
CCAGGAAATGGGGCTCCAAGATGGCTTCAAGGCACCCTGTGTCCTCCCCCGCCAGGTCTCTGGCTTTGCTTGGATCAGAAATAGCTATAGCTACCATTTACTGAGTCCAGATCTTTCCCTGGCATTGTGCTAAGTGCTTTGAGTATGCTGCCTTGCTTCATCCTCACAGTCCCCCAGTTTACAGATAAGGTAAGTGGGAATCCACCAGTAAGAGGCAGGGCATGATTCTACCTGGTCCTGCTGACTCCAGAACTCTGCTCTGAGCCACTCTGCCATACCTTTGACATTAGAAATAAAATACATGGTCTTAGGTTCTACGAGCTGAGTACTTTCATTAAGATTGTGAAGGCCTGTTACCACTAGTGGCACATGATCCTTACCCCCCTGAGCCTCAGTTCCTTTGTCAGTACAATAGGAAGCTGATAGAATACAGATGCAAAGGATTGATCATTATAGGCTTTAAATGGGACAATCTTAGCAGATGGGCTGGCACATGATCAAGACTCAGGATCATTGATCGTTTTAGTTACTATCATTATTGCTATTATGATTATTATTTTAAGAGATGTGGCCAGGCGTGGTGGCTCACGCCTGTAATCTCAGCACTTTGGGAGGCCGAGGCAGATGAATTGCCTGAGCTCAGGAGTTGTAGACCAGCCTGGGCAACATGGTGAAACCCCGTCTCTACTAAAAATACAAAAAGTTAGCCAGGCGTGGTGGCACACACCTGTAGTCCCAGCTATTCAGGAGGCTGAGGCACAAGAATCGCTTGAACCCAGGAGGTGGAGGTTGCAGTGAGCTGAGATGACACGACTGCACTCCAGCCTGGGTGACAGAGCGAGACTCTGTCTCAAAAAAAAAAAAAAAAAAAAGTAGAGACAGGGTCTTGCTCTGTCACTGAGGTTAGAGTGCAGTGGTGCAATGATAGCTCACTGCAGCTTCGAACTTCTGGGCTCAAGCAATCCTCCCAACTCAGCCTCTGAGTACTTGGGGGACTTCAGGCATGCACCACCACATCTGGCTCCTTTTTTGTTTGGTAGAGATGGAGTCTTGCTATGTTGTCAAGGCTTGTCTTGAACTCCTGACCTCAAGTGATCCTTCCACCTCAGCCTCCAAAAGTGCTGGGATTATAGGCACGAGCTTCCACACGTGGCTCTAGTTACTATCATTATTAACCCATGCCTCAGCCGTGACCGTGACATCCCTCCACCCTGCCTGACCGTGATGGTGCCTTACCTGGTGAGATGCCAACTCTGCTACTGAGTGGACGCCATTTCAGAGATTTCAGCGGGGGGCTCTTCTCTCTGTCAGGGTCATCTTTAATGCTCTAGAAAACAGGCAATCTTTCCCATCAGAGGAGTGTTCCCTGTGTCACGCAGGATCCCAGTTACCCTGACCTCAATTTGTCAATCAGGAACTTTTGTAGGGAGGAGCCTAAGGGAGGGGACTCCTCAGACAGGTTTGGCCCCTCTCCTGCAGCAGATTCAGAAGGGACTCTGGGTTTTGAGGTGAAAAAGTATGGGTGTGTACATGTGTGTAGGAGTGTATATGTATGTGTGTGCATGTGCATATGTGTATGTATGCATGTGTGTGTGTGTGAGATGAGAGTGAGAGAGCTGCTAGTGAGAGAGCTATGGGGGTTTGCCAGAATTTTTTTCATCAGTCACCTGCCCCTCTTCCTAATGGACTGGGATGTCTGGGCCTCCAGCATGACAACAGAAATTTAGGTAACTTCTGTGCCTTATCAGGCACCTCAGTTTTTTTTTGTTTGTTTGTTTTCTTTTTTGAGATGGAGTCTGGCTCTGTCACCCAGGCTGGAGTGCAGCGGCGTGATCTCGACTCACTGCAAACTCTGCCTCCCAGGTTCAAGCAATTCTCCCTGTCTCAGCTTCCCGAGTAGCTGGGATTACAGGCACCCGCCACCACACCCGGCTAATTTCTGTATTTTTAATAGAGAGGGGGTTTCACCATGTTGGCCAGGATGGTCTTGATCTCTTGACCTCATGATCCGCCTGCCTTGGCCTCCCAAAGTGCTGGGATTACAGGTGTGAGCCACTGCACCTGGCCCAGACACCTCAGTTTTAAGGGAAGAGTTCCTTCATTCTCAGCCACGACTGGAGTGTGGCGGTCATTAAACAGTCACTGTCTGGGGAGCACCCGGCCTGGTTTCAGGAGGCACTCAGGAAGCACTGAAGGCTCAAGAGGCAGCCTCTGAGGAGGGGGCGAAGTGCCTGAGCTGGCTCCTGAAACCTGGCAGAGTTCCCCGAACGAGGGCAGAACCCGGCTGCACAGGCTCTCCTGGAAAGGCAGCCCTTTGGCTGGAAATCTGCTACCTACTGTCTGGGATGGATTTCCACATTCTGAACATGGGCTGTGCTCACAGGGTCTGAGTCATGCAATGCTGAGGGACTCACAGGTGTCCCTCCCAGTCTGCTCACAAGCACAGGTGCCTCTGGGGTCTGTCCTCTAGAGCCCTTCTGATTGCCAAGGTGGGTGGGTATTTTATGGAGGACAGAATTGATAGGCTGTGAATGAGGATAAGCCCCTAGCAGGCTCAGCCCACCCTCAGGCTCCTATCAGCCTCTGCAAAGTCTTGGGTGGCAGCGGGAAGAGCCCTTAGAGACCATAATTCCTTTGCCCCCGAGAGACTCTCCAGGATAAGCCATCAGATGAAACAGGTGGGTGTCAATTCTGTGGCATCCTCAGTACCAGGGTAGGGAAAAGGCTGGGATAGGCTGACAGAGCCAAGGGTGGGTTGGGGGAGGACAGAGGACCCCGAGAGCTGAGGAGCCGGCCCCCCGCGGGAGATTTTCCCCCTGGAGGCCTGGGCAAGAGGCACCCACAGGACACTCACCACTGAAGCACCCACCCCCATCCCTGCTGGCCCCAGCCATTTTAAGACCCAGGAAAGACCAGAAGACAAACAGGAAACCAAATCTTCTGCGTGTTATTAGGAGGGGAGTCAAACCATTCTGGCCCCCAGGGGGACGGTGGGCCTGGGAGGGCAGAGCTTCTTGGGCTGACTTCTTAGCTGAAGTGTCTTTGGTTTTTCTTTCGGGAGGGCTGAACTTCCCAGTACTTTTCCTGAATGGTTCTTCAGGGAGGCCATGAGGAAGGCACACTGCAGTGGGATTGGGAGGGTCAGTGGCACCCCCAGCCACTGTGGACACACACACACACACACACACAGCAGGAGGGACTGTATCCACTGGAACCTCTGATGTCCCCTGGACTCCTCTTTTTGTCCCTAGAAAGCCACCTGGGGCTGAAAGTGCTATGGACCAATCCTATGAACAACAGTAAGACCAGGTATGGGGGCCTGGGAGGCACAGGCTCTGGGCTAGTGAATACTTGGGGGTCTCCAACCCTCATGCCAACAAGTCACATCAGCTATGCCGATAGGGTAGGTGTGTCGTCTCCCCATTTTACAGATGAGGAAACCAAAGCTCTGAAGCTGTCATCACAGAGTTAACAAGAATTCTGGACAAAAATCTAGTTATCATGAAGCCCTGATCAGGCTGCACATAGCCCCACTTCTTTGTAACCTAAAGTCACATAGCACCAGATCCTGGCTGTTTGCATCCCCGTTGTTCCTCTAGATAGGATTTCTGACTTCAGAATCACAAGGCTTTTGTTTAAGAATTGCTTAAGATGTTTTTCAGACCCGAATTCCAGCAAAGCAGCTGATGCCAACAGTTTGAAGACCCCCAGAGGAACAGGAACAGCATGAGAACACAGCTTCTTCATCTCCCCTGCCCATGACTCCAGCCTGCACTCAACTAGTCAGTGATCTCCATACTTCAGCCCACTGCAAAACCCTTAAAAACCTTAACACCAAATTTGAGGTTCCCTCCCATCTCCTTGTTTGGCAGTCCTATAATTAAACTTCTTTTCTCTGCTGCAACCCAGTGTCTCTGTGCATTGACTTGCCATGCATATCTGGCCACAGATCTATTACAGTTACAGCTCTGTGAGCTTAAGGTTCTCATCTAAGACCACCTTATCAGTGTGTAGAGAAACTTCAATTCAAACCAGGTGGGTCTGTTTCCAAAGCCAGCACCCTTCCATTATGAGACACTGTGGCCTCCACTTGTGGGCCAGTCAGCTTGCCGCATGCCAGGGCTGATTCCAGATGCTGGCAGACTAATGGTGTAATACTCAATGCCTTTTGCCTACGATTTTCTCAACAGCCTGACTGGTTCCCCAGCAATTATTCTCAATCAAAGCTCCAGAAGACACCATTCAAATGTAAATAAGCATCCTCTGGAAAGGTGAATTATGCGGTCATTGCCCATTAACACCATATGTATCAGTTTATCTGATGAGGGAATGGGACTATGTGCACCTGAGGGTAAGGGATATTTATTTATTTACTTACTTATTTATTTATTTATTTATTTATTTATTTAGAGACAGAGTCTTACTCTGTTGCCAGGCTGGAGTGCAGTGGCATGATCTTGGCTCACTGCAATCTCTGCCTCCCGGGTTCAAGGATTCTCCTGCCTCAGCCTCCCAAATAGCTGGGATTACAGGTGCGCACCACCACACCCAGCTAATTTTGCGTGTGTGTGTGTGTGTGTGTGTGCGTGTGTGTGTGTGTGTGTGTATTTTTAGTAGAGACGGGGTTTCACCATGTTAGCCAGGATGGTCTCGATCTCCTGACCTTGTGATCTGCCTGCCTCAGCCTCCCAAAATGCTGGGATTACAGGCATGAGCCACTACGCCCAGCTGGGAAGAGATATTTTAAAAGCACCAAAAGGGTCCCTTTTGGGGAAGACAGCACAGGCACGCAGGGGGAGCCACAGATCTGCAGATCCAGTGGCCACAGAGGAATAGAAGATGGAGACGTGGCCCTGCCCTCCCAGGAGTCCACAATCCAGTCTGGGAAGTGAGTCCTTCTGCAAGTGGTGGAGTCCAGGAGTCTCCTTCACAGGCTCCTCCACTCCACTGCCTCGACCACAGCCTTGCTAAGTGCCCTCTGTCCGTCACTGTGGCTTGAACTGCCCTAAATCTCCATCTCCAGCCATGTCTTTTCCCACCTGCCTGTAGGGTACCCTCACTTGTTATCTCACAGGCTCCACAAACTCACCCTTGTCCCAGACCCGCCTTCCCTGCACCTCTCCGTCCTTCCATGGGCTCTTCCTCCTGTTTTCTACATCTTGGTCAATGGCCTCACTGTCTACTGGGTGCTCCAGTGAGGAGCGTGGGGGTCAGTTTGTATGTTTTCTCTTTCACACTGCCCGTTCAATCACTTGCAAGTCCGGGGAATTCTTCCTTAGATAGTCATTGCTCCTCACGGGATCTGGCTCCTAGCTACCTCTCTCATTGTATCTTGTCCTGCTCAACTCCTCTGAGGAAGTAACATTTTAGTGTGTCTAAACTAACTAATAGGCTAGGTGTGGTGGCTCCCGCCTGTGATCCCAGCACTTTGGGAGGCTGAGGCAGGCAGATCAGCTGAGATCAGGAGTTTGAGACCAGCCTGGCCAACATGGTGAAACCCCATCTCTACTAAAAAACACAAAAATCAGTCAGGCGTGGTGGCGGGTGCCTGTAGCCCCAGCTACTTGGGAGGCTGAGACAGGAGAATTGCTTGAACTCAGGAGGCAGAGGTTGCAGTGAGCTGAGATTGCACAATGGCACTCCAGCCTGGGCGACAGAGTGAGACTCTGTCTCAAAAAAACCCCCAAAAAACAAAAAACAAAACCCTAACTAATGATAAGGAGCAAGCCATGAAAGGTCTGGGATGGGAAGGACAGAGGAAACAGCAGGTGCAAAGGCCCTGAGCTTAGGAATGGGTTTAGCAATAACCTTGACGTGTTTAAGGAACTCAAAGGAGGCCAGAATGTGCAGCACACAGACCTAAAACCAATGGCTTCTAGGAGACACTCATTTCTTCTGAAGCCTTGGGTCTCAGTGGATTAGGACATGAAGAGGGAAGCTGACATGGGATGAGGTGTGTCCCCCAAAAGGATATGTTGAAGTCTGAACCCTCAGGACCTGTGCATGTGGCCTTACATAGAAATAGGGTCTTTGCAGATGTAATTAAGATACAAATTACGGTGAGGCATATTGGAGTAGCGCAGGTCCTTAATCTAATCTGATTGTTGTCCATGTAAGAGGAGAAGGGATGCACCTGGAGGGAAAACAGCCATGTAAAGACAGAGGCAGAGACTGGAGTTATGCTCCTCAAGCCAAGGAATGCCAGAGATTGCTGGTGACAAGGACTGCCTCCTTGACCGAACTTTAGCCGGCTCCTCTAAGCCATCTTCTCAATGAGGCCTTGACCTTGGCCTGCCGAACTCAGTTTTGGCAAAGAATTTTGCTAAGTCAGTTTAGTGAGACCTGTCCCATCCTTGATATCCAAGCAAGTTCTTCATCTCCCATCTGAGATACCTTTTTTAAAAAAATTATTTTAAAAAAATTCTTTAACAGAGATAGGGTTTCACCGTGTTGCTGAGGCTGGTCTCAAACTCCTGGGCTCCAGCGATCAGCCCACCTTGGCCTCCCAAAGTGCTGGGATTACAGGTGGGATCCACTGTGCCCAGTTCTATTTTTGACATCTAAGCCTTTGGTCTGCCTTTAGCAAGAGCCCTGTTTAACAAGAATCCTTTTATCTATCCTATCTATCCAGTTCTCTTAGTAATTTTTCCATCCACTGACTGCTCATTGGCTATAAATCTCCAGCTATCTTTGCTATTATTTAGAGTTGAGTTCAGTCTCTCTCCCCTATTGCAATAGTCTTAAGTAAAGTCTTCCTTGCCATTTTAAAAGAGCAACCAGTGCAATTAAAAACAAACAAACAAACAAACAAACAAACAAACACCAATTGCCACCAGAAGCCAGGGAGGGGCAAGGAAAGATTCTACCCAAAGCCTTCAGAGGGAGCCTGGCCCTGCTGACACCTTGATTTCAGACTTCCAGCCTCTGGAAGTGAGAGAATCAATGGTTGTTATTTTAAGCCACCCAGTTTGTGGCAGTTATGGTAGCCCCAGGAAATGAATACAAAAGGCAGTGCAGTCATTGGCCCATGCCCAGGGCATACCTTTTGGGAGTAGTTGAGAGCCTTTTCCATCTCAGACATGATGGAGTTGATGTCATCGCTCTCATAAATGCCTGGAAACAAAGCACATCGTGAGCAAGGTGAGACAGGGTGTGGATCCTGGCAAGCGTCCCCATCATCTGGATACTAGAAAGCCACCTGGAGGTGACTTGAGGGCTGGGAATGGTGGCTTACTCCTGTAATCCCAGCATTTGGGAGGCTGAGGAGGGAGGATTGCTTGAGGTTGGGAGTTCAACACCAGCCTGGGCAATATAGTGAGACCCCTTCTCTATAAAAAAAAATTTAAAAAATTAACTGGGCGTGGTGGTGGACACCTGTAGTCCCAGCTGCTCAGGAGGCTGGGGTGGGAGGATTGCTTGAATCCAGGAGGTTGAGGCTGCAGTGAAGTATGATGGCACCACTGCACTCCAGCCTGGGTGACAGAGGGAGACCCCGTCTCTAAAAAAAATGTTGCTTTTTGTACCATGTACAACTATCTTGCCAACCATGTGCTGTGAACACACCACCCTTTGAAAAACAATCTAAGGGATGTTCAGGGTGCCTTCTAGCTCTGACATTCTATGACATTCTAAATTATATATTTTTTAATTTTTAATTTTTTTGTAAAGGCAGAATCTTGCTATGTTGCCCAGGATGGTCTTGAACTGGATTCAAGCAATCCGCTCGCCTCAACTTTCCAAAGTGCTGAGATTACAGGTGTGAGCCACCACCTGACTCATAATATACTTTTAGAGTTTTACTTCTTCTTCTTCTTTTTTTTTTTTTTTTTTTGAGACAGAGTTTTGCTCTGTCACCCAGGCTGGAGTGTAGTGGTGTGATCTCTGCTCACTGCAACCTCCGCTTCCTGGGTTCAAGCGATTTTCTTGTACCTCAGCCTCCCGAGTAGCTGGGACTACAGGTATGTGCCATCACACCCGGCTAATTTTTTTGTATTTTTAATAGAGTTTCACCATGTTGGCCAGGCTGTTCTCAAAGTCCTGATCTCAAGCGATCTGACCACGTTGGCCTCTCAAACTGCTGGGATTGTGGGTATGAGCCACTGTTCCTGGCCTACTTCTTTTAAGTTAAAAAAATTGCAGTAAAATATACATAACATCAAACTTACTATTTCAATCACTTAAAATTGTACAATTCAGTGGCATTAAGTGCATTCACATTGTTGTTCAACCATCACTGCTATCTATCTTCAGAGGAACAGTTTTACATTTTAAAATGTGATTTTCACAAGCTGCTTTTCTGGAATACATCTGTGGTCTAAGGGAGCTATGCTGGTGCTGAGACAACTGTTTGGAATGAGCTGAAGGGATGAGGAAACAGTCATGTACCTGTGTCTCCAAACCAGTGGAAGCGGCCACCTGCAGCCCGGGTGACCTCCTTGTAGGCGGCGGCTGTGTCAGTGTGACTGGCATAGCGGGCAGGGGGTGTGGTGTCCATCTTTGGCTCGCCCACGTAGAAGAGACACACGTTCAGCTGGAGGTCGCAGCCGCCACAGGCCTCAGCCATGTAGGCACTGAGTGTAGGCTGGTGGGGAAGAGAAGGTAGGAGGGGCCAGCAGCTGAGGGCCTTGAAGCTGTGGGGCTCTGGGCAGCCCAGCCTGGCCATGTTTCTCCAGGGCCTTCTCTGTGCCTGGTCCAGTCCTTGGCACAAGGATGGAAAGAGATGAGGCTGGGTTGCAGTTTCTCTCAATATTTTAACAGAGTGTGGTTGGGGAGCTGGACCTGAGAGCCTCCTGATACCAGGCATGTTCTAGACCAGTAGCATCCACATCCCCTGGAAGCCTGCCAGAAATGCAGACTCCCAGGCTCCACCCCAGACCTACTGAACCAGGATCTGCACTATGTAGGTATGTATGTATGTATGTATGTATTTTAAAGAGACAGGGTCTCGCTCTGTTGCCTAGGCTGGAGTGCAGGGTCATAAACATAGCTTGCTGCAGCTTTGACCTGCTGGGCTCAAGCAATCCTTCTGCCTCAGCCTCCTAAGTAGCTGTGACTACAGGCACATGTCACCACACCTGGTTAATTTTTTTTTTTTTTTTGAGATGGAGTTTCGCTTTTGTCGCCCAGGCTGGAGTGCAATGGTGTGATCTCAGCTCACCGCAACCTCCCCCTCCAGGTTCAAGCGATTCTCCTGCCTCAGCCTCCCGAGTAGCTGGGATTACAGGAATGTGCCACCACGCCCAGCTAATTTTGTATTTTTAGTAGAGATGGAGTTTCTCCATGTTGGTCAAGGTGGCCTCAAACTCCCGACCTCAGGTGATCTGCCTGCCTCAGCCTCCCAAAGTGCTGGGATTACATGCATGAGCCACTGTGCCTGGCTACATCTGGTTAATTTTTTAAATTTTATTTTTGTAGAGATGGGGTCTTGTTGCTATGTTGTCCAGGCTGGTCTCGAGCACCTGGGCTCAAGAGATCCTCCCACCCCAGCCTCCTGAGTAGCTGGGAGTACAGGCATGTGCCACCATGGCAGGTTATTTTAAAAATTTTTACAGAAATGTGGTCTCACTATATTGCCCAGGCTGGTCTCCAGGGCCTGCATTTTAACAGCATCCTTAGGTGCTTGTCTATACATTAAAGTTTGAGAAGCACTGGTTTAGAAATCATGCTGCAGAAACCTTGGCAAGGTATCCACCTGGGGGAAGACGGATGAGGTCGCAAAGGATAATGGACACCCAGGACGTGGCCTACCCACCATGTCCTGGTCGGGGATGCCCCCAGTGAAGAGGTAGATTCCCTGCGATTGGTGTTTGTCTTTGTCCTTGAAGTCTACTTCCACAGCCTTCCGCAGGGCGCTGAGAACGTTCCTGCTGCCCCGACACCGCAGGTTCAGGGCCCACCTGCGGAGGCAGAGATGGCCATGCTGAGGGTCATTGGCCCATGCCCAGGGCATACCTTTTGGGAGTAGCTGAGAGCCTTTTCCATCTCAGACGTGATGGAGTCGATGTCATCACTCTCATAAAGTGAAGATGGCCAGGTGGGGAGAGCAGCAGACAGAAGGAAGCTGTTTTCTGATTTCTGCCCATGGCTGTTTGGGGTCAGGGACTCTAGAGAGCTACTTCTTGGTGGAGAGGGGGACAGAGAAAACAATGCCTGCAAACCTTCCCTCAGACACAGCCCCACGAAGTCTCTGCCCATAACCTACCGCCAGGCACTTTGTAAATTGTTGTGACTCACGGGAACCATCTCAGGCCTCCAGCTTTCAATTGTGCTTCCAAACCTTTAAGAAGCAAAGAGAGTTCGTTCTTAGGCTGGGGGAGGTCCACTTGGTGGCCCACCTCTTTGGGCTTTGCAGGCTTTTAGTGGGGACAAAATTCTGATGAGATCCCCTAAAATGTGAGGATGTCACTGGCCTGGGCCAGCCATGAGATTTCCTTGTGGGTCATATGTCCCAACATACTTCAGCCAAGACACAGTGTGAGCCAGCTTTGGTCAGCTTCCTTTCTGAAGCATTGAGCTATGGCGTGTGGCCCCCTCTTTAACCTCCCCTAGCATGGCTTCTCTCACTGCACATTTCCCCTCCCTATCCATACTATAGTTTGTTTTTTTTTTTTAAATACACATCTATGTAATCAACAGGATTTGGCAAAGAAAAAAAATATACCTCTAGCCTGGGCAGTATAGCAAGACCCCATTTCTACAAAATAAAAAAAATTAGCTGGGTATAGTGGCACATGTCTGTCAACCTAGCTACTTAGGAGGCTGAGGTGGGAGGATCACTTGAGTCCAGGAGGCTGAGGCTGTAGTGAGCTATGATTGTGCCACTGCACTCCAGTCTGGGCAATGGAGTGAGATCCCATCTCAAAAAACAAACAAATCCTCAAATCCAGAAAACCCACATTGTCTCATTTGTCCTGTAAGACAGAATTTAAGATCTTTGAGAAGAGGATTTATACCCTTTATGAAGGAAAAGTTGTCCCCTCTCTAGTTTGAGATTAATTCCTCCACCTGGCCTTTGACCTCATCACCCATCTCTTCTGAGACTTTGCCCCACAGTTCCTCCCTCACATCCACACATTCCCAACTTCTCTCCACTTCCCTCTGCCCCGCGCCTCTCTACCTGTTTCAGACTCTCTATACTTAACAAGAACATCCTCCTTCCCCTGGGAAGCTACTCTATGAGTGACTTCGCTCTTTTCTCTTTCCCCTTGTGGACAAGCTCCCTGGAAACACAGTATACCACCACTTCCTCACCTCCTCAACCTATTGCAGTCAAACTTCCACCCTGGGGGCATTCCCTGGTAGAGATAAAGAATGCCCTCCATTCCCCCACCAGTGGAAATATATCCCTATTATCGTTGGATAATAAATCTGGGTCAAGTGATTCTTATGCCTCAGCCACCTGAGTAGCTGGGATTACAGGCCTGCACCGCTGAGACCCACTGATTTTTGTATTTTTAGTAGAGACGGGGTTTCACCACGTCGGCCAGGCTGGTCTCAAACTCCTGGCCTCAAGTGATCCACATGCCTCATCCTCTCAAAGTGCTGGGATTACAGGGGTGAGCCACCGCGCCCGACCTTCAGGTACTCCTTTAGAGCAGTGCAGGAATGGACTAACACAGCATCCCAACACCTTTCTCTCTTGTTTTCCTCCCACCTCTCTGGGTTCTTCTTTCTTGTGTTCTTTTGGTGGTTCCCTTCTTCTGCCCACCCTTCGAATGCTGGTGTCTTCCAAGTGCTGCCTTTGATTGTCTTCTCTCTCCTCTTCGCATCTCCACAGGTGCGATCCCTGCACTACCATTTATTTCATTCATAGAATCAAAATGCTGATGGCTCAAAACCCCTTATTTCTTGGCTAGGTCTCCTCACTGGAGCTCCTCCTCCTCTTAATGTCTCCAAACTCTTGAGTGTCTCAGACTCGGGATGTTTAAAACCATCTTTCCCTTCAGAGATCTGTTCTTCTTGGGACATCATCTTCTCTTCACCATTCTTTCACCCCCTACAGCCAGTGATGACATTCTGTAGATTCTAACTCCCCAAAATCTCTTCCATGCACCTCTTTCTTTCTTTCTTTCTTTCTTTTTTTTTTTTTTTTTGAGATGGAGTCTCGCTGTGTCGCCCAGGCTGGAGTGCAGTGGCGCAATCTCGGCTCACTGCAAGCTCCACCTCCCAGGTTCATGCCATTCTCCTACCTCAGCCTCCCGAATAGCTGGGACTACAGGTGCCCACCACCACGCCTGGCTAATTTTTTGTATTTTTAGTAGAGATGGGGTTTCACCGTGTTAGCCAGGATGGTCTCAATCTCCTGACCTCGTGATCCGCCCGCCTCGGCCTCTCAAAGTGCTGGGATTACAAGCGTGAGCCACTGTACCCAGCCTCCATGCACCTCTTTCTTGATTAACTTTTATTTTGGGCTCAGGGGTACGTGTGCAGGTTTGTTATATAGGTAAACTCCTGCCATGGGGGTTTGTTATATAGATTATTTCATCACCCAGGTATTAAGCCTAGTACCCATCAGTTATTTTTCCTGATTTCCTTTCTCTCACCCTCACCCTCCAATAGGCTCCAGTGTGTGTTGTTCCCCTTTATGTGTCCATGTGTTCTCATCATTTAGCTCCCACTTATAAGTGAGAACATGCTGTATTTGATTTTCTATTCCTGTGTTAGTTTGCTAAGGATTATGGCCTCCAGCTCCATCCATGTTCCTGCAAAGAACATGATCTCATTCTTTTTTATGGCTGCATAGTATTCCGTGGTATATGCATACCACATTTTCTTTATCCAGTCTACCACTGCTGGGCATTTACATTGATTCCATCTGTTGCTATTGTGAATAGTGCTGCAATGCACATATACATGCATTTGTCTTTATGACAGAATGACTTATATTCCTTTGGGTATGTACCCAGGGATGGGATTGCTACTTTGAATGGTAGTTCTGTTTTTAGGTCTTTGAGGAATCATCACACTGCTTTCCACAATGGTTGAACTAATTTACACTCCCACCAAGTGTGTAAGTGCTCCTTTTTCTCTGCTACCTCGCCAGCACCTGTTATTTTTTGACTTTAATATGGCATTCTTACTGGCCACGCACTCTTTCTTCCATTCACATTGCCTTGGCTCAAGCCCACTCAACACTAGGGCAGGCAATTGCAATAGTCAAACTGGTCTCTTCCCTCCAGTATTACATCCCTTCAGTTCCTCCTTCACAGCATTGCTTGAGCATTTGAAGACGCAAACCCGATTGTATTTGTACCTTGCTTGCAATCCTCCAGTGCCTTTATATCCTATAGCACAGGAAACTCGTGAGCATGGCCTATATCAATCCTCCATCACCTGGTATTTCTGTCATGCACAATCTCTCCCTCTCAGCCCCATATCCATGCTGAACTACCTGATGGTCCCTAAGGTTCTAGCATACGTCACACCTCTGCTCATGCTGTTGCCTCTACCTGGAACACCCTTTCTCCCTAGGACCCCATCATTCCCAGGTGCTAGGCAAACATCTACTTATTCATCAAGACTCAGCAAAAGGGGCACTTGCTCCATGAAGATGTCCTGAGCCTACTCCACCCAAGTGGAATGGACTGATCCTGCCACTGATACCTTGCAGTCCCATACCTAGCTATCTACTCATTTCTATAGAAAACGCTTAACAGCACTCCTTAACATCCCTGTCTCCCACTGTTAGGCCATGAGTTCCTCGAGGATGAGTTTTGTGTGTCTTCATGTCCATCTCCCCAGTGCCTGGCACAGGGACTGGTTCATGCAGATTGTCAATGAAACATTGCTGAATGAATGAATGGGTAAATAAATAAATAAAATTCCTTATCTATAATGTTACCATAAATATTTTTATATAGAGTTTATTAAGGAATGACTGGGCTCTGGTACAGAATAATATCTAATACTAACTGTTGACTTAATAGGTTTAGAAAATGCCCTATTTGGTATGAGGTTGTATAAAAACCTACACTTTAAGTGGGTTCCTTTTCTCTCTGTCTTCCCTTATTAGTTAAAATAGTATGCAATTTAAAAAACTATATATATAGTTTTTATGGCTGAGCTCAGTGGCTCAAGCCTGTAATCCCAGCACTTTAGGAGGCTGAGGCAGGCGGATTACTTGAGGTTAGGAGTTCAAGATCAGCCTGGCCAACATGGTGAACCCCATCTCTACTAGAAATACAAAGATTAGCCAGGTGTGGTGGTGTGTGCCTGTAGACCCAGCTACTTGGGAGGCTGAGGCAGAAGAATTGCTTGAATCTGGGAGGAGGAGGCTGCAGTGAACTTAGATCAAGCCACTGCACTCCAGTCAGGGCAACAGAGCGAGACTCCATCTCAAAACAAAAACAAAACCAAAAACAAACTATATATATAGTTTTTAAATTAAAAATGCTAGATATGTACTATATTTAATTATATATAAAATATAATTTTAAAACTATATTAACATTTTAAAACTATATATACTATATATAATTTTAAAACTATATATAATTTTGAAGTAAGTTCAAATCTTCAAAACCTCTCTGATCTTTGTTGTATTTAATTCTAAATTATACAGTTTTAAAAATTGCATACCATTTATATATATATACACATAATTAAATGTATACATATAATTTTATTTATTTATTAAAACACAGATGGGGTCTCACTATGTTGCCCAGGCTGGTCTCAAACTCCTGGATGCAAGCGATCCTCCTGTCTCGGCCTCCCAAGGTGCTGGGATTACAGGCGTGAGCCACTGCACCTGGCCAAATTTATATATACAGTTTTAATTTAAATTCAGAATTGGAATCCTAAATGTTTGAAAAGGTATGGCTTGCTGGAGACAGGCTGAGGACTGACACTAGGGCATGGCTGGGGTCCTTCCTTTCCTCTTCTTCCTATTTCATCTTGGAAGCCAAATGGGCCAATGGGCTGAATTACTTTATCCTGGTTGATCAAGCAGTGTGTTATGGGGTCACTTACCACCTTCGCCCCAGTAGGACAGTCCTGCAACTATTTAATTATTCAATGCCCCAAACAAGATCATCCAAATCAGATAAACCGATGGCTATCCTAGGAAGCCGGGTGACCATGACGTCAATATCTATCGTCCAGCAACGTCCAAAGCCTCAGCCCAATGACGGCATCCAAACACACACGACCCACCCTTGCCCCCAGGAGCCAGGAGACACATACGCGATGAGGTTGAAACAGTCCTTGTTGGATAACTGCTCCTCCAGCAGCAGCCGCAGGGAGTGCTGGATATGAATAATGTACATGGAATTGGTCGCAGAGATATCGAGCAGTACAACCACCCTAAAAGGAAACACGAGCTTTAAGAGGAGAACCGAATCTCTGAGATAATGTTTATTTTGTTCCATTTTACTATTTAAAGTTTTTTTCCAGGGGAATTTTGCATGCCAAATTCATAGCTGGCCAAAATCTTCTCTGTGGTTTGAGGCCAACGGATGTGGGCTTACAATGGTAGATTAAGGGGGTCATGGAAGCCCCCCTTCTCTCCCAGGAGGTGCTTTAATGGAATAAAGCCTCATGGTGGAGATGGTTTAAGTGGTAGGCGCTTCATATAATGATTTTCACAGATTTATTTTAAAGAATTAGCATTCAATATTTTTATAGGTCAGAATATGAAAAAATATATATGTATATTGCCTTAGGCAAGTCACAAATCCTCTCTGATCTTTGTTTAAGTAGTTTAACTATAAACTACTTGTAAGACTCATCATAAGGTTGCTTCAAGAACAAATATATAAGGCCGGGCGCGGTGGCTCACGCCTGTAATCCCAGCACTCTGGGAGGCCGAGGCGGGCGGATCACAAGGTCAGGAGATTGGGACCATCCTGGCTAACATGGTGAAACCCTGTCTCTACTAAAAATAAAAAAAATTAGCCGAGCGTGGTGGCGGGCGACTGTAGTCCCAGCTACTTGGGAGGCTGAGGCAGGAGAATGGCATGAACCCGGGAGGCAGAGCTTGCAGTGAGCCAAGATCGCGCCACTGCACTCTAGCCTGGGTGACAGAGCGAGATTCCGTCTCAAACAAAACAAAACAAAACAAAACAAAACAAAACACACACAACAAATATATATATATTTAGACGGTCTCTCTCTGTTGCCCAGGCTGGAGTGCAATGGTGCGATCGTGGCTCACTGAAGCCTCAACCTCCTGGGCTCAAGAGATCCTCCTGCCTCAGCTTCCCAAGTTGCTGGGACCACAGGCACACATCACCATGCCTGGCTAATTTAAATTTTTTTTTTTTTTTTGTAGAGACCAGGTCTGCCCATGTTGCTCAGGCTGGTTTTGAACTCCTGGCCTCAAGTGATCCTCCTGCCTTGGCCTCTCAAAGTACTGGAAATACAGGAATGAGCCACTATGCCCGCCATAGGTTGGGGTCTTCGTAGGGAAAACGAAAACCAGGTGAGCAAGTAACATAAGGAATTAGGTGTATCTGGGCCTCTTGGAAAATATTTTTATCTTTTTGTTTGCTCTCTTTCTGTTTTAAGATCTCTAGCCTTATTTGTTCTTTCTCTAATTTTAGAACTTCAAACTTATATTCCCACCTTCTGCCCCATTCTCATTTTGAGACAGCTATGGATAGCAAAAGAAAATCTATGGGATTTACAGTCAGAAGACCTTGGTTCAAGTTCCGCTTCCTACCAGCTGTGTGGCCTTAGGCAAGTCACAAAACCTCTCTGATCTTTGTTTAAGTAGTTTAACCATAAACTACTTGTAAGACTCATCATAGGGTTGCTTCAAGAACAAAATTACATAATAGATGTATAGTGGCCAGGTGCGGTGGCTCATGCCTGCAATCCTAACATGATGGGAGGCTGAGGCAGCAGAATCGCTTGAGGCCAAGAGTTTGAGACCAGCCTGGGCAACATAGCAAGACTCTGTCTCTAATAATAATAATAATAATAATAATAATAATAATAATAATAATAATAGATGTATAGTATTACAAAATATAATACTTTGTAAATGTTAATTCATCAAACAAGGTATGGAATCATAATAATGGCCATAATAGATAACTATTGTTTCTCCCAACTCAGCATCCATTACCTCATCTGGCAACAGCATCCTGATTTTCCTTTGGGAAACACCTCTGCCTCTATCAGTCAATTTGAGTTGTGTGAAGCTGAGCCTACTCCAAGCTCCAGGGATGGGCATTTGACCCTGGCCAATCAGAACATCACACCTCTGGCTGGGTGGGAGGATCTATTCATCCATGACCCATTTGCTCTGGCCAGGGAGGAGGTGTGATTTTTTTTTTTTTTTTTTTTTTTTTGTGGTAGACACAGGGACTTGCTCTGTTGCCCACGCTTGAGTACAGTGGCACGATCATAGCCCACTGCAGCCTTGAGCCCCTGGGCTCAAGCGACCCGCCTGCCCCTGCCTCAGCCTCCTAAGTGGCTGGGACTACAGGTGTACACCACCATGCCCAGCTAATTATTTTATTTTTTGTAGAGACAGGGTCTCACTATGTTGCCCAGTCTGGTCTCAAACTTTTGGCCTCAAGCGATCCTCCCGCTTTGGCCTCCCCAAGTGCTGGGATTGCAAAAATGCTCAGTGACACAATGATGACATTATTGACATCAGTGATGGTGTTGGTGACTTTTTCCTCCTCTGGGGGTTCTGCTGAGAGATTCCTAATCCCTAATCTAAGTGATGGCTTCTGATGCTACCAACAGGGAATTCATGAGGCGGATAAATGTCACGTCACACACCAGACCCATGAAGGATAAGAACCCTGCTTAAGAAAGGTACCTTTTTTCACAGACTGTGCCCCAGATTCTTCTGCTGGCCAGGGAGAGCCACTCAATCCGCCTCTCATACATCCGCATAGCTCTGCTGAGCTGTTGCTGCAGAAGTGTGGGCCACAGTGAGCGGCTGCTCAAAGGCTGAGCAACCAAGGGGCCTGAGGGGAAGTACGTGTACCTGGGTGGGCTTCAGGGAATGGTGTGTCAAGTCCCTGGGAATCCAGGCAGTATAATCATTCCACTAAATCATGAACAAATTCACCACAAGAACAGGAAGGGAAGAGTCACACGGTATTTCATTGCATCAAATGGGGAAGGAAGCAGATCTTTCCCCAGAGGATTAGAAGCCTTTTTTTTTTTTAAAGGCATTGAGGTCCCTGCTTGGGGAGGAGATGGCCAAAGCTTCAGGAGGCCTGTAGGTGGAGCACACAGTCCCTCTTTACAAGAGGGAGTTGAGTCAATGGCTTGGTGACTTCATAGCCCAGGGAACCTTCCTCCCGTCCCCACTTTCTGCACCCCATTTTCTGACTGATTGAACCCATCACTGACCTGGTACTTATAGAGGAAGGGTGGGTCCACATGAATGTTCTTCACTGTCCCGTCGTGCCATTCAAATTGTATCATTGCCTTCTATACTCAGGCATGGGCAGGAGGGTGAGCAGGCGAACAGAAGTACATGTAGTTTAATTTGGGCACTGGTTCTCCAAATCAGGTGCAGGAGAGTGAAGTGGACTCTGAACACATTTGAGGTCGGATCGAACTCCCTCCCACATCTCCACCACACACACACCCCAATACCACCACCACCACCAGGTCATTGCCTTGTCTGGAACTGGAAGTAGAGAGCCTTAGAGAGAGTGATCCCCTGAATGGACGATACCTGACAGCAAGCCTCTCAGGCTGTTTTCCCGAGAGGCTTTTCTGAACATCAGAGTCATGAAGATATGGTTGGAGGGTTTTAGTAATAGAGAGCACAGTTGGAGACCTTAAAATATACTGGCCATAGCTTCTTAGGTTTGGGAACCTAGACAGGCCTTTACAGATGCTTTGAAAATCCAACTTGTTCATCCTGTTTTTTCATCCTCCACCAAGTGAACATATCCATCTATCACTCCATCCATCTAGTCATTCATCCATGCACTGCTAGACCTACATGTCCCTTACTCTTCTCTCTTCCTTTCAGTCTTCCATCTTTCTGCCATCTTTCTATTCACCTATTATTCCTTCCTTCCATTTCTCCATCCTTTCACTCCTCCATCCATCCATCCTTACTTTAATTTCTACTTTCATTCTTTCACTTGTCCTTTATTCCATTTTGTCATCTATCCTTCCATTTTCCCTTTTACCCTTCCACCTGTTCAGATTTCTATCCATTCACCCATCCATGCATCCATCCATCCATGCATCCATCCATCCATCCATCCATCCATCCACCCATCCATCCATCCATCCACTCATCCATCCATCCATCCATTCATCCACCCACCCACCCCCCCACCCATCCATCTATCCATCCATCTATCTATCCATCCACTCATCCATCCATTCATCCATTTACCTATCCATCCATCCATCCATCCATCCATCCATCCATCATTCTTTTCCTTCTTCTTGCCATCCTTTCTTCCAACTACCTTCTCAGCCATCCAGTAAACATGCATTGATTTCCTACTTATACTAAACATGGAGGATAGAGAGTTAGAGAAGAGTTTGCCCTCTTTATACTTCATACTTGATGGGGATTTAAATATGTAAAAATTCATGCATTAATCCTTTATGGGAGCAATTGCAGAAGTCTGCATTAGGTACAGCGAGGACATAAAGAAAGCAAGTCTGTCCTGTCTGAGTTGGGAGGAGAAAACCTTCATGGAGGAGGTGACCGTGGTACCTGATTTATCCCTCTTGCCTCATCTCCCAAGTTCAATTTTCAGATCTTTGAAAACCAACAGCTACAGTGGATTTGATGTGCATTCTAGGGTCCTGGGTGGGAAGCCTGAATCCCTGGTGATTCTTACTGCCAGAACATTTATGAAGGTAGGAAAAGCCACAAGGGAGCTCTCCTGTGGAGGACTGGAGAGAATTATGAATCTGAATTACCTCATGGATGGTCGATGATACTGTTTTCTGGAGAATAGGTACAAATTCCTCCACAGGAGAGAATGCATTGGGTGCCAGGACCTGATATAGACTTAATTTCTTGGCTGAAAAAAAAGTGTGAGGTTGGAGGCACTGCCTGAGAAGCTCCAAAGGGTTCAAGCCTTTTATTTTTTTGAGACAGGGTTTTGCTCTGTCACCCAGGCTAGAGTGCAGTGGCACAATCATAACTCACTGCATCCTCAAACTCCTGGGCTCAAGGTATTCTCCTGCCTCAGCCTACCTGAGTAGCTGGGACTGCAGGTGCATGCCACCACACCCAGCTAATTTTATTTTTTATAGAGATGGGGTCTTGCTATGTTGCCTAGGTTGGTCTCATATCCCTGGCCTCAACTGATCCTTCCTTCTTGGCCTCCCAAAGTGCTGGGATTGCAGGTGTGAGCCACTGTGCCCGGCCGGATTCAAGCCTTTTAGTCAGTCACCTGTTTCCTGGGTTCTGCCCTCTTTGGAGATTTACCTTTCAGACCATTGACCTTAAGCCACTCTGCAGAAGTCTTGTCCAAGTTTGGAAACTCAATGGTGAGAGGAGCGTCATGCTTTGGGGGTTTAGGCAAGAGGCTTATGAGTGGCCCATTTGTAATCTCTGTGGAAATCTAAGTTAAATGAGAAAGCCCTCATTACATAATCATATTTTAGAGCTGAAAAGTCCTCAGTCTTCACCCTCCACCCAGTCAATGCAAGTGGAGCTTCTTAAACACTCCCTGGTAGATTAAAGGCAGTTTTGCCTTTCCCTTCCATCATCCCCTCCCCTTCTCTGCAGATTTCTGGAATTTCCAGGGGAAGAGGAAGGAGTACCCAGCAACTCGCTCTCACAGTGGCCCATGCTCCTGGCTCCTTCCCTAACCTTACCATGAAGATCAGCACCATGGACTCCAAGGTGACAGGTCACCCCTAAAAACTCCTGCAGCAAATCACTTAGTGAGCTCCCACCTGGCCACCCTGTGGCCACATTGACAAAGTAAAGAACTGAGGCGCTGAGAGATTAAATTACATAGCGAATGTGTAAGTAAAAATAGAACAGCAAGTCCCAAACTTCAGAGATTTGAGCACTGCCTTCATGAATTTTGCTATATCTGAGTGCTACTGTATTATTATTAATATTTTAAGAATCAATATGTAACATTAATGCTTTTTAGTTATTAATTTTCTTTAATTTTAAAAATTCAATCCCTTTCACAATTTTAGAAAGAAGATCTATGATGACCATAATGAGCTAGTTTTAAATAGATACCATTTAAAAAATAATTTAATCCATGCACCACCTAAAATCATCTTGCAAACTACAAGTAGTACATGCACTTCATTTTGGGAAACTCTTGGCAAGGTTTTGGGCCTTAGACCTGGGTTCAATCCAAACTCAATCTATTTCTATCTTTGCAATCTCAGGCAAGTTATGTAACCTCTTAACTTTGGTTTCCTCATCTATAAAAAGTAATAACATACTTACCTCAGAGTGTTAAGATAAAGCATTTAAATAATTGAACATTGTGCCTATCTCATAATGAGGACTTAATAAATGAGAACTATTATAATTTTTTTTTTTTTTTGGGAGTCTTGTTCTGTTACCCAAGATGGAGTGCAGTGGGACTATCTAGGCTCACTGCAACCTCTGCCTCCTGGGTTCAAGAGATTCTCCTGAATCAGCCTCCCATGTAGCTGGGATTACAGGTGCCTGCCACCATGCCTCGCTAAGTTTTGTATTTTTAGTAGAGACGAGGTTTCACCATGTTGGCCAGGCTGGTCTTGAACTCCTCACCTCAAGCGATCCACCTGCCTCAGCCTCACAAAGTGTTGGGATTACAGGCATGAGCCATCACACCTGGCCAAGAACTATTATAATTCTAATACTAATTGTTATTATTGTATTTGTATATTTTTAAAATTCTTTTTTGAGACAGGGCCTCGCTCTGTTGCCCAGGCTGGAGCACAGCAGTGCCATCATGGCTCACTGCAGCCTCAATCTCCCAGGTTCAATCATCCTCCCACCTCAGCCTCCTGAGTAGCTGGAACTACAGGCACATGCCATCGTGCCTGGCTAATTTTTTAATCTTTTGTAGAGACGGTGTTTTGCCATGTTGCTCAGGCTGGTCTTGAATGCCTGGACTCAAGCGATTCTCTGGCCTTGGCCTCCCAAAGCACTGGGATTTCAGGTGTAAGCCATGGCTGAGGTGAGAATGACTCTCTTAAAGGCAGCCTATTCTGGGTGGTTGAGGTTTTCATCATTCTCCAAACTGGGGGTAAGGGAGGGGACAGTGACAGGATAGAGAGGGTGGCAGGAGCCTGCTGGTCTTTCTCTGAAATAAATTTTACAGTTAGTAAATCCACCAGAATCTTTCCGGTACCATGGTGGGCCCACCCAGCCCACCCAACTCAGAGCTCTGGGGTGCAATGGAGGGTGGGCCTTGCCTTGTTTCGATTTTAGGAAGTGACAGGCACTGGCAGCTGTGCCCCCTATGAACAGGTGAGAAAGGGGAACGAGGCCAGCTGAGTGCTGCTGGGAGAAGGCCCCAGAATTGACACTCGCACCACCTACCTCCTCCATGGTGCAGGTGAGCGCCTCACAGGGGCTGCTGTGCTGCAGGGCTTGCACGTGGCTGAGGAGGCTCTGGGCCTTCTGAATTTCTGCCAGGAGCTCATCCATGTCCCGGCTGGTGTAGTGCTGAGGGTGGCAAGAGCAATCAGACATCCGGAATCACTTGACTACCTGCAGGGGTCAACCCAGGAAGGGGCAAGCAGCCAGGCCAATGCCCAGGCAGAGGGTCAGACTCTCTCCACCAGGCCTTATACACTGGGACCCATGTGCCAGACAGAGCCTGCAGACATGCTGTGCTCCGTTTGTGCAATTGGCCTGTTGTGTTTTGTTTGTTTGTTTGTTTTGATGGAGTCTCGCTCTGTCACCCAGGCTGGAGTGCAGTGGCACAATATCGGCTCACGGCAAGCTCCGCCTCCTGGGTTCACGCCATTCTCCTGCCTCAGCCTCCCCAGTAGCTGGGACTACAGGCGCCCGCCACCACGCCCGGCTAATTTTTTGTTATTTTTAGTAGAGACGGGGTTTCACCGTGTTAGCCAGGATGGTCTCAATCTCCTGACCTTGTGATCTGCCCGCCTCGGCCTCCCAAAGTGCTGGGATTACAGGTGTGAGCCACTGCACCCATCCTGACCTGCTGTGTTTTAAAACAATTGAAGAGTTTTCTAACTGTAAAAGTGTAAAGAAACACTTTACACGCACTAGGATGGCTATAATAATAATAATAATTTATTTATTTTGTTATTATTTTTAGAGAAAGGGTCTTGCTCTGTCACTCAGGCTAGAGTGCAGTGGTGCAATCATTGGTCACTGCAGCCTCAAACTCCTGGGCTCAAGTGATCCTCCTGTGTCAGCCTCCTGAGTAGCTGTGACTATAGCCATGTGCTACCACACCAGACTAATTTTTAAATTTTTTGTAGAGATGGGCTGTCACTATATTGCCTAGGCTAGTCTCAAACTCGTGGCCTCAAATGATCTTCCTGTCTCGGCCTTCCAAAGCACTAGGATTACAGGCATGAGCCACCATGCCTGGTCAAGCCACAGGTTTTAAGATAAAATATTTCTTAAACCAGTCAGTTTCAGTCATTTACTTTACCTTTCTAACCTCTGTAGTCTGAGTCACCTGCAGAGAGAGTCTAGATGATGAGGTATCAAGATAGAGTGCTGCCTGAGCTTGGCTCCCTGCTATGAAAAGCAGGGACCTTGTGACCTTTGAATTCACTTGTGAGATGCAAACACTCATTTACTCATGGTTATTAATGGTAGGCAAGACACAGCCTGGGAGCAACCAGATGATTGCATTCTTAATCTTCCAAATGGATCTACACACATGTTTGCTAATCGTTGCCTCCCTTGTGAACACAGGGTGGCTGATGTCTAGTTATTAACTGGGACAAGGACAGTAATGGATGGATCGGTACAGAATGGATTGCTCATTTCGCTCTGCAGTGGGTTCCCTGCAGTAGCAGGAGTTGATCTAGGAGAGAAAATCGAGGCAATTCAGACTTAGTGCTTTGGTGGGAGCAGAGCTAGGCTGGGGCCTATATTAACGGCAACTGGAGTGAGACTGAGGATTCTGCAGGCAGGGCTTTAAAAGGCCTCTGGGCTCCCACGCATTCAATCAATGCATCATACAGGCTGATCAAAGCATCTCTTGTGACTTCAGGTTGTCCCTGGTCTTCCCACATATTCATTCTAACCTGATTTTACCTGTGTAACCTCATTGAATACAGGTGGGGACAAGGAGAAAAGGAGAAACAAGTATATAGTATGGTCCTGGCCCAGATCTCCTGGGTACAACCTTGGAGGCAGACAAGGAGAGAAGAAGAGGGGCCATGTGTTGACAGAAGGGCTTACCTCCATCTTTGGGCTGTAGCAGTGGTAGTAGCCCCTAACAGCTTCTGCAAGGTTCTTCAGGACAGCCTGCAGGGATGAGGCCAGGGTCAGGCCTCACTAGGGCAACACCAATACTCCAGTAAGCCTTCTCCTTGACTGAACCTCCCAATTATCCAAAGCTTCCCATTTTACCAAAGGGAGAACCAGGCACAGGGACAGGTGCATTCTGGTCCACAGCTCGGGGGCCTGTCCAAGCATGAGGCCTCAAAGGCCAGCCCAGCTCACTACCACCAAAGCCAAGGGGCACCTCAGAGAATCTCGGGCACTCACAGGGGGCATCTGATCATCGCATCTGTAGGTGATGAAGTGGATGATGAGGTCTCTTCCCATGGTGGACTGCTGGATGTAGTCAGACAGGATTTCAGAAGGCTGATCTGGGCTGTGGAGAAGGCAGAAGAGAAGTGGGCATCCCAGGTCAGACCACTTTGAGAACATTCCAGAGCAAAACGGTAATTCCCAAGGAACATCTACCCATTCTTAACTGGCCACCTGTGTCACAGGTCACCTATGTGGCATGCAGGGCTAGGTGGACTGCAGGCCTGTCTGCCCTCTGCCTCCTCTGCAGATGGGTGGGTGGCCTGTGACTGTAGTCCTTCCCTCGTGTGTGTGTGAAGAGTCATTGTTGATGATCTTTTCTCTCTTTCCTTCTCTTTCTTTTCTTTCTCTCTCTTCCTTCTTTCCTTCCTTCTCCTCTCTCTCTCTTCCTCTCTCTTTCCTTTTTCCTTTGTTTTTCTCTCTCTTCCTTCTTTCCTTCCTCTTTTTTCTCTCTTCCTTCTTTCCTTCCTTTTCTTTTTTCTTTCTCTCTCTTCCATCTTTCCTTCCTTTCTCTTTTTTCTCTCTTCCTTCTTTCCTTCCTTCTTCTTTTCTTTTTCTTTCTCTCTCTTCCATCTTTCCTTCTTTCCTTTCTCTTTCCTTCCTTCTCTTCCTTCTTTCCTTTCTCTTTTCTTTCCTTCTTTCATTCTTTGTTTCTTTCTTTCTTCCTTTTTATTTCTCTCTCCTTTCTTTCCTTCCTTTCTTTTTTTCTTGTTTCTTTCTTTCTTTCTCTCTTTCTTTCTGCCTGTGACTGCCATCCCTCCCTCATGTATGTGTGAAGAGCCATGGTTGATGATCTTTTCTCTTTCTTCTTTCTTATCTCTCTCTCTCTCTCCTCTCTCTCTCTCTCTCTCCCTCCCTCCCTCCCTCCCCACCCCCTCCTCCCTTCCTTTCCTTTCCTTTCCTTCCTTCCTTCCTTCCTTCCTTCCTTCCTTCCTTCCTTCCTTCCTTCCTTCCTTCCTTCCTTCCTTCCTTCCTTCCTTCCTTCCTTCCTTCCCTGGGTCTCACTCTGTTGCCCAGGTTACAGGGCAGTGGAACAATCATAGCTTACTGCAGCCTTAAACTCCTGGGCTTAATCAATCCTCCTGCCTCAGCCTCCCAAGTAGCTGGGACTACAGGTGCACACAACCATGACCAGCTAATTTTTGTCTTTTTTTTTTTTAAGAGATAGGGTCTCACTGTGTTGCCCAGACTGGTCACAAACTCCTGGCTTCGAGCAATCCTCCTGTCTCGGCCTCCCAAAGTGCTGGGATTACAGGCATGAGCCACTGTGACAAGCCAATCTTTTCTCAAAAAGTGGTTTGGTTTTTCAGTCCTTTTCATGTAGTATGTCACCTGCTTAGGAAAGAAGACCTACCAGCTTCTCATGATGGCCACCAGGGAATCCAGTCCCTTGAGAGTGAAGATCTTCTTCAGAGCTTGTAGCAGGTTGCTGCCTCCATCAGGCTGCAGCGTCTTTACCCAGAGCTTAAGTTCCTGGAGGCTGGGAGGAGACAACAACAGCAACCTAATTATAAGACTGTTTGTATTGAATTTCATTTTAATTTCTTTTTAGAGATAAGGGCTTGCTGTGTTACCCAGGCTGAAGTGCAGTGGTGCAATCATAGCTCACTGTAACCTCGAACTCCTGGGCCCAAGCGATCCTGCTGCCTCAGCCTCCCACGTAGCTGAGACTGCAGGTATGTGGCATCCTGCCCGGCTAATTTTTATATTTTCTGTAGAGGGCCGGGCATGGTGGTTCATGCCTGTAATCCCAGCACTTTTGGGGGCCGAGGTGGGTGGATCACTTGAGGTCAGGAATTCAAGACCAGCCTGGCCAAAATGGTGAACCCCATCTCTACTAAAAATACAAAAAAATTAGCCAGGTATGGTGGTACATGCCTGTAATCCCAGCTACTTGGGAGGCTGAGCAGGAGAACTGCTTGAACTCCAGAGGCGGAAGGTTGCAGTGAGCTGAGATTGTGCCACTGCCACTGCACTCCAGCCTGGGCAACAGAGTGAGACTCTATCTCAAAAAAAAAAAAAAAAATAGAGAGATAGGGGTCTCACTGTGTTGCCCAGGTTGGTCTTGAACTCTTGGCCTCAAGAGGTCCCCCTCCCTAGCCTCCCAGACAGCTGGGATTACAGGTGTGAGCCCCTGCAGCTGGCCTGTAGTATTAGGTACCAGGCCCAGGACAAATATTAGCTCATTTAAACCTAATGATAACTTGTTGAGGTGGTACCTTTATTCCCATTTTGTAGATGAGGAAACTGAGTTAGGACTTGCCCAGGGTGATACTGTAAGCAACTGTTAAAACTGAGATTTCAAACCAGGTCTGACTCTAAGATCTGAGCTTTTAGAAATTGTGCTATGTGAGGGTCTGGGGCTGAGTTCCTTCTTACCCATACCCACTCTCTTGGGAGCCAGCCCTCAACAGGAGGCATGGAGTTAATTCCGCGACCCTAAGAAGGCTCTAAGAGAAAGCTTTATGGCTGTGTGGCTATGTCCCACATGGGTTGGGGTACACACAACTGGTGAGAAGAAAAATAACTTGATTCTTTCTTGGCTAAAATTTTGCATAGCACTAGTGAAAGAGGTCTGTTCTTTCTACTTCAAAAAATCAAAAATCTGAAAGAGAAAATCTCAGTGTGGTGCTAATAAGTTCATCTTTCATGATCATAACTGTCAAGTCTCCCTTTTGAACAGCGAGAATAAGTCCCAGGTCTAGCACCTTCTCTAGCCAATAGATTTAAGC
The DNA here is from genome assembly GCF_000001405.40 of Homo sapiens. Taxonomy (NCBI): domain Eukaryota; kingdom Metazoa; phylum Chordata; class Mammalia; order Primates; family Hominidae; genus Homo; species Homo sapiens. The sequence continues at coordinate 990,948 of NW_017852933.1, forward strand.
TGGAATTTAAAACCACTGTTTTGCTCTCATCGTATTTATTTATATGGCTGCTTTCTTTTTTTTTTTTCTCAAAGCCATTAAAGAAAGATATATGGTTGCTTTCTAATTATAGAAATATAATTGCATGATTATAGAAGTATAATCATGCAAGTGATATGAGCTTCTCAGTTATGGTATTGATAGAAAGTTTCCTTCAGGCCAGGAGCAGTGGCTCATGCCGGCAATCCCAGCACTTTGGGAGGCTGAGGCGGGAGGACCACTTGAGGCCAGGAATTCAAAACCAGTCTGGTCAACATAGCCAGACCCCATCTCCACAAAAAAGGAAAAATTAAAAAAATCAGCTGGGCACACCCTTGTAGTCCCTGCTACTGGGGAGGCTGAGGCTGGAGGATCATTTGAGCTCAGGAGATTAAGATGGCAGTAAGCTATGATTGTACCACTGAACTCCGGCCTGGGTGACAGAGCAAGACCTTGTCTCAAAAAAACAAAAAACAACAAACAAACAAAAAAGTTTCTTTCAATAATAAATAGAATTGAAGTAAAGAAAAATCAACAATAGTACACATGGTAGGCTGGGCACAGTGGCTCATGCCTGTAATCCCAGCACTTTGGGAGGCCAAGGAGGGCAGATCACTTGAGGTCAGGAGTCCAAGACCAGCCTGGTCAACATGGTGAAACCTTGTCTCTACTAAAAATACAAAAAAAAAAAAAAAAAAAAAAAAAAAAAGAAAATTAGCCAGGCATTGTGGAGCACACCTGTAATCTCAGCTATTTGGGAGGCTGAGGCAGGAGGATTGCTTGAACCCAGGAAGCAGATGTTGTGGTGAGCCAAGATCACACCACTGCACTCCAGCCTGGGTGACAGAGTAAGACTCCATCTCAAAAACAAACAAACAAAAAGACAAAAAAACCAAATAAATAAAAAATAAAATAAACAATAGTACACATGGTAAAGATATGACATAGGGTTATGACAAGAGAATTCCAGGAGTTCCTGAAGATGCAGAACTTTTGGCTGCCATCCATAACAACCCAGGTGTCACTGCTCCACCTAAAGTGGAAATCAGAGTAAAAAACGTTCTTGTTCATTGAGTACCTGGCACTAGCCAGGTACTTTGTTTTCATTTCATCTTCATAACAGTCCTGTGAAGAGTGGGTAGGATTGGCCTTGTTCTGCAAATGAGAGAGTTATAAGGGACTTGTCAAGACCACCCAGTAGTGACTGTTGGGGTTGGGATTCAAAGCCAGAGCTGCCAGAAGTGGGCATTTCTCTATCTGGAAGGGCCCCTCTTTACAGCTAGTGCTGGTGAGGGGGCCTCCGTCCTAGAAATCTAAGCACATGCTTTTTTTTTTAACTTTTTACTTTTGGAGACAGGGTCTCTCTCTGTCACCCAGGCTGAAGTACAGTAGCACAACCATAGCTCACTGCAGCCTTGACCTCCCTCTCAGGTTCAATCAAACCTCCCACCTTAGCCTCCCGAGTAGCTGGGACTATAGGCACATGCCATCACACTGGGCTAATTTTTAAATTTTTTGTAGAGATGGGGTCTCACTGGGTTGCCCAGGCTGGTCTCAAACTTCTGGGCTCAAGCGATCCTCCCACCTTGGCCTCCCGAAGTCCTGGGATTACAGGCATGAGCAACTGGCCCTGGCCAAAGCATGTGCCTTTTCCTGGGATCTGGAATCCCATCGTGGCTCTACCACTTTGGGCATCTTCCCTAACCTGAGTCTGCATTTCCTCATCAGCAAAATGAGGATAATAATCCTATTCCATGAGGTGGCTATTATATACTAAATACAATCATCTATGCAAAGTACCTAGTATGGTAACCAATACATGGTGGGCAATCGAGGACATTCCCTTCACGGAAAATAAATTTCTACTCACTGGATAAGTAGAAATTCTTACATACCTCCCTCCTGTCCCTCAAAAAAACCCCAGGCTAGAAACCCCCAGCTAAAAGACATCCCTGCAGTAGAATTCTATGTAGCCATTAAAACAAATGAGGTAGATTTGTATGCACTGACAGAGAAAGAAATTCAAGACCAGCTAGAAAGCCAAGGTACAGAGCAGTGTTATGTAGGTCCTATTTATGTGAAAATTAGAAGGTAAACACACAGATGCATGTGTGTGCAAAGATTATTTGTGGAAGTGGATATAAGGAACTGTTTTGGGCCAGGCACAGTGTCTCATACCCGTAGTCCCAGCACTTTGGGAGGCCAAGACTGGAAGAGCACTTGAGGCCAGAAGGTCAGGACCAGCCTGGACAACATAGCGAGATCCCATCTTTACAAAAATAAACAAACTGACTGGGTGTGGTGGCTCGTGCCTGTAATCCCAACACTTTGGGAGGCTGAGGTGGGTGGATCACTTGAGGTCAGGAGTTCGAGACCAGCTTGGCCAACATGGTGAAACCCTGTCTCTACCAAAAAATACAAAAATTAGCTGGGCGTGGTAGTGCATGCCTATAATCTCAGCTACTCAGGAGGCTGAGGCATGAGAATCACCTGAACCCGTGGGGTGGAGGTTGCATTGAGCCGAGATCATACCACTGTACTCCAGCCTAGGCAACAGAGACCCTGTCTAAATAAATAAATAAAAACTTAGCAGGGTGTGGTGGCACATGCCTGTAGCCCCAACTACTCAGGAGGCTGAGGTGGGAGGATTGCTTAAGCCCAGGATGTCAAAGCTGCAATGAGCTATGATTGTGCCACTGCACTCTAAGCTGGGAGACACAATGAGATCCTGTCTTGAAAAAAAAAAGAGGGAGACTCATTTGCTATTATTTATCATCCTTTCATACTGTTGGAATTTTTAAAAAACATGCATGTGTTATTTTCACAATAATAAAACTATCTTTGCTACTTTGCTGGATAAAAATAGTGTCTTGTGGTCACCTTATCTGTCAGTTTATGAACCGCTCACGAGGGTAGACATCTTTCCAAAAATTGTTTCTGCTTTTGTGAGTTGTCTCTTTGTACTCACTTATCTAGTAGGGTCCTGGGGTTTGCAGTTGAATTATTCAATAAAGACTCTGCTGGTTAGGGAGGAAAATGAACAAGTGAACATCACCGTCAGGTAGGAAAGCCACTCACGTGGAGGCGCTGACTTCCATGGGGTCTGGCCAGAGGGACCCGGCATTGGTGCCAAAGGACAGGACAAACAGCTTCTCCTTGTGGCTCAGCTGCTCATCGATGAGGCTCTGTTGGACAAAAGGACATCACTGGCTCCCACAGCCAGGGGAATCGGGAGCCTGGCTTTGCCTCTCTGGCCTTTGCTGGCCCCTCTGGGCTGGGTGTGAGCTGTACTGAATAGGGCTGCTCGAGGCTGGGCTTAGCAGCCAGCCCCAAGCCGACATTTGCTTCCTGCCTGCCGGGCCTCCTGTGGGTGGGATGAGCATCTGGGCTGCCATCTCAGAATGTGCTATTGCTGGACCCTTGGCACTTACCTGTGGCACCCAGAGAGGGAGGACAGAGGTTTCTCTCTAAGGCATGTGAGCTGGAGAGTATCCATAACTTCTCCCTCTTCTTCCTGGCCAGCTAGAAATTCCACCTGTATGCCACCCCCATGAGCTCTGCCCTGGCTAATAGTAGACCACTCCACCTGGGGGATCTTTGGAAACTCCGTCCTGAGGACTTGTCATGAAGGGGGAGCCTGCTCTGACACCTGTCCCCTGACATCCACTGAGACCAGGAACAGGGGACAAGTCTGGAGGACAGCCCCACACTGAGCCTCATAACGGCTCTGCAGGACCTGTACAAAATACAACTGGCTATTGCTGCCATGGTACCCGTAAGAAAATAGCCTGTCCACATCACATCACGCTGCAGAGGCTTTTTCTCTAGGCCAGACTTCTCACTAAGCACTTCACTTGCACAAGCTCCTTTTACCCTTATGGCAACCCTAGGTAGCCACTTAGGGTTATCATCCCCATTTTACAGAGGAGGTAAGTAAGGCACAGAGAGATTAGTTAACGCAGTCACATGGCCTGGAATTGGTGGAGGTGGCTGGGATTTGACTCCAGCCATCTGACTCTAGTTCTTAGCTTCTCTGCTATGGATGTGAGTTGGGGATGGAGCAATGAGCAACACCAGCCTGTTCACTTCTCTCAAACTAGAGCTGGTGAGTATCCAATGGGAACCATAACTCCAAAGAAACCAGAATAGCTCTTCCATCCAGAAAAGGCCAGAAGCCCTGTGCTATGCTATGCAGGAGACTTCACATCTTCCTTCCAGGGAAACGTGGGAGCTCTTGAGTCAAAGACTAGTTGGCAGGTACTGTCGTGGTGAGAATACTGGAAGTTCACACTACAACTGAAAATGACTCTGTGGTTGGGTTTTGTAGAATTCAACATAGTTCTCTAACCACAGGTGCTAATTAAGTGTGAACTGTTCTTTATAAGACACCCTATCTTGCATTTGCTATAAACAAGCTCGTCAGCAAGCTCAGGAAGGAAAGGCTGGGGGTAGTGGGTGGTTCCAGGTGTTTCTCTGTGCCAGACAGACTTACCATGAGGTCCTTTTGGAACTCTTCTTTCTGAGGGCCACTGCTGATGGCTGACACATCTATGAGGATGCTGACTCTGGCCCCTTTGATGAGGCCAAATGCCTAAAACCAAAGAGGGCATTTGGAAACAGCCAGTGCAAGTCTGTGTGTCTCCTACACTGAGCTGCTCTGTGCCACGCAGTGATGCAAACACTTTCCTCACCCCTAACAAGCAGCAGCAGATGGAAACCTCATTTTATAAGGGAAAAGCAAAACCCAATGTCATGACTTCAGCTCTGGGCATGATCTGCTCTTATTTTGTGGCAGCCTCTTCTTTATAAGTTTTTTCCCCTTATATTTATTGTCTAATCTTATGAAGTAATACATGGTCATTGTAGAAAATCTGGAGACTATAGAAAAGCACCCTTTGTTTGAAGATATAAAATTTGATGGCTATTTATATTAGCTTATCTGATTTAATTTCTCTATATCCTTATTTATTTTTTGCCTACTCTATCAATCAAAGACAGATGTGTTAGGTTCGCCAGCTGCAATGGTATCTCTGAGTTGCTAATTATGTTTCTTGTTTCTTCTTTTTGAGATGGCATATTGCTATATTGTCCAGGTTGATCTCGAACTCCTGGGCTCAAGCAACCATGTGCCACCACATCCAAATTTCTAATTATGTTTCTAAACGGTATTACTCTACAGTTATTACTCCTTGACTTATGATGGGGCCACGTCCTGATAAACCCATCATAAGTGGAAAAATCCTAAGTTGAACCATTCTAAGTCAAGGACTGTCTGTATTACTTGTCAATGCTGTTTGACTCTGCACATAAATGTTCATCTTGTTATAGCTGCATTGTGGATTGGAACTTTCATTCACATGAAATTGATAGTTCTCTAGGGGCAGTAGGTTCCATTCGGTGTTTTTCCTTAAATCCTACTTTACTGGATATCTAATTTTCCTGTTGAATTCACTCTTCTGCTCTCAGAGAGTATTTTACATCTCCTCTCACACCTCCAGCACTCCCTTTCTGTACTCTCCCAGCAAGTGATTTTGCCTCCAATTTTGCTGAGAAAACAAAAACAAATTGGAGAGAATTAAAAAAAATCTTTCCATGCAGAGTCTACTGACCTACCAGCCCATAGCCCTACATACTTCACCTTTTTCCAGTTAAAATGCATCTAAGGCCAACCAGCAATGGTCTAGGCTAACATTTGACTTGCATTACTGGATCTTCTCTTGCTAAATAGGAACTCTGCTTCTGTAATCATCCCTTCTCCTGGATCATCCATTCCTATTGATTGTACAATTTCCATCACCATACAAACAGGTTATAATATTGCCCATCTTAAAAAAGATATAGATCTCTCAGTATGCTACCTCTTCCTCCTGCTGTTTAATTTTTCTGCTCTCCATCTTAGCCACACATCCTTACCTCCCGGGGACCCATTCAAGTTAGGTTCTCACCTTCCTATTCCTCTGAAACCACACATGTCAAGGTGATCAATGACCTTTGTCTTGCCAAGCCCAAGGGTTAAATCCAAATTCTTGACTTTCCCGAACTCTGAGTAGCATATAGCACAGTTTGACTGTGTCAAGAATTTAACAAATTAAAACACTTAGTACACATGTCTTCCAGGACACTATATTCTCCCACTTTCCCCTCTCTTCACTGGCCATATTTTCTTAATTTCCTTTCCTAGAGAGCCCCTCCTCCTTGTTCCAAAGTCACAATACTGGCGTGCCCTAGGAACTTGCTTCTGAAGGTGTGGGTCATGGGCTGACAGCATCACCATCCCCCAGCTTGTTAGAAATGCAGAGTCTCAGGTCCCACTCCAGGCTTACCTAATTAGAGTCTTTATTTTAACAAGAGCTTCCATGTGCACAGTGGCACAATCATAGCTCACTGCAGCCTGGAACTCCTGGGCTCAAGTGATCCTCCTGCCTCAATCTCCTAAGTAGCTGGGACTATAGGTGTGTGCCACCACACCTGGCTATTTTTTTTTAAAATTTTTTGTAGAGATAGGGTCTTACTGCATTGCCCAGGCTGGTCTTGAACTCCTGGCCTCAAGAGATCCTTCAGCCTCAGCCTCCCAAAGTGCTGAGATTGCAGCCATGAGCCATCGTGCCTGGCCACTCTCTTCTTTATCTACCCCAGGGTTTGCCAACTTTGGCACTATTGACATTTGGCACTATTGGCATTTGGCACTATTGACATTTGGGCTGGATAATTATCTGTTGTAGGGAGCTGTCCTGTGCATTTCAGGATGGTGAGCAGCATCCCTGGCTGCTGATAAACTAGATGTAGGTAACAACCCCTCTCCTTCAGCAATGACAACCTAAAATGTCTCCAGACATTGCTAAATGTTCCCGTGGGGCAAAATCACCCCTGGTGGAGAACCACTGTTCTTTGATCACTCTCTAAGTGATCTGAGTGTCATGACTTTGAATACCATCTGAATGCTAAATGATTATCTGAGGTCCATCTTCAAACAGATTTCTCTTGGAACTTCAGACCTGTGCACCCAACATCCTGCTCCGCTTCTCTGTCTGGATGTCTGCTAAGTCCCTCAGGCCTCACATGTCCAAAACAAGACCTCTCAGTTTTCTTCAAGACTGTTTCTCCCTCAGCCTTCCCCATCTTAGTAAATGCCATTCAACACTGGCCCAGGCACTCTGGCCCCAGACCTATCCAATCCATCAGCAAGTTCTGCTGGTCCTACCTTCCAGCCATGCATTGAATCTACCATATCTCATTCTGTCGACCCTAGAGCTTGAGTCCAAGCCTCCATCGTTCTCGCCCAGAGCGGTTGTCCTGTTTCCACTTTTACCCCCTGTGCAGTCAAGTTATGCAGCAGCCAGCGTGATTCTTTTGAAACTTGTTGGATCAGGTCACTCCCCTGCTTTATTAAAGCCCTCAGCTTTGGAATCAGGCCCTCCCGGACTTCAACCTGCTCATCTAAGCTCATCTCCTTTCTCCACATAGCTCACTCTGTGCTTGCTGCACTGGCCCATGTGCTGCTTCTGGAACATACCAAGCTCGTTCCTGCCTCAAGACTTTTGGACTTGCTGTCTCCTCTGCTTGGAACATTCTCCCCAAGATATTGGTAGGGCTTACCCCCACACTTTCTTTAGGTGCCTGTTCAAATGCCTCCTCTTCAGAGTGAGTATCTTCAACCATTCCATTTATTTATTTTTTATTTTATTTTTGAGAGGGAGTCTCACTCTGTCTCCCAGACTGGAGTGCAGTGGCACGATCTCGGCTCACTGCAACCTCTGCCTCCTGGGTTCAAGCAATTCTTCTGCTTCAGCCTCTCTAGTAGCTGGGATTACAGGCGCCCATCACCACGCCTGGCTAATTTTTGTGTTTTTAGTAGAGACGGGGTTTCAGCATTTTGGCCAGGCTGGTCTCAAACTACTGACCTCAAGTGATCCATCTGCCTCGGCCTCCCAAAGTGCTGGGATTACAGGTGTGCACCACCACGCCCGGCCTCAACCATTCCATTTAAATAGTCCTGTTCCACCCTCTGTTCCCTTACTCAGCTTTGTTTCTTTTTACAGCACGTAAGCTCCATGAAGGCAGGACCTTAGTATTGGTCATGTTTTTTCCCCCGACAGCGAACCATTCCTTCAGCAAGTACTGGTCATGTTGGTAGTCTCAATCCTAGAACAGTGCCTGATATACAATAATCACTCAATACATGTTTGTTGAATTCATGACCCAAATATTCTAGGGTATTGCCAATCTGGAGGCAAGAAGTTGAAATCTAGAGCCAGTTCTATTTTTTTAAATTAAAAACAAGCTGCCATGAGGGCTTTACAGCTTTTGGAATTGAAAACATTCATTCCCTAAACCTAGCCATTGAAGTTCTAGACATTTATTCCATAGAAATAACTGGACAAGTACATAAGAGGCAATTGGAGCCTGGTAATACCAGATATTCTCATTTTTCAAGAGAAGTCTGATAGCAGACATAAAAGTGAAATACCAGGATTTAAAAAATCTTGGCAACTAATTTGAAAAATAGTTAAAATTAGGGAGCCTAAACAGAATGGCTGTGGGCCAGATTTGGCCTGCATGCCACTAGTTTATAACTTCTCCTTTTATCCTCTGCAGACACAGATCCAGAGAAGCGAGGCCACTTTCTAGGGCCTTAGTGACAGAGCAGAACAGGAACAGGGACCAGCGATTATCTGGCCATCACCTCAGGCTGCCTGCCTCAACACCCAGGGACCTGGTAAGCTGATTTACAGGTGATCGTTTCCCTGGGCTCTTCCATGGTTTCTCTGTAGCTCCGTCAGAAAGGGGTGGCAGGATGAAGGGGCTATCAATCCCCGCCCACTTTGACAAAGGTGCGAGGATGGGGTAGTGGAGGTCGGGGGGTGAGAGCAGCATGCCCTACGTGGATGCCTATGGAGTATGGGAGGATTTCATTCCCGTGGGGTCTCTCTGCCTGTTACCATGGGCAACCAGAGGGGTCCAGCTATAGCTGCAGACAAGCATCTGTTGACTCAACTCGTCCAAGCAAGTGAAGGAGGTTCTGGATCTGAGGTGAAGACCACAGCCTGGAATTGGCGGGACAGGCAGGCTTAGCACTATGTTGTTACCCACTAGTCTTGGGTAGAGGTGGGGATTGGGAGTAGGGAGCATGACTTTTAGCATCTGCATCTGGGTAGAGGTGGGGACTGGGAGTAGGGAGCATGACTTTTAGCATCTGCTTTTCCCAGGGTTTAAGGCAAGAGCTGAAGATTGTGCCTAAGGTGGAAGCAAACGGGAAGCCAGAAAAGTGCCAGTTGATGGCAATTAAGCTAAAACAAACAAGAAAGCAAATCAAAGTGTTCATTTGCCCATGGTCACTCTTCTACCCTTGGGTTCTGAGAAAAACATTTAATTAAAAAAATTTTTTTTTTTTTAAAAGACAAGTCTTGCTCTGTTGCCCAGGCTGGAGTGCAGTGGCAAAATCATAGCTCACTGCAGCCTTGAGGCTCCTGGGCTCAAGAAATCCTTCTGCCTCAGCCTCTCAAGTAGCTGGGACTACAGGTGTGCACCACTATGCCTAGCCCTTAATCAAACTTTTGTGGGTTTTCTTTTCGTTTGTTTGTTTTGAGAGGGAGTCTCACTGTGTCTCCCAGGCTAGAGTGCAATGGCGTGATCTCGGCTCACTGCAAACTCCACCTCCTGAGTTCAAGTGATTTTCCTGCCTCAGCCTCCTGCATAGCTGGGATTGCAGGCTTGCACGACCACGCCCAGGTAATTTTTTGTATTTTTAGTAGAGATGAGGTTTCACCATGTTGGCCAGGCTGCTCTTGAACTCCCAACCTCAGGTGATCCACCTACCTAGGCCTCTCAATGTGCTGGGATTACAGGCCTGAGCCACCATGCCCAGCCCTTAATCAAACTTTTAAGAAAAGTGATATCCAGATGATCAGCCTTAGTCTTCTAAATCTCATTGCGGGTCTAAAGTCAAATGCCCAGTGCACATCTGCATTCTCACCTGCCCAGCACCCATTCCCCCTTCTGGTAACAGTGCTCTGGCCTTCCACATGCAACCATCTGTCTCTCTTTTTCAGTCCATGAGGGCTGGGGGGCTAATCCAGTCTCTTTCCCCTTCCCCCCTGTCTTTTATTTTATTTTATTTTTGCCCCAGAAGTCAGCACTAGTTCCAGGCCTAGTCAAATAGTGATAGTATATTTCATCTCCTTGGCTATGATGATTGGTGTAAATTGGTCAATGAGAGTCAGTCCCAGGATTTGGAAGTTGTGCAGGGAACAGGAAGTGAAGTTCCTTTTTACTGGAGCTGCTGATCACCACCTTCCTATGCCTGAAGAGAGATGTCCTGAGAATAAAACCAACTCAGGAAAGCAGAGCCCACAGGCATAGAGGTGACATCATCTGAGCACCTGGATCCAGCTGTGGCTGGGGTTTTCATTTACTTAGGTTAGTAAATGCCTTTTTTTAGCTTAAGCAATTTATATTGGAGGTCTACATTTGCAACTGAAAGGGTTCTAACAAATACAAATGGAATGAGTGAAAGGGGGCAAAGAATGAAATCTATGCCCGTTACCTTCTTGCTGTTTTCTGTGAGCCACTGAATTCTCTCTTGATAGACTTCAATAGTGCTGTCAAGACATCAGAAAGACTCATCACCCAAGGCCAGCGTCATCACTGAGCAACAGCCACTTACATACACAAAAGGCAGGTATGAATAATTGTTTTTTTTTTTAATGTGCATAGGTTCTTGGAAGAAGGTGGTGAACCTTTTAGGTGCACTGTAGTGCACGCCTGTAGTCGTGGCTACTCAGGAGCCTGACGTGGGAGGATCACTTGAGGCCAGGAGTTCAAGACCAGCTTAAGCAACCTAGTGAAACCCTGTCTCTACAAAAAATAAAAAAATTTGCTGGGTATGGTGGTGCATGCCTGTAGTCCCAGCTACTCAGGAGGCTGAGGTGGGAGGATCACTTGAGCCCAGGAGTTCAAGGCTGCATGGAGTTATGATTGTTCCACTGCACTCAAGCCTGGGCACAATCGAGGAAAGACAAAACTGAAGATACTTGTTTGCCAGGGCACTAGGTATAAGGAGATTGTGAAAGGGATCGAGTGTATAGGTGCTGCTCTATTGGTGACACAGTGCACAGGATAAATGACAACGGTTTGGTGGATCAAGGGGTGGAATCAGGCCCTCCCAGACTTCAACCTGCTCATGTAACCTCGTCTCCTTTCTCCACATAGCTCACTCACTCTGTGCTCACTCTGCCCGGTGAGGGCAGGTCTGTGGAGGGTGGGGGAGGGTGTTCTTACGAGAAAGTTGGAAGACCACCCTTGCACTTGCTCAAATCTGTGTCTTCTCAGAAGGAATTGTTCCTAGTCTCCTGGAAACTGATCATAAAGGCACAACAGAGGCAGTTAAGCAATCGTTTCTACTGGATTGATTAACAAAAAACCTAGTTTCTGAAAAGTAGCTGGGGGACCTTCTTGAACTTGCCTTATTGCATGCCTGGCTTGCAATGACTGGTTGAAGACTAGCATATATCATATGCACAAGGTAAGGACTAGGTCACTTTAATTTAATTGACTTGTTCTTACTGGGGGCAGGTGAGATTTGGGGGCCTAGAGAGGGACAAAAAAGGTCTTTGGAAATGAGATCATGGGGCAGTGGGTGGTAGATAGAGTCATAAGGGATACATGAGTTATGAATAGAGCTAAGAAGATGAGCTTTATTTTTATCTTCTTCTTCTTTTTATTTGAGACAGGGTCTCACTCTGTTGCCCAGGCTGGAGTGCAGTGGTACGATCATGGCTCACTGCAGCTTCAACCTCCCTTGGCTCAGGTGATCCTCTCACCTCAGCCTTTAAGTAGCTGGAACTATAGATGCACACCACCACACCTGGCTAATTTTTATATTTTTTGTAGAGTTGGGGTTTCATCATTTTTCCCAGGCTGGTCTTGAACTCCTGAACTCAAGCGATCCTCCTGCCTTGACCTCCCAAAGTGATTACAGGTGTGAGCCACTTGTGCCCAGCTGAAGATGAGCTTTATAATAAAATATGTTTGTGTTTGAGATACAGCTCTGCCATCTACTAGCTGTGTGACCTTGGACAGGTGTGGTAACCTTTCTGAGCCCCAGTTTCACCATCTCCAACATGAAGGTAACAACAGGATTCTATCCAAGTCAATTTGCTAAAAGTCAATTTACTGAAAGCCAGTCCTCTGAAAATCAATTTGCCAAATGACCAGTTAGCTAAATAGACTTGAACATTCCTTAAAATACTGGATTCACAATTAAAACTGATAAACCAAGACATTGCAGAATTCTTTAAAACCTGTTTAAGCTTCCAACCTAATAAAAGTTACTATAAATTCTACAGTTAAATGGTTTTGAGAAATTTGAGCAACTGGTCATTCCATGAATGGCCATTCAGCAATTGACTTTTGGTTAACTGGCTTGAGAGTGATGGTTTTATAAGGGGAAACCCCTTTCTCTTGATTCTCATTCTCTCTTTCCTGGCTGCCTTGTAAGATGTCCCTTTGCTCTTCCTTCATCTTCTGCCATGAATGTGAGGCCTCCCCAGCCATGTGGAACTGTGAGTCCATTAAACCTCTTTCTTCTGTAAATTGCCCAGTCTCGGGTATGTCTTTATCAGCAGCATGAAAATGGACTAATACACATGTGCTATCAAAATCTGGTTTAGGAGTGGGGATGCATGCATGTTTTTGGCATATATTTGCAAAGTTATGAACGCAATCAATTTGACATTGAAAGTCATTACTCTTAACCATTAAACACCAGATGAAGCTGTGTCATCCAAGGGACTATGGATTTCATTTTATATTTTTTTAGAGATAGGGTCTTATTTTGTTGCCCAGGCTAGAGTGCAGTGGTGTGATCATAGCTCACTGCAGCCTCGAACTTCTGGGCTCAAGTGATCCTCCCACCTTGGTCTCTCAAAGCGCTAGGATTATAGGCATGGACCACCATGCCTGGCCCTAGACTATGGATTTGAAAAGGCTGAGAGACACTGATCTGGTCCAACCTTTCTATTTGAGAAAAGGGGAAATTGGGGCTAGAAGTGGGAAGAGACATGCTCATCTCCCTGAGTGGTAGTTTTTCCTTTTTTTTTTTTTTTTTTTTGAGACAGGGTCCCACTCTATTGCCCAAGGTCCCACAGAGATTGCTGTTTGAACAAAGTTACTTCCAGGCTACTGAAATGACATAATTCTTTCTTTTTCTTTTTCCTTTCTTTTTTTTTTTTTTGAGACAGAGTTATGCTCTTGTTGCCCAGGCTGGAGTGCAATGGTGTGTTCTTAGCTCACTGGAACCTCCACCTCCCGAGTTCAAGCGATTCTCCTGCCTCAGACTACAGGGTAGCTGGGATACAGGCATGCACCACCAGGACTGGCTAATTTTTTAAAAAAATATTTTTAGTAGAGACAGGATTTCACCATGTTGGCCAGCCTGGTTTCAAACTCTTGACCTCAAGTGATCCACCTGCCTCGGCCTCCCAAAGTACTGGGATTACAGGTATAAGCCACCATGCCCGGACTGAAATGACATAATTCTTGAGTTCTGTGGTGTTGGGAGGACAGTGAGAAACATACTTACTCAGAAAGCTTTGACTCAAAATGGCGGATGATCTGGGTGGAGAAACATATTTTCTGCACGACATTGGTGCCCTCCTCCCTGAAGAAGCAAAGCCTTATGAGGGGATCTCTCGGGCCCAGGGGGTTGCATGTGTCACTGCAGCTGTGGGGGGTGCGGGGAACAGCTTCAGACTTACAGCACTTCTGTGCCCTGGCTTATCAGGTCAGCCAAGGTGAGTTTCTGACATTTTAAACTGTGAGCCGAAAGCCAGTCTTCAGAGTCCTCCCAATCTGAAGACTGGGTCTCACTCCCCTGCAGCCTCTGCAAGACAAAAGCCAGAGTCAAACCGTGAAGTGGAAAGAGAGGGAAGGAAGAGGTTCCCTTCACACAGATACCCAACGGGCGCCAACTCAGACTGACCCTATCTTTTTTTTTTTTTGAGACGGAGTTTCGCTCTTGTCACCAAGGCTAGAGTGCAGTGGAATGATCTTGGCTCACTGCAACCTCTGCCTCCCAGGTTCAAGTGATTCTCCTGCCTCTGCCTCCCGAGTAGCTGGGATTACAGGCATGCACCACCACGCTTGGCTAATTTTTGTATTTTTAGTAGAGACAGGGTTTTGGCATTTTGGCCAGGCTGGTCTCAAACTCCTGACCTCAAGTGATCCACCAGCCTTGGCCTCCCAAAGTGCTGGGATTACAGGCATGGGCTGCTGTACCCAGCCCCCTGGTTTGTCCGTGTTAGAGACAGGGCCTCACTCTGTCACCCAGGCTGGAGTGCAGCGGTGTGATCATAGCTCACTGCAGCTTCGAAGTTCTGGGCTCAAGCGACCTTGACTTAAGTTCTGTGCCTGAGGCCTGCTGGGCTGTCTGTCTCAAAGGGAAATTAGCAAGTGTTGAAGAAGTGTGAAAAACACTCTCATAATTACTGCAAATACTTAGATAGCACTTATTACATGTTAAGCACTTTCCGTACGTTAACTCATTTAATTTTACAAAGTGGGTTCCATTATGATAACCCCATCTTGCTGACCAGGGAACTGAGGTACAGATAATTTAGGTAATCAGTCCAAGGTCATCCAGCTAGAAAGTGGCAGATGTGGAATTCAAACCCAGGCTGTAAAGCTCAAGTCATGCTTCTAACCATGGCACTATGTTGTCCCTCTAAACTAGCACCAAACTGTGACCACCTCCATGAAGGAGTGAGAGGACTGACGGGCAAGATTACTTTCTCATTATGTGATTCTGTGCTAACAAATGTCCTGCCCTTGAAAGGCACCTAAAATCATAGGTCCCTGTCGCATATCTAGGGAAATACAGCTCTCTATCACATGGACACTAGATGTCACTCTTCTCACCTTTCAGACTCAACCCTCCCCCTGGTTGGAAACACCGAGCATGGTACTTTTTTTTTTTTCTTTTGAGACAGGGTCTCATTTTATTGCCCATGCTGGAGTGCAGTGCCACAATCTCAGCTTACTGCAGCCTCAGCTTCCCAGGCTCAAGTGATCCTCCTTCCTAGACCTCCCAATTAGCTGGGACTATAGGCACGTGCCACCACACCTCACTAATTTGTGTATTTTTTTTTTTTTTTTTTTTTTTTTTTGTGGAAACAGGGTTTCACCATGTTGCCCAGGCTGGCCTCAAACTTCGGGACTCAAGCGATCCTCTCATCTAGGCCTCCCAAAGTGCTGAGATTACAGATGTGAACGACCGTGCCTGGTGAGCATGGTGGACTTAATAATTCACCTTTCTTCCATCTGTGTTGCTTTTCAAATGATGTCATGTTTTAGGACACAGATTTTGTATTATTCATACTTGAAGATACACTATTAAACACATTATGGATTTTGACTTTAGGCCATGCTAATTATGTAACTCTACTAGTTCATTTGCATAGAGAATGGTAAGATCTTCGTGTTGGAGCAATCCTTTCCCTCTTTCCTTCAGGTTCATCTGCAAGGCAAAGGAGGCCCCAGCTGTGGCTGATAAATATAAGAATGATCCTGTCTACACCTGGGAAGTCATGCATTTTCATATAAAATTAGAGGAAAGATGCATGTCATCAACATCTGAACCCATTACAAGACTTCTTCAGAATCTCAAAACTCTATCAACCTTTCCTCGTCTCCTTTAATTAAGCTTGCTTTCCTGTAAGTGCCAGAACCTAAGTAAATCATGAGTATTTTTCTGATTGTTTAATTGCCAGCATTATACCTGTATTGTTTTTGACTATCATTTCAAAGGTATCATATTTAAACTCTAGTGTGGGTTAGGTACATGGTTGTGCACTAGCCTTGCTTGAACATGGCAACCACTGATTGCCACTGTGTCCCTGGTAGAATGAATTCTGAGTTCTAGACAATCCACTCACCCTCTTGGGAAGGCACATTGAAGGTCAGCCTAAAATCGTAGTCTGGTCAGAGGTTTATTCTCCTATCATACCCCATTTGTCCAACAGCACTTCCTGAAATGGATTTCTGAATCTCGATTTCAGGGAATCTCAAAAGCAAAGCAAATCTCAGGAAGGGGAATTTTAGAATCAAATGCTTAAGACTTCAGGCCTTGATAACATGATCAGAGTCTTCACATGCTCCTGAATATTTAGTGACATGGCCAAATAGGCTAAACAATTTCTATATAAACAGTATAGAGATTCTTCAGTCATTTCTGAAGGCAGAGGATTAGAGATAAATGCTTAATTACTCCTTTTTCAGTCCTAGAATCCTATGAGAAGGAAGAAATCCCCAGAATTTAACACACTGTGCATTCTCTGAATGATTTGTAGTATCACGACCCAGTTAAAGTGCCATGGTCTTTACCAGTAAGTCCTGTGTCTGGTTAACATGTGTAACCAATAATCCATTGTCCGAATTTTGCCCAAGTCCATTCATATTCTTCTGCTTTAGTGGCTTCTTTGAATCTCTGCCAGTGTTTCTCCTAATGCTACAAAACATAAAGTAATTTGATCAATGCCCCAGCACTGGGCATAGGTTTGATACCCCCAGTGCCTCCTCTCTTTGCCCTAGTCCCTACAAGGATTCTAGAAACATTTTTCTGTGCAGTAACTGAGAAGGATTCCTGCAGAGTCCTGATAAAATGTGGACTCCAGTTCCATGAGATATTTTATTATTTAGATAACTAAAGCCCTCAGGTGGCTATAAGAAGATTCAATGACCATTTACCCAGTCTCACCCTCAGCTCCCATGAGCAAAATGCTGTTGCTGTTTTCGTTTGCAAAATCAGAGAACTAGCCCAGGCACGGTGGCTCACGCTTGTAATCCCAGCACTTTGGGAGGCCGAGACGGGCGGATCATGAGGTCAGGGGATCGAGACCATCCTGGTTAACACGGTGAAACCCTGTCTCTACTAAAAATACACAAAATCAGCTGGGTATGATGGTGGGCACCTGTAGTCCCAGCTACTCGGGAGGCTGAGGCAGGGGAATGGCATGAACCCGGAGGGCAGAGCTTGCAGTGAGCCTAGATTGTGCCACTGCACTCCAGCCTGGGAGACAGTGCGAGAATCTGCCTCAAAAAAAAAAAAAAAAAAAATCAGAGAACTATGCTTACCAATGGTTTTCCAGAAACATATTTTCTTGACCATGGAAGACATGACTAGTTTGTGTAGCCATTGCAAAACACCCAATGCTTATTTTCCTAAAGAAGAAAAGAATACCAGAAAACAGGATAAATGTGGCATACAGACAATAGTTTTGGGGGGTATCTATATTCAGCACAATGCTTCTTTTTCTACATGTTTAATTTTTTTTTGAGATAGGGTCTCACTTAGTTGCCCAGGCTGGAGTACAGTGGCCCAATCATGGCTCACTGTAGCCTTGACCTCCCAGGCTCAAGCAATCCTCCCACCTCAATCTCCCAAGTAGCTGGGACTACAGGCACAAGCCACTATGCCCAGCTAATCTTTCTGTTTACTGTAGAGACGGGGTCTCACTATGTTGCTTTGGATGGTCTCGAACTCTAGGGCTCAAGTGATCCTCCCACCTAGGCTGGGATTAGAGATGTGAGTCACCACGCCCGGCCATTTTTAAAATTTTATTGACAAGGTCTTGCTCTGTCACCAAAGCTGAAGTAATGTGGTGCTAACATAACTTATGGCAGCCTCGAACTCCTGGCCTCAAGAGATCCTCCTCAGCCTCCCTAAGTCATGGGATTATAAGAGTGAGCCACTGTGCTCAGCCAACTCTTCTTTAATTAATTCATTCAGTAAATACTTATTGAACACCTGCCAGGTATCAGGCATTGTGCTTGGTGCTGAGGATACAATGGTGAACAAGATAAAGCTTTCTCAACTTCAACACTTTGACTCTTGGACCGGATCATTCTTTGCTGTGGGGGCCGTCCTATGCATTGCAGGATGTTTAGCAGCATCCTGGCCTCTACCTATTAGATATCAGTAGCATCCCTCCTCACTTTTTCCCAATGTGACAACCAGAAATGTCTCTAGACATTGCTTAATGTCTCATGGACAGCAGAATTGTCCCTAGTTGTAAACCACTAAGATAGACTTTGTCCTTGTCCTCCCAGCGCTTATATTCTAGAGGGGGAGACTGATATTAAAAAACTAAATAAAATAATTACAAATTGTGGAAAGTGTGGAAAGAACTAAAAGGATAATAGAAAGTAATCAAGGGGCCAGGCATGGTAGCTCACACCTATAATCCCAGCACTTTGGGAGGCAGGCTGAGGCAGGAGGTCACTTGAGGCCAGGAGTTCAAGACCAGCCTTGGCAAACCAGCGAGACCCCATCTCTATAAACATAATAAAGATAAATTAGCCAGGTGTGGTGGTATGTGCCTGTAGTCCCATCTACTTGGGAGGCTGAGGCAGGAGGATCGCTTGAGCCCAGGAGTTCAAGGCTGCAGTGAGCTATGATCATGCCACTGCACTCAATCCTGGGCAATAGAGGGAGATTCTGTTTCTAAAAAATAAACAAAAATCCACACCCAAATCCAATGTTACACCCCCTTTTCTCCCTCCTGCTTAAAACTGATCAAAGCCTTCTCTATTTCTAGGATGAAGACTGAGATCCTTCAGATGGCATCTGAGGACTCTCAAGGTCTGGCTGCTCCCACCTACCCCTCTAGATTTCCCACTTCACCACTGCTCTCCTCTGTGTTCCACAAGGGCCTCCCTTTCCAGTTTCTGGAATTCTCTATAGTTCCTTTAACCACAGGGACTTTTCATGTGCTGCTGTCTTTGCTCTGGAACGTTCTTCTTCTCCCCTACCCTAATCATCTTGACATTTCAGCTTGAATATCACTTCCTTCAGGAAATCTCCAGCATCCCATTATATTTCAGTTTCCTTTGTTTTATACAGACTTTCATAGAACCATGCTCTTTTAGGGCAGGTATCTTAATTTGGAACGATACATTCATTAGAGGGATTTTTTAAAATTTGTGTGTCTGTCCCCTTACACTGTAAGTTATGTAAGAGCAGGGACTGGCAGACACTCGATAAATATTTTGAGAAGGGAAGGTGAAGGGGCAGGAGGTTGAAAGACTCCCTTGGTTTTTTTTTTTTTTTTTTGAGACGGAGTCTTGCTCTTGTCACCCAGGCTGGAGTGCAGTGGCATGATCTTGGCTCACTGCAATCTCCACCTCCCAGGTTCAAGTGATTCTCCTGCCTTAGCCTCCCACATAGCTGGGATTAAGAGGCGCCCACCACCATGCCCAGCTAATTTTTGTATTTTTTGTAGAGACGGGGTTTCACCATGTTGGCCAGGCCGGTCTCAAACTCTTGACCTCAGGTGATCCACTTGCCTTGGCCTCCCAAAGTGCTGGGATTACAGGTGTTGAGCCACCACGCCCAACCTGCCTTGGTTCTTGAATTTCTAATTATATATCCCAGGCACGTGTGAGACCTTTCTGTTCTTGGGTTCCATGAGATACCCTGTTTCTTAGAATTCTCTACCTTTTTTTTTTGCTTCAGCTAGCTCCTTTAGCTTTCTGTTATTTGCAACCAAAAAAATACCAGCTAAGACACAGCAAGTGAGAGACTCTGAATAAAGTTGCAACTTAGAGTGTGTGTTCTTGTGAAATCATTAAATTAAACAGCCTAATAATGGTTTGGCAACTTGCTTTTCTCTTTCAAGTCTTTAATCTTTTATTCAGAGGATGCTTTGTTTTCTGGGAAGCACCAGGATAATGTGGCAATGCTTTAAAAAAAAAAAAAAAACTGGCTTTACTTCAGCAAGCTTTCCTGGGAGACTCTAATGGCAGAGACTGTTGAAATAGAAATGCCTCATGAACACTGGCCGCCCCATAGTGTCTCACTTCCCTCTTTCCAGCCAGTGATTAACAGCTCTTAATGAATTCAGAGGACTGCATGGCTAGATTCTGGGGTGACTGGTGCAGGCTGATGGAGAAGGGGTTGAACTGCATAAAATAAACAAAACAAAATAGTGCTCCAGAAAAAGCACGGGGCCGGGTGCAATGGCTCATGCCTGCAATCCCAGCACATTGGGAGGCTGAGGCAGGGAGATTGCTTGAGCCAGGAGTTTGAGAGTAGCCTAGCCAACATAACGAGACCCCGTCTCTATATAAAAAAAAAAAAAATACAAAAATTAGCTGGGCATGGCAGTGCGCACCTGTAGTCCCAGCTACTAGGGAGGATGGGGTGGGCAGGTCACTTGAGCCCAGGAGTTTGAGGCTGCGGTGAGCTGTGATCGCATCGCTGCACTCCAGCCTGGGTGTTGGAGTGAGACTCTGTCTCAAACAAACGAACAAACAAAAAAGTGCTGAACCTTTGGTTTCTTCATCTTTAGAATGGAATGGGGATAACAGTAACTGACCTGCCTACTTCAATGCTGTTATCAAGAGGATCAAATGAAATTGAGAAAGTAGAACTGCTTTGTGAAATATGAAGTACTATACAAATGTAGAATACCATAAAATATGGGCTGCATCTTCAAGCACTTCAGCATATGACACAAAAACAATCATGTGTTTCATGAACATTTATAGAGCACTCACTGCGTGCCAGAGAGAACGGGTGCTGGGGAGATAGACATGAACAGGACGCAGCCCTTTCCCTCAGGCCTTTGCTCAAATGAAATCTTATTAGAGAGGTCTTCTGTGAGTACCTTAACTCAAACAGCACCTCCTCCACCTGGCTTTGTCTTTCCCCACAGCATGTTTCACTATATATATTCACTTATTTACTTAACAGTAAATACATTCTATATATTTGCTTATCTACTTGTTTTAAATTTTCTATATATTTAGTTATTTACTGTCTGAACCCCCGCGCACCCCTCCTACATAAACATACTAGAAGTAGATCCATTTGGGCCGGGACTTAGTAATGTTCACAGCTAGGACATTTTTGCATAAAATAGAGTTTAGAACACAGTAGCTGCTCAAAAAACATTTGTTGAATAAATGCACTCAGAGCAGGTCCAGAGTTTAGGCAAAGGTGAGCTGAATTACCCTGGGAGGTGATTGCAGGAGAGGAAAAGAACAACCAGGCCATGGCAGATGGCATTTTGGTCCAAGGGAGAGAGGGAACCTTGATTATTGGGTGAAAATAATAATAATAATAATAGGAGTCTTTCCTGAATCCCATTTGCTGTCCCCAGGGAGGAAACCACTCCTCCTGTGGAAGTCCTCCTGTCGCTGCCCCTTCACTTGGTCATATGGAGTTGTCATGGCCTGTCTCCTAGACCGGCTCCATGACTTCCTTGTCTACTGGCACCCCAGCATTTAGCCCAATGCTCGGCATGTAGGGAGTGGACACTTCACACCCCAAGCTCCCTCGATCTTCTCACTCAGTCCAGAGCTTAGTATCTGGCCTCCCCGACACCCTCTCACCACCCCTGTCAACCCTTGTGATGCTCACCCTCACCTGTATTTCTTCATTTATTTCTCCATCTTTGGGAGAAGGGCTCCTGGCACTCCAGGGCCTTACTTCTCCTGGATCTCACTTCTGGTTTCTCCAAGCTCCTCCAAGCAACTCAGCAGCGAAGCTTGCCCTGCGGGAATGTGTTAGCTGGTCTCCAAGGTAACAGACTGCACCACTGCAGCTCGGGGCAGGGAAAGGGAAAACCTTCCTCACCCCAGGGAAGAAGTCACCAGCTGTGTTGTTGATAACCACTTCTCCCAGGTCACTCTGCTTTTCTCCACCTCACAAAAACCTGGAAGCAGGATTTAGACCTCTTTTCTAATTTCAGAACCTCTCAGTCAGCACAGAACTATGGTTTAGGCCAGTACAGCCCTGGTGCGTGCCTGTGGCCTTCCTGTGGTAGGAACAGAGGAGAGGTTCCAGAGAACTCTGCCACATGTGTCAAAGGTGGTAACTTTCTCTTCCTTCTCAGATTCCCTTGGGTTCCCTGAACACAGTCCCTGGGAGAGGTCAGACAGTCCCCTATCCCTACCCGGTCCAGCCCCACCTAAACCTGGCTAACACAGCCAAGCTCAGTGACCTCTTCGCATCAGAAGAGATCATCTGCCACAGTGGTTCCTAAGCCCGGATGCCCATGAGAATCACCTGGATTGTTTGCTAGGAAAACATTCCCATTCAGGAGATTGATTCAGAACTGTGAAAAGGTGTGGGAATGTGACTTTTTAACAATGGCCCCAGGTGATTATGATGTAACTAGTCCTTGGCCCATAGCTGGGAATCTCTCCAAACCCTTCTTTTATAGTGGTCAAGAGAGACAAAGTGATGTCACCAAAGTCAACCAACTTGTAAGTCGCTAAAGGATCTGTACTTAGTTTTTCATATCCAGGTCATTTCTCAAATCAGTTTTCACTTTCTGAGAATTTTATAAGTTTTATAAACTTGTAAGTTTTATCAGTTAGAACATGAGGTTGGGTGGTGGCTCATGTCTGTAATCCCAGCACTTTGGGAGGCTGAGGCGGGAGGACTGCTTGAGGCCAGGAATTTGAGATCAGCTTGGGCAACACAGTGAGACTCTGTCTCTACAAAAATAAAATAAAATAAAAATTAGTCAGGTACAGTGGCTTGTGCTTGTAGTCCCAGCTACTTGGAAGGCTGAGGTGGGAGGATCGCTTGAGCCCAAGAGTTCAAGGCTACAGCGAGCTATGATCGCACCACTGCACTCCAGCCTGGGCTACAGAGCAAGACCCTGTCTCAAAAATAAAGAACATATGCCACTTGTGGTAGTCATCATATGGTAGGGAACACCCTTCAGATGTTGACCCCAGCAGCCATGCCTATAGGCCAGGTCAGAAACAACCAACGTGCTCAAAATAGAAACTCCTTATCAACCACTGGTCACTGGGGTTGAGAGCACCATGTATAAGACCACAGCATTTGTTATGTGGCCAGCACCAATAAGGCAGAAAATGAGGAAGATCAGAAAGAGGTAAGAAGGTCATAAGTGGCTGTGAGCAACCAATGGCTACTCGGTGAACAAGAGATGAGGGTCCTTGTGCCCATCTTGATGGAAATTTTGGGTGGAAGGGGCTGGCTAATTTTGACAACATTTTTTTTTTTTTAGGCACGGGAGCCCCAAGCAGGTCGTCTACCACCCTCACACCTTTCTTTGCTTCCTGCATACATGGGTTTTCAACACTGTGCATAGAAGTAAAGTCCAACACTGGAAACTCTTTGTTCCTGCTTTCTTGTACTTGAGCCTACACAACACACATTCTCAATAGATCTCTGCCAGGTGGATAAAGCAGAGTAAGGCTTTCAGACTGTATGACTCATCAAGAGGAAAGCTGTGTGGGTACCATCTTTCTTGGCTCCCTTCGGGATGCAGATCATGATGGCATCCATGGAAAGCATCAGAGCACAACAGACATTTCTCCTACCTTAGGCTCTTGGAAATGGATCAGGGTCAGCTCATCTCTGGTCTTTTATTTAGGAGCTCTAGCGTGGTCCCATCCAGGAATATGGTGGGATATATATTTCAGATATTAATTTGTTTTGTTTTCTTTCTTTCCCCCATTTCAAACCAGGAGCAGGTGCTTTGGGTTGTGTTGAGAAGCAGTAGCCTGAAGTAACTGTTTTTTCTGTCTTTTGTAAAAGCCTAAGCTAACGAAAAGATTAAAGTGACATGCCAAAGCAGGGGAGGTGAGGAATGTGTTTAATGTCATGAGGAAAGTGGGAGTGTAAAGCTTATTTCAGTTAAAAGAGATAGAAACCCAACTCAAACTGGTTTAAGGAAAAAAAAGAATTTATTTGCTTAAATAACACAAGAATCCAGAGATAGTTCTGGCTTCAGGGATGACTTGATCCAAAAGCTAAAGTGATGTTAACAGAACTGTCTTCCTTTCTCAGCTTCCTTTCTTCTAGGATGGCTTGATCAGGAGGCTCTTCAGGTGTGGCTGCCAGCAGTACCAAACTTTTCCTTACAACTTAGCAACTCTATTCCAGCAAAGTCCCAGGCTAGTCACATGCCATGCTAATTTCTGAATCTGTCACCATGACTCTGTCCAAGTCTGGCTTCTGTCGAGCTCTGAAGCCAGAACGTGAAATTGGCCCCATGAAACCACATGGCCCGAAGGTAGGAAAGGAACGATTTTCCAAAAAGAAAGAGCCTTTTTTTTTGAAACCAAAGGGACCATGGTATTAGGCAAACATGCCTCTCAGGAAAGCCAAAGGGGAGATGATATTCTCCCAGACAGATTAAAAAAAAAATCAGAGATCTAAAAATCAGAGGGAGTAGAAACTTGTTCCATGTTTGGTGGCAATACTTTGGTAAGATGGCAATATCTAAGAGAAAGTGGGTCCTTGGTGCATTCAGGGAAGAGTCCAGACACAGGAGTTCCTAGCTCACCAAAGTTTGTCATTCCCCAAGTGTGAGACGAACACAGTAAAACTACTGCCTCATTTAGCCTGGGACAACTGATGTCTCAGCAGTAACATGTAGACAGATGATCAACTAGTGGGTGGTGGCGGGGGGTGGGGTGGGGTGAGGGACTTCCAAATGTTTGAACCACGAACCTCTGCACAACTTAGAGTACTCCAATAACCAGTAAATTCCTACCAGTCCAGTAGAAGGGATCCAGTTGAGTTTTAAGTGCTTTGGGAGTAGGGGTGAGGAGCAGCTGGTTTGGGAAAATTTCCCTGGGTGCTGGAATCCTGAAAGGGCCCCAGTAAAATCAATGCCCTCATCTAGCTTCATCCATCAAGGAAGTCGGCACTATAAAATACCAACAGGCTGGGGCATGGTGGCTCATGCCTGTAATCCCAGCACTTTGGAGGTCGAGGCTGGAGGACTGCTTGAGGCCAGGAGTTCAGGACCAGTCTGGGCAACAAAGTGAGACCCCATCTCTACAAAAAATTTTAAAATTAGCCAGAAATGGTGGTGCGTGCCTGTGGTCCCAGCTACTTGGGAAGCTGAGGTGGGAAGATGGTGGCCCAGGAGGTCGAGGCTGCAGTGAGCAGCCAAAAACCAAACCAAACCCAAAAACCAGTGAACAATGATTACAAAGAGAAAGCTCAACAATGAGAGGGGAATGATGGAAGATTTGACACAAACAACTTAATAAGTGGGAGGTTTTTCTTACTTTTTTTTTTTTTTCTCTCAACAAAGTGGAAAGTGTTTCTAAATAGGGACCACCTTTTATGGTTGTTTGCATTCCACATCCAGAAGAAGCAAACCATAGATTTAGCTGCTCATGTTTGAGCCAAGGAATCATGCAAGCGGGACAAGTTATTTTTATTCCCTTTAGATCAGCCACACTGGCAATGCAGGACAGCAGGAGTCCTAGATCTGAAGTCAGGGAGCCTGGCTGTGAAACCCAGATTCACCAGTTGCTAGTTACAGAACCTGGAGTAAGGTGTTCAGCCTTTTGATCCTTGGTTTTGTAGTCTATAAAACACCACCCTGTACTTCACAGGTAGAGGATTAAGATGACATATGGGAAAGCACATAACACATGAATTTACTGTTAGTTTCCTTCTCTAAACGTAGAGAATGCCACTATTATTTAACCACAGTGCTTTTGAAAATAGGAATTCCTTTAATAGTTGATACGCTTCAGTTAGAATGTCAGGTTATTATGACATTTGAGAAGTTTTTGTTATCCAAGGCCTAAGTTCACAGCAGCATTATCTGCAATAACAAAAATCTGGAAGCAACCTCATGTACATCAAAATGGGAAGACACATATTTGATATGTATCAAATGGAATACTATGCATTTAAAATGAGGAAGCTCTATATTTACTGACACAGAAAAATCTACATCACAAATTAAGTCAAAAAAGAAAGCCACAGGGCATGCATGGTGGCTCCCAGCACTTTGGGAGGCCAAGGCAGGAGGAGACTGGGAGACGACCCTGGTCAACATACTGAGACCCCCATCTCTATAAAAAAAAATTTTTTTTTTAATTAGCAGGCCGTGGTGGCATGCACCTGTAGTCCCAGCTACTTGGGAGGCTGAGGTGGGTGAATCGCTTGAGCCCAGGAATTTGAGGCTGAGGATTGTGCCATTGCACTTACTCCAGTCTGGGTGACAGAGCAAGACCCTGTCTCAAAAAAAAAAAGCAGTGGCAGGTATAGATAATATCTTGCTTTTGTTAAACTGATCAGTAAAATGTCTGTTAAAATACCCAATAAACTGTTAACAATGGTTATCTCTGGAAGGTGGATTGTGGAGGAGGGAACTTTTTGTTTCCTATATTATTTTTGTGTTTTTTAAAAAAATCTACAGATACATGTTATTGTAAAAAGAAAATTTGTGTCCCGGCTCAAGGTCATAATTTCTTTCTCCACAATAGCACATAAGGCAGGAAAAAGTTACTGATAACCCTGAAGGCAGAAATTAGGTAAAGTATTGGAGTGGTGCATGTAAGGGTGGGACTGCACCAAATAAGTTCATTTTGCTGCTTACTACCTATCTTAGTAAAACATTTAGAAGATGAGGTAGTCAAAAGCCTTCTTAGATATGTCAGTTTTTAAAGAGCAATTTATTATGGAAAATGGAAAGGATTTTGGTTCTTCAACTTCTTTGCATTTGTCATAGAAAACAAAGGAATGGAAAAGAGTGAGTTTTCATATTTTTTATTTAAGAAAATACTTGAATTGCCTTAGACAATATTAAATATTTAAACAACATGAGAAAGAGTGCCAGAGGTCAGAACATAGTATTTAGTTCACTGAGTTGCCCTGACAGATAATGAATGGGGATTGATTTAATAGTGACCAAATACACTGGCCATATTTACTAAAGTGCTGTAAAATGGCCAAGTGAGGACAACTGCATCTAAAATGAGATCAAATCCTCGAGTCCATTCCTTTTAGCAGAAATGATTAAAACCATCTTGGCAGGACCAAGTCTTTGCAAAACCTATCAAATGGATGGATGGCTTCAAGACAGCAGAGAACCCACAAGCTTGAAGAGGCCTCCGGAGAGTTCACTCAGGATAAACGGGGTGCTGGCATCGTCCTGGTCCTCTCTGTACAGTAACAGTGTTACAGCCCTGTGAGTTCAGTAGTAAAGGATCTGGAGTCCATGGGGAAATTCTAAGGAGATCAATGGAACTGATATATTATATAGCCAAATACTTATTAATAAAGTAACCATCCTTATAAAGGCTGATTTAGGCAAGCCTCTGCCTTCAGGAGGAAGTTCACTGAAACAAACCTGGCAGATTGATGACTCTGTCTTTCAAATCTCCAGGAAATATGGTTTCATAATTTTTCTTTATCACCTAGCCCCAACTTTAATTTTCATAATTCAGTGTGTAAAGCACTGTGCCAGGTTTCTAGTGAGTACACAATGAGGAAGCCATACTCTTTGCATTCAAGAGTTTATATAGTTATACAAAAGCACTTACTAATGACAATATCAGCAACTAACATTTGAATGCTTACTATGTGCTTGGAACTTTATCTCCTTTAAACCAACAATAGCCCCATTAAGTGGGTAATATTATTAGTCCCATTCTACAGATGAAAAAACCAAGGCTCACGTAAGTTACATGATTTACTAAGGGTCACACAACTGGAATGGTGGAATTGAGATTTAATCCAGGCAGTCTATGCCTGTTTAGCAAGTTCTGTTACAGAAGCATAAGAAAAAGAGACACAAAGCACAAAAGATTAGATATATTTCAAATATGGGAGGACTTTAAAACTGAGAGGAGGTGGTACAGACACAACCGGGGCAGGGAGCAGGTTGTAGTGAATCTAGAATGGAGAACAGGCTGGTTGTCAGTAAGAAGTGACGAGAGAGAGAGGTGGGAAATGACTGAACAGAGAGCTTGAAGCCAGATCACGAAAGCTTGTCAAAGCTATGCTAAAGGAGTTTGGATTTCATTCTGTAGACAATGGGAATGACAGAAATGTGAACATGGAAATAATATGCTTTCTTTTGTGTTATGAGTATCTTGGCAGAATTGATTTGGATGGATCAGAGTGAATGGAGACCAGTTGAAGGAAGACTGGTTCAATGGCTAGAGAATATGAATGTTGGTCTTAAGTCCAAGGCCCACATGTCAAAGACGAGTGCTCTGCTGATATCTAGTTGAGTGACTTTGGAAAAGTCTGAGGCCTCGATTTCCTCACCTGGAAAGTGAAAACACTGGACATGCTCTTTGACATTTCATCCAGCACTGAAATTTTATAGTCTTGTGAAAAATCTCTTCTTGAAATGTTATCTTGGGTGGTCTTAGATTGTGTGTGACTGGAACTGGGGCTGATTTGTAAAACCCTTGAATGTGCTTGAAAATACCAACCCACAGTGTTTTCTTCTCCTGGGAAAAGAACCAAAACTCTTAAAAAATATACATTGTGCTTTCTATCTTTAATACCATTTATAAATAACTACCTTTATTTTTGTTGCTGGGTAACTGTGACCCAGAAGAGTTGACTTTGCATAAAAGGAACCCAGAGTCCTCTAGTCTTGGTGTTTTTCCTATAATCTTCTCATAGTGGCTAGAATAGAGATGATAGAAGAATAAGTCAAAATAAAGTATTTTTGAACCCATGTTGTTTTCAAAGCCACTGTGTTACCTTTTCCTAAGGTATTACCAAATAGAAAAAGTGTCCCCTCCACCATAGCAGCTCAGCATAAATCTACCATTACAATTTCCAATTGACCTATTCATTAATGTTTATAGAAAATAACCCCCCAAAAACCTCTAATCTGTGTTACAAATCAGGAGAAGATTTAGATGATGTGAAGATAGGGTAGGGTGACCAACTTATCCTAGTTTGCCTGGAACTTTCCCAGACATAGTACTTCAAGTCTCACCTCCAAGGAAACCCCTTAATCTTAGAACCCAAGAACATCTAAATCTTACCATGTCTTAATCCTCCAATTCCCCAGGAGGCTCCTCAAAAGGCCACACAAGGAAGAATCAGCAGCAAACTGTAAATATTTTATTATTATTATTCGGTTGGGCTAATCTTGACACCCCCAGAGAGAGCTATAGTTAAGCTGTGACAGGGCCTAAAGGCCTCTGTATTTGCTCCTCCAGCCCATACTTTAAGATTTTAAAAGCTAAGATCTTTTGGCCTGGAGTAAAGTAGAAACAGAAGACTGAAGCAAAGATGGACTTGGGTCTATGTGCAAGGAAGAAAGAATAGAAAGATAGTTGGCTTGAGGGCTTTGGCTTGGTTTCTCTCTCCTAGCTCATGGAAGCATGACGCAGAAGGGAAAGCCACATGTATGTGGTCTTTTATTGCTGAGTGACTCTTGGGTAATCATGGCCTAATCCACGTCCTGGAATATTAATGGCATCTCTTCTCTAGCGGTGAGCAAAGAGTGGGAGTGGAAGAAGATAGGGAAAGACCGCCCTCACCCCCCAATGCCAACAACAAAAAACCAACCCAAGAGGCATGGAAGTGGCACTTGTGAATATGTGAAACCTCCATAAGAAATCAATTTTTTAAATGAAGCTTATTTCAAAGTAATAGAAGCCTTTTTAGTTTCTTTAGTAGACAATTTATTTTGATAAACTTGCTCAATAACAAAAATACAAGTGAGGAAAATTATGTTCATTTTATACAGTTGTATTAACAATTTGTTTTGAAACTATTAATTGAAAAATGTTATAACCAATTAGAAAACAATTCTTAATAAAGTTTGGGATAATATACAGACCTTGATCACAAACTTCAAAATCTCTTGAGGTGATACAACTAAAAGTCCTGTGTAGGGAATCCTACCTACACGGGCCACTTTTTTCCTTCATGTTTTTATCCTTCAAAAATTTTCTGAAAGACAGCTTACTGTTTTGAATTGTGAATGTAAATTTAATTTTTTAAAGATGAAGTGGGTTGATAAAACAGTTACTATAATCAGAGTAACTTGTGGCTAGTAGTCTTTTAATAAAGACAAAATAAATGCAACATGTTCTTCCCATGAAGCCCATGATGCAAAATAATAGCTAACAGCATATGCAAAGTTAGTTTCCAATACTGTATTTTTCAGGGCCTTTCCTCTAAATCAACAGATTGTTTGTCACCAGGACTATTTATTATTTCACTTAATAGATTAAACAGTGAATTCACAGAACATCAAGTGGGGATATCAAAGCTTTAGGCAAAAGGGTAAAAACCAATAGTGTTTTGGTCATCTAGAACATTAAAAAGAAAAAAGAGCCATCCTTCAAAAACAAAACAAATGAAACAGAAAATAGGTTTATAAGAGGTGGAAGAGTCAGAAAAATTACATACACACATTAACAACATAGAACATGGATTACCTTTGGAAAGAATCATACTGAAATGTTTGCTTTTAATAAATTGAAGATTTTTCATGTTTACAGATGTTTGGGTATGTTCAATAGGAGCTTCCAAAAATGTCAAACTAATTCAGTCTTGTGCAAATAAAACCTAAAAATAGTTTTCAGCAGATTTTACAGTGATATTCTTAGGTATGAGAAGAATGCACACACTCTAAAAACAATGAAACAGACAAAAGTTTGACAAATGATTGCACCATAAAACAGTGTTTTATATACAGTTTACAAGATACGATTTCCTGCTATAAATTAATACTGTACTATATAGTACTTATTATAGTGACCTTTTTTAAAAGCAACTGCGGACAGTTGTCTATCTTTTCACTTATAGGATTTATAGAAATCTATATGAATGAATCCATTTCAATGTCTGGTCTGCAAGAGTACGAAGACTTGACTTCACATACTACTTGATGGGATGGTTTAATCCTGGGTTAGAGTGCTGACTGGCTAGAGGGAGTTTTCCCCCATCAGCCCTGTATGCACTGGACCTCCAAGACAACAATGAAATTAAAGACAATTTAATGGTTTGGGTAATAGATACAAATAAAACCTTAAATTTTGTAATCTTAAATGCAATACCACCATAAGTGAAAGAAGTAAACAGTGGGGAAATTCTTAGCAGCTGAGAAACTTTCTCTCCCCATGCTCATGATCCAGTTAAAAATATTTTGAGAAACTATTTACAATACAATTCATCTTTTGGAAGAGAAAAGCTCTTGGTCATGTCATAAGTTAATTTGAACCATACTTTGCTAACACTTTATCTCAGTGGTATATAACGGTGACAACCAAAGCTTTCCTTCAAAGTGATCCATTTGACTGAGGACCAATCAAATCAGAATAGCAACTGCAATCCCAAATGTCCATAGAACATGTCCAGTGGTATTCTTAGACTTGACTAGACATCATCATACTTGGGGAGAAACAGTCTCCCTCAGGATCTCCCAAAGGTTTCTTTTACTCTGGGAAGGAAAAGTATGACATTCTCCCAGAACACTTAAGAAATGCACCACAGTGGTGGTCCATCTCTCTCCCCAATTCCTGAGTGAGCTCAAACACTGGGGTTTTCTTTCACAATAAAATACTGCTGAATTAACAGTAAGATAGAAGACTGTCAAACAAGCCAGTGTGAAACACATCAAGCACCTCCATTTCATAGTGTGAATATCTGAGGAGGTAGCTCCCATCTTTGAAGTAATCATTCTAGAACTGATAATCTAGCCTTAAAAACAGTGCGTTCATTTCTGCTTGTGTGAAGCATGGGCCACATGGGACTCTACTGACAGGGAGTCATTTGGGTCATCAGTTCACTATAAATGACAGGGACATTTGGGTCACCAGTTCACTATAAAGAGGAGAAACTTAGCTCCACTGCCATGAAACACCCTGTCCCACATTTCAAACAGGAGATTATCTATAGTGTTCACCAGGAAAAACAAGCATTGATGCGAAGGCATGGAGATGTGGAGAAGAGAAATACTGTATTTTAAAACTGTGAGTTCAAGGGTTAGCTGCAATGCTTCTTTTAGGGAAGAACTTAAAGCTGTGGGTTTAGTACAGCCCTTTAAAGTAAATGCAAAAATATTAGCTTTTAGCAAACAAAGGCATATAACATATAAAGAAAATATTGTATTGCTCAGGTTTTGGTAAAGATGTATTAATAATGCTTACAGATAAAAATAATGAAATTAGTGTTGTAAATAGCCAAAATAGCCAGATATTTACTAGCGAACTTTGTATTTATGTAAAGTGTGCCTGAACATATAAAATGCATTATTAATGTAACAGACTGAGCCAGTAGAAAAAGAATCTCTGTACAACAGACAACAGTTGCCAATAATTTAAATAGTGTCAGATTCCCCAAATTATAAGGTTTGACATGATCTTACCTTCTACTATCATATACAAATAAATTAACCCTACAAATAATTTTTAGCTTAACTTAAAATCGCACCTAGAAAGGTATGGGATTATCTGTACCTATTACAAAAACCTGTTAAAATCAAGGGCTGCTACAAAGAATGAGGTAAACTGAAGACTCTCTCCACTATGCAGCCTTCAGATAAATGGCTTTTTTTTCTATTGGGTTCTAGGTTTGCACACCACAGTGTTTTGCTAGCAAAGCATTCAGAATTCTCTTCCAGGAACTGTTTGCATGTGTGTGTATATAAATTTACACACACATACACACACACACACACACACATATATACACACTGTATACTGCATCAGCAAAATATATATATTATATATATTTATATAAATATAAGGAAGATTTCCCCCACCCACCCACCCAAAACATGTGTCTTAGTGTTTGATTTTTTTTTTTTTTTGTACACAGAGAGAGGGAATTTCAGAATTTTTACATACATTTTAGCAAACAAGTTTTGATCTATTGGCTTCTTGGTGCAGTAATGCAACGGCAATCCATTCTGGTGCCAAAGGCTCATACTATTACAAGGAAGTTGTGAACACTAATTTCTTAGGAGGTGAGGCCAGCCCCACATGAACTTCTCTTGCATCCCTCTGGTCCACCATGACACATAAATACTTAGACTTTTTTTTTTCCTCTAATGAATCATTAGACATTAAAAACGGAATAACAGAGTCACAAAGGGCCACATGCTTTTCGGTATAAAGCATTCTCCTTCTCTAGGTTGCTATCACAGTGCAGACCTGACTGCCTGAATATGCTCAGGAGATTTAGTCAATATTGTCTGTATTTGGTTATGGAAAAGGCTCTCCTTTTTTTTTTTTTTTTTAAATCCAAAGTGCATAGTGAGAACAAACCAAAGCATTTTTTTTTCCTTCTCAGCATCAGTTTCATCTGAGCATCTTCCCATGAGAGGCCTGCTCAGATGCCTCGCCTTTGTCCTCTCCACCCTCCAAAAATAAAAAAATAAAATAA
The DNA here is from genome assembly GCF_000001405.40 of Homo sapiens. Lineage (NCBI taxonomy): Eukaryota > Metazoa > Chordata > Mammalia > Primates > Hominidae > Homo > Homo sapiens. Next base: position 1,024,120 of record NW_017852933.1, read on the forward strand.
AATAAAAAATAATAAGAGTCAAGCAATTTAGACATTCATCAGCCTGGTAAACAAACTTTGCCAGCAAATAGAAGTCCTACTATTGTAAAGAAAATTGATAAGACAAAAAGTACATATGATGACCCAACTACTGTGTTGTTGGGTAATTTATAAGGTTGACCTCCGACTTCATTGATGTAAAATCCTATTGGAAATATTAGGGCAGCCATACAGAAAAGGATCACTGTAAAACAAACCAAAACACAACATTAGTAACATGGTTTGGTGATTTCAAAAAACAATGAAAATTTGGCACAAAGGAAGCTTGTAAGAAGGGCTGGCCAAACCTGTTAAAACATGGACCACTTGTTAAAAATGTGTATATATTTCAGGTCACATAGTATCCCTGAAGCCTAACAATACAGTAAAAGCTAGGTTAGGCTTTTATGTAAGTTTTAGGACAATTCTGAATATCAGGATTAAGAAAGTCCTTTTCCAAACCTACCAAATCCTCACAAATACGATTCCTAGCCATTTACAATAGTAATTAAGGGCACTAGCTAGAGTCAGATAGGGGCTCAATTCCAGCTCTATTGCCTACTAGCTGTGTAATCTTAAGCCTCTGGTTCCCTTCTGAAAATGGGGGAAATACTAGAAGGATAAATAAAATAATGTCTAGTCCCTGACACAGTGCCAGGTAACAGTAAGTGCTGAATGAGTGCTGCATACCATTATCACAATAGTTACTATTCTGACAATTCTCTGTTCCTCTCAGTGTTAGTGAGAAGGAATTGGAGAAAAGGTACATATAAATAAGCATCACTTATCTTACTCTGATTTAAAATCAGCTAGTAGAGGCTGGGCATGGTGGCTCATGTCTGTAATCCCAGCACTTTGGGGGGCCGAGGCGGGCGGATAACCTGAGGTCATGAGTTTGAGACCAGCCTGGCCAACATGGTGAAACCCTGTCTCTACTAATAATACAAAAATTAGTCAGGCGTAGAGGTGCAAGCCTGTAATCCCAGCTACTCAGGAGGCTGAGGCAGGAGAATCACTTGAACCTGGGTGGTGGAGGTTGTAGTGAGCCAAGATTGTGCCACTGCACTCCAGCCTGGGCAACAGACTGAGACTCTGTCTCAATACAAAAATAAATAAATAAAAATAAAATAAAACCAGCTAGTAGAAATAACCTCAGATCTCTGGGATTAGTAAAGTGTCACAGTGGTTATCTCTTATCATGGATAATATTCCAAAAAATAAAATCTCTGTCTGGTTTCTGAATACCCAGAGAGGTAGGTTAAAGTCAGGGAGGATAGGTAACCTTCTTTGAGTTTTGCATGTAAACACAAAGGAGTATATTATTTGTTAAAATGTTTTTAAAAGGATATCAGAAAACCCAATGTCCGGGTAAAAGTGATTCCACAGTCCAGTGTTTCAGCAAATGGCCTGCTCCCTTGTGCTACCAAAGAAATGGTCTTCTTAGTGAACACAAACTATTTACAGATAGGCTAGCTTTTCCAAGAAAATATTTTTGCTTTTTGAAAGCATATTGCTCAAGTGTTCATTGTCCTTCAACTTTCTCTGGAGGCAGAAATACTTCTTCAGTGTAATGTGAGGACAGATTACTAGGCACTGTACATGAAGAGTTGGACCTTCCATTATTAACTGAATGCGTTTTCACCTCCAGGTGAAAACTATCCCCCAGCAATACTAACAGAGTCCTGGATAAACATTTCAGCTGACACTCGTCTCTACATTTTTTTGTGTGTTAACCAATCAACAAAACTTTCAGAGTTTTAAAAAAGTCAATTAGGAACCCCTTCCAGAAGGAATAACTCCAGCAATACAATGAGAAAAAACATTTGCTTAAGTAATACATCAGCTTAAGAAACAACAGCACTCTTACTTGTACGATTTAGGTAGATTATTTTATATTATACAAACTTACAGCTTATTTCATTTTGGGCAAATGACCACACCAAATAATATTACATAAGCAAACTTGGATTTTTTTAGATAGCTACTATAGAACAAATGAAAAATTCAGGCATTATGTTTTATAGCTTTTAGCTTTTTTGTTGCATAGTCAGCAACAAATAACTATTAGTGCTGCCAATGCCCACTTATCAGTGTTGTCTGTCACCAATTTCTAATGGTTCCACAGCTTAATATGGTCTGGTGAGTAAAATGAAACCACAATTTAGGTAACTATACACAATCTAATTTAAAAAACAATGGGGCAAAATTATTGTTGTAAAACAATTTTTTTCTTAATGTTGACTAATCTCAAGAAACAAGTAATTTAGAAAAGTACTTTAGGAATATGCAGATGTTAAATTTGTTCATTATGTTGACATGCCAACTTTGTTCCTATCATTTCCTATTTTCTACTCTAAAAAAGATCTATCCTTTATAATGGAGTAATCATTCTGCAACCAAAGAGTTTAACATTTTCAAGAGTTAAATATTTTCCAAATTTGTTAGAAAAGGCTTAAATTTTAAGGGAACAATGAAGTCCTGTTTAACCTTAGTTTTAAATCCAAGGAAGCAGGTTCTCTATACTTCCTGGGAGCAGATTTAATGCAGGTGGATGAGTTTTTCTTTTAAGCTATTGTGAACTATTAAGTTACTTTAGATCTTAAAATATTATTAATGCTGATAATATCAAACTTTGAAGGCTGAGCTTTGGATCCTAAATAAGTTTGTAAAGACACAATTTCATATCCTCCATGGCACAGATTTCTTGGTGGCGAGAGTCAGAAATCAGGTGCACTGGTAGGTGAGGGTGGAAATCAGGGTGGCAAAGGAAAGAACAAGGGCCAAACTTGAAGAACAGGACGACTCATCTTGGTTTCTCTTGCCCCCATAGGGAACCCCCATCATGTGGGGGCTCTTCTCTGAGACATATTTCCCCACTGTGCACGGCCATCAGAAGATATCACCCTTACATTATTATGAAAACTATAGCTTAACGGGAATAGAAATACACATAATAAAGTACATTTTTCAGGGGTGGAGTGGAAACACTAGGGGGCGCCCAATCCCTCTCAGAACTGTCACCCCAGCCACTCGTTCTGGTACCAAAAACAATGTATTTAAGGAAGCTAAAAGCAAGGCAGCCCTTATCCTCACCCTCAAGGTCCTCATGCACCAGGGAGGTTCTCAGAAGCCTTGAGCCATTAGACTCATTAACCTGTTTGACTAGGGAGCCCCAGGAGGTCCTCGGTGGGGCTGTCACGGGATATGGGGGAGCTCTATGCTTGCTTAAATGAAATTAGCTCAAAGATATATTACGTTTAAAAACCAAGATACAGAACAGTAGAAAAAATTTTACATAAATATGTATGTATGGAACACACACATAATAGATATGTTTCTGTGCACTGAATACCTCTAGTAGGAAACCCCAGAAACTGGTAAAAATGGTTGCCTCCAGGAAAGGGGTTAATGGGATGGCTGGGTGACAGGGCCAAATATGATTTCACATGGTTACCCTTTCAGAGATTTTGAATTATGCATCATATGCACATATTATTTCAAAAAGTTAAATTATTTAAAAAATAAAGAAAAAAATACATTGCATTTGGGGGCAACTACACATACTTAAATATTCTCTGCTTAAGGGGAATGGAAAACAGATAATCCTAGTTCTTTCCCTTTATTGGGTCATAAGAATCTATAGCTCATGAGAGCATATAACGTTTCGACTCACACTACCTTGCTAAATCATATTTTAGGTTTTTGGTATTCAAGGCATATGCATTCCCAAATTTCAACTAAATCCAGAAACTAAATCCTTCTTTGATATTATTTCACTCCTTGAAGAGTGATTTCTATCTGGATTAGTGAATCTGTGAGTAAAAGATAAAGAAGCAGATTCTCTTTAAATTTCTCATCAATATCCTTAACTTTAGCCGCACTGTTTCTACGATTGCTTCTGGACCCTCTCTCCAGAAAAGAATTGTCTCAGGAGGTCTGTTGGACAGGGGAAAGGTCACCAACTTGTTTCACTCTGCTTAACAAGGATGGAGAACCTTTTTTATATAAAAGGCAACTTGATCTAAATTTAAAAATTAAGGGCAATATAGATAAACAGAGTCAGAAACATACACATTAAAGAGTATCAATTTCAGAGAATACAGGAAGAAACAGAGGCTCATGAAGGAATATCACTCTCCTGCAGCCCTTTAGGATAAACTGAGTTTTAACATTAATAGGGATACAAGGGATTATCCCTTATCCCAATTATATGCGTTCTAAATGAAAATATCAAGAGAAAGTCAGCTGTTATATTTATTTTTAAAAATGTATGCAAACCTGAGATTATTTTAAGGCACTGAATTAAAAGTCTCATTTGCATAGGTATTGTTCTCCTGTTTCTTTAGAGCAGGATTTCTAAACAGTGGCTCTACTGCTACTTGGAACCAGATAATTCTTTGTTGTGGGGGGCTGTCCTATGTATTTGTAGGACGTTTAGCAGCCTCCCTGCCTCTACCCACCAGCATCCCCCTAGTTGTGACTACCAAAAATGTTTTCAGATATTGTTAAATAACCCCTGGGGTGCAAAATTGCTTTGGAGAAAAAGAAGCACGAAAGCAGAATTGCAGAAATGTCTTTTCTTTGTGCATTTTTGTTTCTTCTGTTTAACTTGAGATAAATCTCTGATGTGTTGTGAAATTAAACCAATTTTGCAAAGTACAAGAGAATGTGTAATATATAAGCTTATACCCTTGGGCAGAGCTTAATGGAGTAAGAAATATTGATAAACAATTATTAAATAACAAAATGTGTTGATTTTTCAATGGTTACAACATACAGCAGAAACTCAAAATCAATATTAAAAAATATTTCCACCTTCATCTAATTTATATTTTTATGTATTTGTTCTATACTTATCTTTATTTTGATAGATGATACCAATAGCTTCAAGAAGAGGAAAAGACTCAGGCTACTGGTAACTCTGAGTCACAAACCTGGAACACTTATGTCACAATCTGAGCAAAAATAAAATTCATTAAAATAGCATTTCATACAAAGTGATTAAAGTTGTGGATGTCCTGGTCTTGCAGAAAGAGTTTTGAAGAAATGATGGGACTGTGTAGAGTCTATCTCACGGCCATACACAAGTGGTGCTCTTTGATGATTATGAAGTCCTTATTACTGATTCTTGATTATCTTCATAAAAATACCAGTGTGGGTGGGTGCCTTCTAGACAAATTTAGTAAGCACAGGTTACTTACTTCCAGTGAATGCTATCCATCGAGCATATTTTGTAGCTTCTCTTCGCCAGTGGGAAGCCACCAGCAAACCACATGTGACAGTCAATGAAATGATTCCCATGATGATAAAAAACAGTGTGGTGACCCACTCCGGGGGAAGCCGGGGAGGGATGCACGTCCGGTCTCGTCCATGGATTGTTTGACACTGTCGCACGAGGCCCACAGTGAGTGCTCCTGGGGAGATGCAAATGGTGGGAATACTTTAGTGGGTTTGGCCTGTCCAGGGAATATTCCTCACCACCACCCCTTTAGTTCTTAAATCTCATTTATCTCTTCGTGGGTCATTCAAGCACATCCTAAGTCCTACTCTTCAGCATCTGCTGTAGTTCATAACGTAGTAATACTTAGTTTAACATACAAAGTGAACCTAAAAAAATAACAAATGACCTCAGAAAAGTCATAACAGGCAGTTCACTCAGGCATTCATTAAATAAATACTTTTCTGAGTAATTGTGTCAGGTATTTTTCTAGGCTCCAGGGAAATAACAGCAGACAGGATGAGGTTCCTGCCCTCACTGAGCCTGCATGCTGGCAGAAAGAACTGGTATTTTTTGATTCCTAGATCCAAGACTCATTGTATATGACTTCATTTTGGCTGAAAAGAAAATCACTTTTCAGGAAATTGAAGACAAACCTGAAATATGCCTAATTGTAATATAGAAATAAAATTAAATAATAGATTAAATGCCAGAAGCAATATGTTTATGAAAGGTATAAGGTCTAAGAATATTACAGTATAAGTAGTTTTCCATTAAACTCAAGAAAATGTTGGAAAAACTAGGAGGGCCCTCTGTCCCAAACTTGGTATATTCACCAATTTTTGTAGAGTTTACAAGTGTTCACACTGCCAAACCATGGCTGGCATGCTTCACAGAAAATCACAAAGGCAAATTATGAAGGTAATTCTTAAAGTGTCTCTCCCCATTCAAATAAAAGTGATTTTGGTAAAACATCAAGCATTATTTTTCCATAAGGATGTTCTCATGTCAAACCCAAGGGCCCTCCCTCAATCAAATTTGGGGTAATTTATAAAAACTTAGATTAGAAAGGTGACAGAGCAATTATTTGATCTTCTTCCCCAATAAGAAGAATGTTTTCAATGGTACTTCTCAATAAAAACTACTTGTTTCCCCTTCCAAGAGCAATGGCAAATGGGAAAAGTTACCAAAAATATAGGAATGGAAATTTCTGGAGCTATTAGAAACATAACAGATTTTTGCATTTTGGGGGGATTTTTTTGGTCTACATTCTTTTATTTATAGAGATGGGGTCTATGTTTCCCAGGCTGGTCTAGAACTCCTGGTCTCAAGCGATCCTCCCGCCTTGGCCTTCCAGTGTGCTGAGATTACAGGTGTGAGCCACTGTGCCTGGCCAGCATTATTTTCTCAATATGAACACAAAAATAAAAAAGACATTGACCTCGAAATCATAGCACTTGCCACGAACAAATGTCTTCTGTGAAGGGAACTGGTGAAATTCCTAGTGGCATTTTGGGAAGCTGCCCTGGTGGGAAGACAGAGCAGGGCTGGACTTGTGTGTGCACGTGCACGTGTGGCTAGGTGGGGCTGCTGGAAGGAGGGTGCTTTTCTGCAACTTGAGTTTGGCCATTGATGTATTTTTAGAAATAAAGCAACTTGTTGAAATAAAATGAAACAAGAAATCAGTTCTCTCAAAGTTGAGTTTGAGTCCTCCCCCAAATGCTAACTGTTAAGCAGAGAAGAAAATAAACAAGCTGTACTTTTTCTCCCAAGTCATCTAATAACTATACCCATCTGGTGATCCCTGCCCAGGTGCAAGCAACATTATACTTATGGGGTTATCACAGGCAGGAGGAAGGCAGACCGGACAGAAAGTACACAAATCTTCACAAAAATGCCACACACTATGCCACACACCACCTTCTACTTGGAGCTGATTGACTTCATAGGCCAAAGAGAAGTAAATCAGTAAAAAAAAAAAATTGTCACACTATTTATTGCTAACCTTTTAAGTTTCACGGTAATTGCTTGAAACCAGAAGAGAGGATTTGGTAGAGGTGAGTAGGCACCAGGGAATTGCATGACTGTTCTTAAACAAAAACACTAAAAAGTCTCCTTGAAAACAAAAAAAAAAAAACTTGAGGGAGTGTCTTATGATAAGGCATTTTCTTGTAATTTTGGAAATAAAGAAGGCATTCACAGCAGTGCTCGAGAACTCTTAACAGGAAACTCCTCCTGATCATTCAGCAAAAGACCGTTAACAAATTATCCTTTTCTAGTCACTGTTCCATTTATAAAAGATGTAACTGCTGGCAATGAAAGACCCTCTGACAAAATGCAATATTATGAATTATTATATTAGCAACTTTCTTCTCAATTTAACATACAAAGTCTGTACAGTTACAAAGGTAACTACATACCTAGTGAACTTAGATTTACATTTGATTTTTTTTGCTGGTAAACATTAAAAATTGTAGGTTCAGTACATCATAACTGAACTTTCCTTCTAAATATTTGAGTATCCTTATGTTGACTTTCTTACTCTCTCAGCGTTAGAAATGAAATTTAACTTAACCTCCTGTGCCTGTAGATTCTGAGTGGAATTGCTTTCCTCCTCCTCTGTCTAGCACACCACACCAAGTGACTACAAACAGAACAAGCACGAAAATTTCAACACCTTCTATAAAACTGCAAATAATCTGACCACGGTTTAGCTTTAAAAGAATAGCTATAGTCCTGTATTTATCAAATTCCTTATCACAATAAATCAAAACCAAATAGCAGCTCTATTCTAGAAGAAAAAAAGCTAATGCTAATCGACAAACAGAAGGCATACTGTATATAAGAAAATCAATACACTTTTTTTTTTTTTTTTTGAGATGGAGTCTCGCTCTGTCACCCAGGCTGGAGTGCAGTGGCGCGATATCACGGCAAGCTCCGCCTCCCGGGTTCACGCCATTCTCCTGCCTCAGCCTCCCGAGCTGCTGGGACGACAGGCGCCCACGACTACGCCCGGCTAATTTTTTTGTATTTTTAGTAGAGACGGGGTTTCACCGTGTTAGCCAAGATCGTCTCGATCTCCTGACCTCGTGATCCGCCCGTCTCGGCCTCCCAAACTGCTGGGATTACAGGCGTGAGCCACCGCACCCAGCCAATACACAAATATTTTGCTGAGTCTCTCTCGTGCTCAGCATAGTAGCAGTCAGAGATTCAACAACTAATATGCTCACACATTCAGTAAAAATAGACTTTCCTTAAATATGCAAGGGCTAATGCAAACAGTGGTCAGTCAACATTGTTAAAGTTCATTTTCTTGAGTGAGACTCTAAGTTGACAACATTTATAACACAGTCATATATTTTCTGTAAGCTGACTGGGGGAATTTGCAAGGCTAACTGTGCTGTTACTATTAAATCTTATAAATTCAGGTCTGTTAGTACCCGAACTTTCACCAGGCCTTCAAATTTAATATTTTACCTCAAGGAATTACCTCCTTGAGCTTCAGACTCATCACCCACATTAATAGTCAAGATCTTTTACTTCTTCTAAATTCCCTTAACACATTTAGTCTGTATCATACAACCATGCACTTACTTTAAGGTAGCTTCTTTTTATCCCCAAACAGGACATGAGCTTTTCAGAGGAGGGAACTGCACCTTCCACTCCACTGGAAACCCCAAAATGGCCTGCAGTAGTGGAATTCATAAGCATTAAGTGAGTTTAAATGTATTAAAAACAAGCTAAATTTAAAATCGCACTGCATTAAATAAGTTCTCTACTGTAGAGCTATCTTAATGTGGTTTCTGCACACTTATTAAATACAAGCTCAGCCATTCACGAATTTTTGTTTTATCCAACAGGTCTTTTTGCCTCTTGAAGGGGCCTGTAATTCCATTCCCCAAACAGCCAATCCATCTGTACCCTGCAGCTGTTTCCTAGGTAACTAACCCAGCCAAATAAAAGACTTGTACACAATAGGAAAAAGGAAATGGAACTAGAAACTACAGCATCCCACATGCCTCTCAGCATCTCACCTGTGCAGCATAACACACAAAAGGAAAGTCATCCTGAGTCTTACTCCATTAAGTGGGGGCATCTTAAGAAGCTTCGACGCTCATCATCTGTAAATCCAGACACTGTTAAAACGATTTAATACAGCCAGTCTGAGCATGTCTGTTGCCACAGTGAGGATGATTATAAGGTATGTCATCACTACATGTAAAAGCAGTGTCACAGAAAATCTGTAACACAGGGGCTGTAAGGCAGAAAGGCGCACGGCCACCAGTCTGTCAGAGCAAATCATGTGGAGTGCTTGCCAACCTGGCCAGAGAGAGCGTTTTCCCATACAGGGTTGGATTTGAGCAAAAATAGCGAAGTTAACATTAGCTATTATCTTCTTCCATCTCCCTGTTACGTTTTCCTCCTCCGGACAATGCTCTCCTCCTCTCACGGGGCTCTCCCTGTCAGCTCTAGGTACTATGATTTGGAGTGCCCAATCCCTACCACAGATGTGGATCTCTTGCTCTACTTCCTCCTTGGGGAAATAAAATCTGTTCTTGGCAAGCTGTTTCACTGGTTACACAGGCCAAAAAATACTCTACCACAAATGTCTTAATGATTGATAAAAGCTTAACATACTGCCTTTCCCAAGAGCATTTGTATTTGAGCGAGGGGTAGTATCCCAATTGAACTGAAATTACGGAGTTTCATGTTTTAGCAATGGGCTGGCTGAAGAAATTTAGAATTGGATTGCACGTGAAGATGGGGAGCAGGAAGGGGAAAGACCCCAGTGTACACAGCCCTGTGCACCTCCCTGGGTAAGTCAGACGCTGGCAGCTCGCCCTCTGAATGAGTAGAAGCACAAAAACAAAACAACAGCCTACGGGTAACTTAAAAACGTCACACACCTAATTTTTTCCTCTAGAAACATAGCTAGTGGTGATGATTTTTATCTGCTATGATTTCTAAATTGTATTTTAGGATATAGGTGCTTATAAATAGCAAACTGGCCAAAAAAAAAGAGTGAACAGGTAAATCAAAGAAACTTAATGAGCCACACATGGACAGTGTCTGAAAACCTGAGTAACATAATAGGCTGGGGCTGAGCCCTACTCTCCACTGTAGTATGCCTTCCTGTGACTTTCACCTGTTCTTACCCTCCCGGGAGTTTACAGTCACCCATCCTTACAGTTTCTCCCAGTCTCTCACTTTCCTCTTGCCTTCATGTCTTTCCCTACCCAGCCTAGAGTCCTTGATCCATTATGTTACCACCTTTTATCTTTTCATGCACCCACCTGGCAAAAATGATAGCCCTGACTCAATAGAAATTTCTTCCTTCTTGTACTAACCTTCAGGCTGTGGAATGCTGATGGAGAAAATCACATCAGAGCAGACGGGTGCTGCTGTAAATTTCTAAATTTTAATCTCAGGGCCGTCATCTCTGTCTAGAAACTAATTAGGTCTCACTAATTCCGTGCTTCACTGTTCTTTGCTGAGGCTGTTCCAAGACTCCTGCACTCTCCTTTAAAAAATCTACCACTTCCTTCATATTCAGTAGGTATCAGTCTCTATTATTTCTCAGAAAAAAGTAGAGGCCATCAGACAGCAAATCCTCAACTGTCTACCATCAAACTTACAAATGTATCTGAACACATTCATTCTTTCATTCTCACAATCCTTTCTCCTTGTGTTTTGGATCCCATCCTCCCCTTCTTTGGGATCTTGCCCAATACATTATTTTCTCTTTTCATATCTATCCTCTTCTGGATCTCAAAAATGTTTGAATGTGTTTAAGTCTCCCCTACCATAAAACAAAACTATCCCATATGCCAACACGTCCTCCAGGGGCATCATGCTTTCTGTTTCTGTCTTGCTTTGTCTAACCTCCCGTGCCCCCAGCCATGGCCAGATTTCCTCCTCCTCTGCTGCCTTCACTTCCCAGAGTCTCATTCACTCTTCAACCTACTGAAGGTTGGCTTTTGCCCCAACTACCATTTTGATAGAGCTCTTGTGAAGCTCACTCACTCCATAACACCAACTCTAATGGATGCTTAACATTTAAAGTCCTGGACTAAAAACATTTTAGCAGCATTTGATATAGCTTCTTCAAACACATTTCCTTTGGTTTTGGTAACTCCCTCCATATCTACTGGGTTTCCTCCTGCCTCTTTAGTTTCTCCTCCTTTCATACACACTTTTTTCTTTCCCATTTGTTAAAATTTTGTGTTCTTTAGGGATCTTTCTTGGATCTGGCTCTTCTATAGTGACTCTCTGTCCTAAATCCAAACTCTTTAAAATGGGCTGTAAAGGTCTGGATTATACTGCTTCTAGTCTTTCATTTCTTTTCATACTTGATGCTCTAATTCTTAGATTAATTCCTAATTCATATATCTCCTTATATTATACACACCCCAGGCCCTCATATATGCTGTTCCCTCTGCCTACAATACTCTATCAAACCTCTTTTCCTGGCTAGTACCTATGACTAGAAATTCCAGTTGCAGCTTAGAAGTTGCTCCTGGGCTATCTTCCTTGACAAGCTCTTACACTCCCATCCTGAGTTGAGTGCTTGTCCTCTGGGCTCCTATCAAAGCACTGTATCTCCTTACTGAACCTGAAGAGATCATGGGAACCCCTAAAGTTGTAGCCAGTGAGAAGCAGAGGTAGCCTGGGGACCCCCTGACCTTGTGGATAGCATCTGCATTGGGGGCAGCATCTGAATTTGTGGAGAACTGAGTCCTTAATTTGTGAGGTCTGCACTAACTCCAGGTGATTAGTGTCAGAATTGAATTGTCCTGCAGTGCACCAACTTGGGGTTGGAAGAGACTACATATCTTTACACAAAAACTTATATATGAATGTTCATAGCAGTATTATTCATAATAGCCAAAAAGTAGAAGCAATACAAATGTCCATCAACTGATGAATAAAAAACAAAATAGCCATACAATGAATTTTTCAGCAATTAAAAAAAAGAACTACTAATACATGTTACAACATGGATAAACCTTGAAAACACAATGCTTTGTGAAAGCAGCCAGACACAAAAGACCACATATTGTATGATTCCGTTTATGTGAAATGTCCAGAATAGGCAAATCCAAAGAGGCAGAAAATAGACTAGTGGTTGCCAGAGGATGGGGGAAAAAGAAATTGGGAAGTACAGGGTTTCTTTTTCTTGGAATGTTACAAATATTCTGGAATTAGACATTGGTGATAGTTGCACAATACTATAAGAAAATCCATATATGTGAATGTATGAAAAACCACTATGTTGTACATTTTATTTTTTAGGCCATTTTAAGGACTTCATAAGTTGTACACTTTAAAATGGTGAATATTACCTCAAAAGAAATCCAACAATCATTTAAATACCAACTTAAATTCAGTAGCATACGGAAACTTTACTCCAATATAGCTCCATTCTCTCCCTTGTCTTTGAACTATTATTATGCAAATTATATGTATACACTATAAGCCTAACACACTTTTATAATTATTGATTTAAAATAAAAAAGTTATAAGCAAAAATATATTTGTACTGACTTTTACATTTACCTACATAGTTACCTTTACCAGTGCTCTTTATTTCTTTATGTGGATCCAAAATATTGACTAGTATCCTTTTATTTCAGCCTGTGGACACACTTTAGTATTTCCTATAGAACATGTCTACTTGTGATGAATTGTCTCCATTTCTGTTTATCTTGAAATGTCTACATTTCTCCTTCAGTTTTGATGGATAGCTTTGCTGGATATAGAATTACTGATTGACAGTGATTTTTTTTTTTTTTCTTTCTTTTTAGAGACAGAGTCTCATTCTGTTGTCCAGGCAGAAGGCAGTGGCACGATCTTGGCTCACTGCAACCTCTGCCTACCAGGTTTCAAGCGATCCTCCTACCTCAGCCTCCTGAGTAGCTGGGATTACAGGCATGTGCCACCACGTCCAGCTAATTTTTTTGTATTTTTAGTAGAGATGTTTCTCTACTAAACAACATGCTTCACCATGTTGACCAGGCTGGTCTCAAACTCCTGACCTCAAGTGATCTGCCTGCCTTGGCCTCCCAAAGTGCTGGGATTACAGGCGTGAGCCACCATAACACATCCAGCCGAGAGTGATACAGCACTTTGAACATGTCCCGCTGTTCCCTGGCCTAATAGTTTTTGATGAGAAGTCAGCTGTTAATAGTATTGAAGATCCCTTGCATATGAGGATTCACTGTTTTCCTGCTCCCTTCAAGATTCTCTTATGTCTTTGTCTTTCAACTATGATGTTTCTGAATGTATATTACTTTGAGTCTATCCTACTTAGAATCTCTTAGATTTTTCAATGTATAGTTTTTCATCAAATTTGGGGAGTTTTTAGCCATTGTTTTTCTAGACATTCTTTCCGCTCCTTTTTCTCTCTTCTTCAGGAATTCCCGTTATGTGTATGTTGATATACCTGATAATGTCCCACATTTCTTATGTTCTCTTCACTTTTCATTATTTCTTCTTTCTGTTCCTCATATGCAATAATCTCAATTGATGTGTCTTTAAGTTTGATGATTCTTTCTACTTCTGATTTGTTTTAGCTATTTAACTTTTCAACTCCTGAATTTCTATTTTATTTCTGAAAATAATTTCTATCTCTTTATTAGATATTCTCTATGTGGTAAGCCACTGTTTTCAAACTTTCCTTTAATTCTTTGTTATTTTGGGGAACATATTTATAATTACAACAGCTGATTTAAACTCTGTCTAGTAAGTCCAATGTCTGGGCTTCATCAGGAGCAGTTTCTATTGAACGCTTTTATTTTTCCTGTGTATAGGCCACACTTTCCTGTTTCTGTGTGTGTCTTGTAATTTTTAGTTGAAAACTGGACATTTGAATAATATAATGTGACAACTATGGAAATCAAATTCCTTCCTTCCCCAGGATTTGTTGTTGTTACTGTTTACTAACCTTCCTGGAATCATTCTGTAAAGTCTGTATCCTTTGTTGCGTGTGGCCTCATCTATTAGATTAGTTTAGTAGTCAGCTAATGGTTAGAATAAGGTTTCTTTACATTCTTTGAACCAATAAGACTCTCAGCCTTTGCTGAGGGGGTCTCTCTCTGTGCTGTGGCACATCATCAATGCTGCAGCAGACAATTTACAACTCTGCCTTGGCCCTCACTTCCTGCTTGCATTGAGTCCTAAATCAGGTAGAGGTGAGAGAGTAGGGCCTTCCCAGTTGTTGCCTGGGTATGTGGACAGTCCCAAACATGTGTGTGGCCCTTCAGGTTCCCAGAAATAAGTTGGAGCTTTTCAAAGACTCCTATGGACATTCTATTCCTCAAATTTTCCTTTATGTTTGCCTGTCAGTCTTTTGTTACCCCAATACCTCAGGAACCTGTGATGCTGAACAACTGCTGACTGTTTTTAACAAATGCCCTAGGAATAGAACAGAGCAAACTCTGAATCTGATCAAACAAAGATAAGCCCTAAAAATTGAAATTTTCAGTGAGCTGCCAGACCGATCAAATAGTGACAATTCTCTGGGGATGGGGCTTTAAAAAGTACCAAACCCCCTGCCCTCTCAATTGGTTGCTAAGCTGCTAGTTTTCACAGCTACTATAGCTGTGAGGCTACTGGTTTTCAAGGGTACTGGGGACAGGTAGATGGAATTAGCACAATTGAAACTGCCACAAAGTTTGCTTTTCTTACCCAAATACAGGCAATTTTCTCGAATGCTCCTTCAATTGTTGCAAGCTTTAATTTCCAGAGTTCTGAAAAGGTTGACCTAATAATTTTGCCAGTGTACTTGTTGCTTTTATAGAGGAGCAGATTTTTGGAGGTCCTTACTTTGCCATTCCAGAAATTAAACTCAACAACAGGTCACAATTTGAATTTCAGTTTTGTCACTAATTTGGGCAAGTCAGTTAATCTTTCCAAGCCTGCTTCAGCAAAAAAATAGTACAACCACCATTTAGGTCTGTGTGAGAATTAAACAAGATAATGAGATAACACCTGGAAGGCAATCAGAACTGTAAGCACTGAATAATAGTTTTCAGGAAAAGAAATTAGATATATTTTTTTTTTGTTAAAACATACACAGGACAGTACAAGACACACCAATTTAACACAGTAGTGTACTCATGAAACTTGCATTCCAACATAAAAAGGGTGCTAAGGCTATTGGTCATAAAAAGTAGTCAGGACATTACTTCCCTGTTCAACTTTTTAGTATATTATTCAGATTGATGACCACACACAAGGCAAGTTCAGGCTTGCTGAAATAGAAGCTCTGGGGATGGATTTTATTGTAATACCAATGCCGGAAGCCTGGAGATTGAGAAAGCTTTGCTATTATAATGAAATAACAAAATGTTTGTTATATAACAAGTAAAAAATGATCATTAGCCTTTAAGTTTGATTTTCTTTTTCCTTGCATCCTGTTGGCTGTTCCCTCTATCCCGATTTAAAAGACAACTATTACCACCTGTTTGTAAGCATGACTGTAGTTTGGAGGCCTTATTTTACAGTTGACTAAATCATACCCAACACTGCCCTCACATTACAGCTTATTAGCTCTTGCTCCCTAAAGTGACCTTAGGTTTAATCCCATAAAGACATTAAATACTAACTAGCAGCAAATCTCTAGTTTAAAATCTGCTTTATTGACAAGTACAACATGCTACCAGAATCTGTCCTCACTATGGCACTATGACTCTGCCAATTATTGAAGCTCTTAACATATAGTGCATGAAGAATTCATTAAAGAAAAGCTTACCACAATGTTTAAACTATCCATATAATGTATAGAAAATATGTGGAAGGATATTTGTCATACTGCCAAGAGTAGCCTACTCTGGTTGAAGAGAACTGGAGGTGACGTGGGGAGAGGGGGTGAGAACCTTTGTATTTTTACTCTGTCTTATCTAAGTGTAGATAAATCCATACAATTCTGTCTTTGGAAAAAAAAAGAATGTTTGCTTTAAATTTTAAAATTCTAAAATGTTTATACGATATTACACATTAAATTTAAGTGTGCTAATTGCATTTACATTACACACTATGAAATCTTTCAATCATGTATGAATTTAAGCACATGCTCTGGATCTAAAAGAAATTAAGAGTATGCCAAAGAAATTAGCATAAACCAAAGTGAGTCAGGTAGAAGGTTAAAATGGAATTTAAATTACAATGTCTGCATTTTCTATTCCATTTCAATTAGGGTATCAAGAGAAACTCCCATGGAAGAATTCCATTCAAGGATACTTACTGTTTCTTCCCAGATTAATCTGGCAGAAGTAACCCATTTATTTCACCTGAATGAATAACCTCCATGGTTTGTACACAGAACTGAGCTGGATTAAGGTGAGACTGGTAAAGAGAATGAAAGTTAAATTTGGTAGGTTAATTCTTGTGGCCAGAAAAGTACTGTGGAATTATCTGTAAAAGTATTTTAACAAAAAGACTAAACATTAATGACCCCATAGCCTCACAGAAAAGGACTGCCTGTGGACAATGATCAAGAAACAAGCAAGCAATGAGCAGACAATAGCAGCTCTCAAGTAAAGCTCCTGGCCAAAAGCAGTCATAAAATTAGAGAATTTAGAGCTGGCAGGGATCTCAGAGATCATCTGTTCTAATCTCCCCAAATTAGGGTTTAGAAAATACTGAAGCCCAGAGAGATTAGATGATTAATCCAAGGATACAAAGTTAATTAGCAGCGCTGAGACTAAAACCCAGGTTTTGAATTACCCACTTCAAAACTTCCTAGCACATGATGCTAACTTCCCTGAACACCATTCATTGAGTAAAGAAAATGAACAGTATTCCTAAAAATACCTCCAGGAACATTCAGACTTCTATCAGAACAGACTTAATCACAATTTTGTAAGCACAGTGATAGTGCATCTAAGGACTTTCATGGGAGGTAAAAAAACATATATATAGAGGGAGATGTCATCTTTGGGTTCCTCTTGTCAGTTCACAGGAGAGGCTCCCCTGGGTTTTGTTCCTTATAAAATGTAACCTCTTCCTACACTAGCCACTATTTCTCATAAACGTTCAAGGAACACCCTGCTCTCGGTTTATTCTCCTTAAAGAAACATCCCAATATCTTTGTCTGAAGAACAAAAGGATTCCCTACATCAACTTTAGGCTCTTATCCTATCTCCAAGGAAACTTGGCTATTTATAGTCTACTCTCAGACATCAAAATGAACACTCACATTTGTCTTACCTATTTGCATCGACCAGAAAATGTGCACTACTACCTTCTCAGGAATTTATAAAGTCACAAGAGCAAAGGATCCATTTATGATCTCCAGGTCTGTTAAAGTAACTGCTCTTTTTCAACTAGTTGATATTCCGGTATTAAACAACTTTAAATCATTTCTCTACTAAATTGTACTTCCTTAACAATTTACATGAGTACAGTAATTCTCTGACATTAAATCAAATTCTAAACCATTTAGTCATGTATGTGTTGTCTTCACAGGTAGATAGCATATCAGCAGTTCGAGTTCAGGTTCTGGATTAAGACTCAAATCTGGCCTCTCAAAAAAGGCGCGGTGGCTCACGCCTGTAATCCCAGCACTTTGGGAGGCTGAGGCGGGTGGATCACCTGAGGTCAGGAGTTCGAGACCAGCCTGGCCAACATGGTGAAACCCCACCTCTACTATAAATAAAAAAAATTAGCTGGGAATGGTGGCATGTGCCTGTAATCCCAGCTACTCAGAAGGCTGAGGCAGAAGAATCGCTTGAACCTGGGAGGCAGAGGTTGCAGTGAGCCGAGATCGCGTCATGGCACCCCAGCCTGGGCGACAGAGAAAGACTTCATCTCAAAAGAAAAAAGACCGAAATCCAGGTCTACCACTTACTGGCTGTGAGATTTTGGGCAAGTTAATTAACCTCTGTGTACCTCAGCTTCCTCAGTAAATGCAGAATGACCTCCCAGTATTGTGTGTATTAAGAGAGAGAATGTATACAGAGCACTCAGAACAAATGCCTGGCACAGAGTAAGAACTTGATAGATGTTAAATATTATCAATAATGTGTTGCTATGTCGATATACTTTTAAAAAAGGAAATAGGCCAGGTGCTATGGCTCAGCTCACATCTGTAATCCCAGCCCTTTGGGAGACAGAGGCAGGAGGATCACTTAAGGCCAAGAGTTTGAGCCTGGGCAACACACTGGGACTTTATCTCTACAAAAACTAAAAAAATCAGCCGGGCATCGTGATGTGCACCTGTGGTTCAAGCTACTCAAGAGGCTGAGGTGGGAGGATTGCTTGAGCTCAGAAGTTTGAGGCTGCAGTGAGCTATGAACATGTTACTGTACTCCATCCTGGGTGACAGAGACCCTCTCTCTAAAATAAATAAATTAAATATAAGAAAAGAAAAAAAAGAAATAAGAGAAACATAGTTTGGGATTCTATCTTTCTCTTTTTTATATATTTTTTATTTTAGTATTCTCTTAAATTTATTGTTGTCTCATAGTACCTCTGAGTCTCTTGCTTTTTTAGACTTAGAAGAAAAATCATGAATTCATGTCCAATTTATGTAGATCCACTTGTTTTTAAATGAGTCAGAACTGTAAAAGTTTAGAGCCTCACAAATATGAGGAAAGCAAGTTTAACACTGAGACAAGTGTTTCTCTGTGCCATCAGTGTGATGCCTCAATTATAAAGTGGATAGATTTAAGAGTGGAGAGCTTTGGAGAATGACAAAAGTTCTAGTTCTGACATCTCTTCTTCCATTTAATCTTTAAGAGGAGCTTGTTTTCTCATTGTAGTTAAATTCAGCATAAGATTAAAAATGTAAGGTGATATCTCCCCAATTTTCAACTTCTGAAAACACTACCTAAGCTTTTGCAGAAATATATAAAATCAATCCCTCATTAATTAGCTTACATTTGTGGTAGCCATGATCTCCTAAGCAAAGAGATGGTGGTCTAGAAAAACCATACTTTAGAGAAGGTTTCTCATGATCTTGAGAAGCCTAGCACCACACCATGAGCTATGCCTGACTTTTCTGTCCAAGTCTAGTGGGCACAAGCGTGCTATACCAAGCTTTCATTCATTCCGCAAATACTGAGCACAAGATCTGTGCAATACACTGTAGGATGTATGAAGGACACATGAAGACATGACCCCTGTGTTTCCAGAACTTCCATACACACAGCCAGACACACATCCACAGAAAGTTAAAAAGCACAATACATAGGAGGGTGTGAGTTAATGCCAAGGGAATTGTGCAGTCGTGTGGGATTAAGAATCTGAACATAAGCATTCTATCCACAGGCACCACTACTCATGGAATTTTGAGCAAAAAGCTTCATTGTCTTTTGGTCTACTGTCCCATTTTACAAGTGATATCCTAAAAGGCTTCTGATAACCCTTCACAAATGCTGACATTAGGTTTACTGAGGTCGAGTTTAGATACAATAAAATTCACATTTTAAAATGTACAATTCAATGAGTTCTGACAAATATATGTAGCCATTTCAACCATGATATAGAATGTGTGCATCACCATAAAAAGTTCCCAGACTCCTTTGCAGTTAGCCTCCTCCCCCAAGCTCCCAAGGTAGATCTACATTCTAACAGTGTAGTTTTGCCTCTTGTAGAATTTTATATAAATGAAATCATATGCAATCATGAATAAGGCTACTATAAACATTTGCATACAGGTCTTTGTAAAGACCCGTTTTCATTTTTCCTGTGTTAATACCTAGGAGTGAAAAGCTTAGTCATATGGTAAGTGTATGTTTAAATTTATAAGAAACTACCCAACTGTTTGCTAAAGTAGCTGTACTTTTCTTTTTTTTTTTTCTTTTTTTGAGACAGAGTTTTGCTCCTGTTGCCCAGGCTAGAGTGCAATGATGCGATCTCGGCTCACTGCAACCTCCGCCTGCTGGTTTCAAGTGATTTTCCTGCCTCAGCCTCTGGAGTTGCTGGGATTACAGGCATGCGCCATAAAGCCCAGCTAACTTTTGTATTTTTAGTAGAGATGGAGTATCACCATGTTGGCCAGACTAGTCTTGAACTCCTGAGTTCAACTGACTGGACTGCTTCGGCCTCCCAAAGTGCTGGGATTACAGGTGTGAGCCACCGTGCCCGGCCAGCTGTACTATTTTACATTCCCAGCAGCAATATCTAAAAATCTAGTTGTTCACCATACTCATCAACACTTTGTATTTTCAATCTTTCTAGTTTTAGCCATTCTAAAAATGTAGAGGTAGGCATGTAGAGGTCTCTTACTGTGGTTTTATTTCCCTAATGTTTAATGATATAGAACATATGTTCATGTATTTACTTGCCATCTCTGGCCTGTTAAAATCTTTATCAATTAAAAAAGTCAAGTTGTCCAATGATTAAAGAGTTCTTTATATATTCCAAATATTCTGAATACAAGTCCATCTTCTGACATGTGTTTTACCAATATTTCCCCCATAGCCTTGCTTTTAAATTTTCTTAGCAATGGCTCTTGAAGGACAAATGTTTTATATTTTGAGTCCAATTTTTCAATTTTTTTTTGAGACAGAGTCTCACTCTGTCACCCAGGCTGGAGTGCAGTGGCGCAATCTCGGCTCACTGCAACCCCAGCCTCCTGGGATCAAGCGATCCTACTGTCTCAGCCTCCTGAGTAGCTGGGACCACAGACATGTGCCACCACGCGTTGCTGATTTTTGTATTTTTGGTAGAGACACATTTTCACCATATTGCCCAGCCTGGTCTCGAACTCCTGAGCTCAAGTGATCCACCTGCCTCAGCCTCCCAAAGTGTTGGGGTTACAGGCATGAGCCACCATACCTGGCCAATTTGTCAATTTCTTATCCTGCCTTCTGTGGCTACTTAGTGGCAAAGGGGGAAAACCCCATTGATATGGTTTGGCTGTGTCCCCTCCCAAAATCTCATCTTGAATTATAATCCCCATAATCCCCACATGTTGAAAGAGAGACCAGGTAGAGGAAACTGAATCATGGGGGTGATTTCCCCCATGCTGTTCTCGTGATAGTGAGTTCTCACAAGATCTGATGGTTTTATAAGTGTTTGGTAGTTCCTCCTGCGTTCATTCTCCTTCCTGCCACCTTGTGAAGAAGGTGCCTTGCTTCCCCTTCACCTTCTGCCATGATTATAAGTTTCCTGAGACCTTCCCAGCCATGCTGAACTGTGAATCATTAAACCTCTTTTCTTTATAAATTACCCAGTCTCAGGTATTTCTTTATAGCAGTGTGAGAATGGACTAATACACCCACCATCTTAATCCCAGACTGAGGCTTAGGCAATAAGAGATGACATCAGTCAGGACACCAGAATAATAAACGTTTATTATCTCTAGAGCTGTCTCTGAGAGATGCCCAACAACTCATGAAAAAAGGCTGCCAAGGAGAATTCAACCTTCCTTATTACATCTGAACAGACAGCTAAACATTCTGTCACCTCAACCATTTATAGGACAAGAATATAGTAAGAATGGTTCTTACTACTGTATCTAGACAAAACTGTTTAACCCAGATGCTTAGAAAACATCACTTATATTACCTCTGGATGATCAATGAATGGCCAAGTCTATTCACTGTTTGAATAAATAATAGATTATATACAAAAAATAAAAAGATGACAATATATCTGGCGAGAGAGAGAGGGTTACTACATCACAACAGAAAGTCTCAGTTAAAACAACCAAGGTTATTTCAAAGTACAATTCTTATAAAACCAAAGTCTGTTCAGAATAAAAATTATACAGAACGTCACCAAAGAGTTGTCAAGTTTGTTCCCAAGCTGCCCTTTTCTTCTCACTCCATATTCTTCCTAGGCAATCTCAGCTGGGTTCACTGATTCAATTATCACCTAAAAGACAATGACTCACAAATTGATCTCTAGCTAAGACATCTCTCTTAAGCTCCAGATTCCTGCTTATTGCTTACTTAATATTTCCACTTGGATGCCTCATAGGCATCTCAAGCTCAACAAATACGAAAACGAACTTATCCTCCATTTAAACCTCCCAGTGTCCTTCTCAATGGCACCACTATTCATCCAGTTGCACAGGTCAGTTATTCTTAACTCCTTCCCCTTCTTTCCCCCATAGGTTCCCACTCTGAAATCACTAAGTCAAGTGGAATTTACCTCCTAAACAAAAGTCTATCCTGTCCTCTCTGTCTACATGTCCAACATCCCAACCCAAGTCAAAGTAAATTCTCAGCACTCATTTCTTATCCCTTCCAATCCTTTCTTCTTCATACTGCAAAGCAATTGTTTCTTTCTTTTTTTTTTTTTTTTTTGAGACGGAGTCTCGCTCTGTCACCCAGGCTAGAGAGCAGTGGCGCGATCTCGGCTCACTGCAACCTCCGCCTCCTGGATTCAAGTGATTCTCCTGCCTCAGCCCCCCAAGTAGCTGGGATTACAGGAGCACGCCATCACGCCCGGCTAATTTTTGTATTTTTAGTAGAGATGGGGTTTCACCATGTTGGCTAGGCTGGTCCTAAACGCCTGACCTTGTGATCTACCCGCCTTGGCCTCCCAAAGTGCTGGGATTATGGGTGTGAGCCACCACACCCGGCCTAGAACAACTGTTTCTAACATGCAATCTGATTTTTGTCACATTACCTTAAACATTTTAATGGCTTCCATCACTGTTAGGATAAAGAACAAAATCTCTACAATGGCCTACCAGGTCCTGTATTACCTGAACTATGCCTTTTTTTTCAGACAGATCTAATCTCACTCCCCCCACTTGGCTCTACACAAGTTAGCCTCATTGGTTTTCTTCAGCTCCTAAAAGCACCAAACTCTTTTCCACTTCAGGGCCTTTTGCACATTATTCTTTTTGCTGGCAGAACTATTCCCTGCTCATGTTCTTGCTAACTCCTGCACTTCCTTTCATTTCCAGTTTACATGTCATTTTCCTAGGGAGGACTTCCCTCGTAAATTCTTCCTGTTAATAGGTTCCTGTTAAAACTACATTTCTCCCTTTATAGCACTATGACAATTATATTTATTTTTATTTTTTTGTTGTCTGTTAACTGCTAGATAAGTTCTCTATATGGCCAGTATCTATCTTATTTTCCAATATATATCTAATGCCTAGCAGAGTTCCTGACATATAATGTCTGCAATAAATATTAAGTGAATGAACTATCAATCTCTTCTATGTAACTTTTGTGTCTGTTATTTGAGAACTCACATGCTGTGATTCAATGTGCAACCCAAAATTCATGTGTTGGAAACAATCGGCAATGCAACTGTGTTGGGAGGTGGAGCCTAATGGAAGGTGTTCAGGTCATGAGGACTCCACTCTTATAAGCAGATTCATGCTGCCATAAAAAGAGCTTGTGAGAATGAATTCACTCTCTTCCGCCATGTTAGAACAGTGTTCCTCCCTCAGGAGGATGCAGCATCAAGGACCCATCTTGAAAGCAGAGATTGGTCCTTCACCAGACACCTAAGCTGCTGGCACTTTGATCTTGGACTTCCCAGCCTCCAGAACTGTGAGAAATAATTTCTGCTCTTTATAAAGTACCCAGTCTTAGGTATTGTTATAGCAACAAAAAATGAATAAAGACACCACATTTTTTCACATTATACTCTCTCTCTCTCTCTAAAATACTAAGTTAGAGAATAGTCGATAATTCTTCATTTTAAGGAAGGAATTGTTTGAACAGTGACTTTCCTAGGTCACTGATACTATTTAATTAACTATTTGAGAGGAAGGGAAATAGAAAAAACTAGAAACAAATATGTATTTCAGTAAGTCAGCAAAACATGCTATATTTTAGGGACATATCCAGATAATAATTATGAATCCTGATAATGTTCTCATTTATTTCATGGACTAAAGGTATCCCTAAATAGAATCAGAAATGCATTTTTAACATGGCCAGCAAACTGTCATTTGAGATGTGTCTTGGGGAGTATGTTGGTTCCTAACGGACTAGGCTGGTTCCTGGGACAGTGAAATGTAAACATAGAGAAATCAGAGAGACACTAAAATATTTTTGTTTGTCTAATTTGAAAGGAGGGAGAAGGCCGGGCACAGTGGCTCATGCCTGTAATCCCAGCACTTTGGGAGGCCGAGGCAGGCGGATCACCTAAGGTCGGGAGCTTGAGACCAGCCTGACCAACATGGAGAAACCCCGTCTCTACCAAAAAAAAATATATATATATATAAAATTAACCGGGTGTGGTAGTGCATGCCTGTAATCCCAGCTACTCAGGAGCCTGAGGCAGGAGAATTGCTTGACCTGGGAGGCGGAGGTTGCGTTGAGCTGAGATCGCGCCATTGCACTCCAGCCTGGGCGACAAGAGCGAAACTGTCTCAAAAAAAAAAAAAAAAAAAAAAAAGAAAGAAAGAAAGGAGGGAGAAAAGGAAGCGACAAGAGAAACTTGAAGGAAAAAAAGACTACAGAATTGACAATTAATGTCTGAACTCAGGCGTCAGTGGCAGATGTCCTAGAATATAAGTTATATTTGTCAAAACGTTTTAGAAAGAGAACTAAATAAGCCTAGTCCCCAAATAGAGAGGGCTTCCGGGCAAAGCTACAAAGTCTAGCACAGGGTATCCAGGCTTACTTTTGCCACCTCTCTGAAAGCAGGAATATACCCCAAGGTTCTACCCTGCCTCGCCCCCTGCCGGCCCATATTAGTCCCTTTAGGTTTACTGGTCTTTTGGGACCACAGTGTGGAGGACATATCACCAAACAGCTTCACAGTTTTGGCATGCTTTGTACTATTCAAGTCAGTAAGGCTGCCTAACTACTCTTCCTCTAAAGTTAGTGAAAAACACAGGCATATAAGAGAGGCATAATGAAAAGTCATTTCTTTTCCACCCTAAAGTGATGGCTAAAGGTTGATATGACTACAAGTATCAGCTTGCTATGTGAGCAACACCTACTGATCCACTTTCCATTACAAAACCTGATATGGGATAGAATTTTTGGGACTTGAGCTGCAAGGATAAATCTTTTTCAAGCAACTTATTTGCATTAAAGACTGATGATTGTTCTGGAAAGAATTTACTTTCATGAGAGAAAAAGTCTAGGAAGCAAAGTTAAGCTAGTAATGAAGTCTTTACCATCCATCATAAAGAAGGAGTGATTCTGAGTACTGCATGGTGTCACTTGTATTTGCCTCCGGTGGATTTGTATCTAAGCACAAGGAGGATGCAAGGGTAGTAGGAAAAATAGCTAGTTCCTTTAAAAGTTTGCAAGATACTGGAGGAAGTGGCAATCCTGTTGTGGTACTGTAAATGTCAGGGTGTAACATAAAATGAAACTATTTCAGTAGAGCATAATGTAGTTCATTTCAGCGTCCTGTCATTGGGAGATAACAGTATATCAACACTTAACCTAGAGGAAACAGTGGTGTGGATGTAGCAGTACCCAGAAGCAGTGTGTTGACTAAGGTGTGTGTTGACTAACACACACAGAAGGAGTGTGTTGACTCCTTCACACACACAGAAGCAGAAGGAGTGTGTTGACTAAGGTGACCAGGCGGATGCCATGCTACCCAGTGGAAACAGCATCAATCCTTGCAGTGGCCGTTGGTAATACACTGATGTATGATGTTGCACAGAAGCTGACCAGACTTGTTGACCCTCAAAAACAAATGGAGAGAAGGCAAGACTTTTCAGTGGGCTAGAGACTTACACTATTAAGAGAATTCCTGACTCAGCTAAATACAGGTTACGCTTACAAAGTTTTAATCATCTATACCAGACATAATAAATGTAAAGAAAAAAAAAAACCCCTATCTTTACAAACTAGAATGGATTAAACACTTTATGGAGATAAATGCCTTTGACATGTTTAAATAATTTTAATTTAGTAATAAGACCCAAATTATTACTCTAAAATGAAAATGTGAAAAAAAAATCTGTGAACAGTCTTAAGGAAAAAGAAAGGTGTCCAATTAGTAGATTCTCTTTCTAAATAGTCAAGATAGTGGGTACAGACACTGACTTTTGTTTCCTATCACAGGTAGGGCCTGAATAAAGGTTTTGGTGAGATACTTGTGCATTTAAATTGTTCAGCATTGCTCTAATATAAGTACTGATTACTAAGAATTGAAGAGAACTTATGAAGAGAATTAAGAAAGTTATTTTTCCTCAAAAAGATGTTAAAAAACATGAACAAAATTCCAGAGACTCCTTAGTAAACAATATAAAGAGAGAGGTAAGGTTGGTAAGGCTTTGGATAAGGGCTAAGAGTAGAGTATCACTGATATTTGATAAATTATATTCCATGGAATCTAACTTTCAAGGAAAAATTGGCATGAGAGGTGAAATACCTTCTCAACAAAAATTTGTCTTCCTGGCTGGGTGTGGTGGCTCATGCCTGTATGTCCAGCACTTTGGGAGGCCAAGGAAGGAGGATCGCCTGAGCCCAGGTGTTCGAGACTAGCCTGGGCAACAGAGTGAGACCCTGTCTTTGCAGAAAATTTAAAAATCAGCCAAGTGTGGTGGCATGTGCCTGTAGTCCCAGTTACTAGGGAGGCTAAGGCACAAAGATGACCTAAGCCCTGGGGATCGAGACTGCAGTGAGCTAAGATCCCACCACTGCACTCTAGCCTGGGCAACAGAGGGACACTTTGGCTCAAAATGAAACAAAAAAAAAAAAGTGTCTTCTTTTTATTTCTTATATGGTTTGGCAAAACCTGCAAAGTCATCAAGGTTAGAAATGATACTGGAATTTCCCCAGCTGTCTCTCGCAAATGATAAATGACTCTCCTTTCTCTCTATACACACATTTTTAAAACTAAAATTTGAATATGTACTATATACATTTGCTACAAAAATTCAAAGACAAAAAGAGTATAGCATAAAGTGATAAGTACATTTCCTTTCAACAATGGGCCTCCAACTACTCCGTTTCTTTTCCTTGAAGCAATAACCACTTCTTTTTTTTTGAGACGGAGTCTCCCTCTGTTGCCCAGGCTGGAGTGCAGTGGCATGATATCAGATCACTGCAACCTCCACCTCCTGGGTTCAAGTGATTCTCCTGCCTCAGCCTCCTGAGTAGCTGGGATTACAGGTGCCCGCCACAATACCCAGCTAATGTTTGTATTTTTAGTAGAGAAAGGGTTTCACCATGTTGGCCAGGCTGGTCTCGAACTCCTGACCTCAAGTGATTTGCCCGCCTTGGCATCCCAAAGTGCTGGTATTACAGGCATGAGCCCCCGTGCCTGGCTGCAAGCACCACTTCTTGTGTATCTTTACAGGAGGGATAATGTACGCATATACAAGAGCATGAGTGTGTGTCTGTGTATTATTTTTTAAATGACCCATGCAGTCACAGTAACATATATAATGTTCAATACCTACTTTCCAAAACTTATTTTTAATAATTAGTAAATATAAAATATTTCTAAAATTGCATAAGGTTAAACAAAACTATCATATCATGAACCCCCATGCATCCACATGCCAGTTTAAGAAGGAAGAATAGGCTGGGTGTGCGGTGGCTCATGCCTGTAATCCCAGCACGTTGGGAGGTGGAGGTGGGTGGATCACTTGAGGCCAGGAGTTGGAGACATGCCAGACCAACATGACAAAACCCCATCGCTACTAAAAATACAAAAAAAAAAAAATTAGCTGGGCGTGGTGGCGGGTGCCTGTGGTACCAGCTACTTGGGAGTCTGAGGCAAGAGAATCGCTTGAACCTGGGAGGTGGAGGTTACAGTGAGCAGAGATCAAGCCACTGTACTCCAGCCTGGGCAACAGAGTGAGACTCCGTCTCAAAAAAAAAAAAAAAAAAAAAGAAGATGAGAGAATATTACTATTACTTTTTGAATCCCCCATGTGCCCTCTCTAATCTCGTTTTCTCTCCTGAGGTAACCACTCTCCTTGATTTTGTGCTTATTAATTCCTTGCTTGTAGTTTTACAATTTTTTTTCCCCCTAAACAACATGTTTAATGTTTCATACAGTTTAATGAATTATATTAAACTTCATATAAATGGAATCCAATCTTATTACATGTATGTTTCCACAGTTTGTTTCTCTTGCTCAACATGACTGTTTAAGATTCAGATTGTTATAATTTATTTATTTTTCATGGCTGTATAGTGTTCTCAACATTTATTTATTCTACTCTGGACACAGATTTCTAGAAGTTTGTTGCTGTTTTGTTTTCTTATAAATGGCACTATGAACATTTCTGTCACCTGGGGAAATGAGCAAGAATTCCTCTAGAATCTGTTAATAAGTAAAACTGGTAGGTTATAAGGTTCATACACATCTTTAAATTTTATTAGATAATACCAAATTGTTTTCCAAAGGGGTTATGTCCGAATTCACTTTTCTCCCAGCAGTGTATAAGGGTCCCACTTGCTCTACATATTCTTGCCAATACCTGATACTGTCTGTGCCTGGCAATTTTACTTAATAACATATAATAGAGAATCTTACATATTAGCATATACAGGGCTGCCTCATCCTGTCTAAAGGGCTTCATAGTATTCTAGCATATAGATATACTGTATTTGTACAGTTGTCTATTGAGGCAACTCTCCAATATTTCCCTTTAATGGATTATTTCCAGTCTTTTGTTATTTCAAACAATAACAATGGACAGCCTAATTTATCGTTACGAAATTCATTTCACACATGAAACTATATCCGTAGAATAAATTCCTAGAAATAAAATTTCTGGGTTAAAGAGTATATGCATTTAAAATGTTCACAGATATTGCCAAATTATTCCACATATATATAGGAAAAAAACTCTCAAACCATGTTTTTTTCTGTCACACCACAGCAACACAGAAGGCTTTTGTGACCAAATGCGTGGGGTTTCTCCCCCACACACCAAGCAGTGGACACCAGCCAGGTGTCCTCCAATTCAATTCTGACACTGTCTACCTGGAGATAGTATCAGATCCCATGGGTTGATGGCTCAGTCCCCAAGACTGCCACCCACCCCATCCCAGACACCAGTCAGTCACAAGCCGGGGCCTCCAAAACTTCTGACTGGCTTCAAGTTGGGGTTCCCACAATCCCCTTTTTGGGTTTAATTAACTTGCTGGAACAAGTCACACAACTCAGTGAATCACTTATGCTTATTGATTTATTATTAATATAAAGGATACTACAAAGGATATAGATGAAGAGATGTGTAGGGTGAGGTATGGGGGAAGGGGCATGGAGCTGTTGTTGGTACTTCCCTTAATGAAGTACAAGAACTCTTTAAATATTAAGGAAATTAGCCATTTGTCTGTGGTTTGACCTATTGATATTTTAGCCTAGTTTGTTATTTTTCTTTTGTTTATGGTAGATTTTTTTTGTATGTAGAAATTTTATTTTTCTGTAGAGTCCTTTTTTTTTTGGAGATGGAGTCTTGCTCTGTCGCCCAGGCTGGAGTGCAGGCACCATCTTGGCTCACTGCAACTTCTACCTCCCAGGTTCAAGTGATCCTCCTGCCTTGGCCTCCTGAATAGCTGGGATTACAAGTGTGCACCACCATGCTCGGCTAATTTTTGTATTTTTAATTAGAGATGGGGTTTCAACATGTTGCCAGGCTGGTCTTGAATTCCTGACCTCAAGTGACTCACCTGTCTTGGCCTCCCAAAGTGCCGGGATTGCAGGTATGAGCCATCGCGCCCAGCCATAGAGTCAAATTTAATAATCATGTCTTTTATAGCTTCTAGGTTTTGTACCATACTTTTGGAAAGGTCTTCTCTTACTTCAATAGTAAATTACTTGTGCATATATTAAACACAGCAGTTGTCAGACTGGACTGCACTAAAAAATGAACTCTCAGTTTGAGTTTTCTCTACAGTAGGTTTCTCAACCTCAGCAGCATTCACTTTTTTTTTTTTTTTTTTCTTAAGAGACAGAGTCTCACTTTGTCACCCAGGCTGGATCATAGCTCACTGTAGTCTCAAACTTCTGGGCTCAAGTGATCCTCCTACCTCATCCTCCCAAGTAGCTAAGACTTAGACAATCCTGACACAGGCATGTACCACCACATCCATCTACTTAAAAAAATTTTTTTAAGGAGATGGGGTCCCCCTATGATGATTTCAAACCCCTGGCCTCAAGTGATCCTCCTGCCTCAGCCTCCCAAGTAGCTGGGATTAAAGACATAAGCCACCACACCTGGCCCACTACTAACATTTTGGACCAAATAATTACTTGTTGCTGGGGTTGTCTTGGGCACTGTAGGATGTGTAGCAGTATCCCTGGCCTTTACTCACTAGAAGTCAGTAGCACTCTCTCCCTCTAACAGCTGTGATAATCAACATGTCTTGAGACATTGTCAAATGTCCCTGGGAGATGGAGTGGCCAAAACTGTCCCTAGTTGAGAATCTCTGCTCTAGAAACAGGTTTACCTTCAATACTTCCTTCTATTCATAGAAATGATCAGACCTAACCAATTGTATTTAACCTGAAAGGTATCTCTAAAACATTGGAACTATTTTTTTTAGTTTAATATTTTAAATTAAAGTACTTGGTGCTGACAATTCTTTTGTACAGTTCTGTCTCTAGCTTTAGAATAGCTTAAGAGCAGCCATTACCTCATGTCCAATGGAATTAATCAAGTATGTTATTTAAAGACCACAAAACAGAATGTTGACAGAGGAACCCAGGCAGGATCCAAGTCAATTCACTCCACTTACTCTAGCTTAAGAAGGGTTTTCCTTTTAATTTCCAAAATTAAAGTCAGTTTTGAAATGATACTTCCACAGAGTGCTTACTTTCCAAGGTGAGCTCTCCAACCATGGCATGGATACAACAGCCACGATAATGAAGAGTGTGTAGTAATGGTGCAGGAATAGATACATCAATCAACAATACGGAATCAAACACCCCAAGAGAGCTAGGATATATAAGATGGCATTACAAATCAGAGGAAAGAATGGATTATTCAGTAAACTGTTTTAGGTAACTGGCTTAACATTTATAAAAGAATTAAGATTCCCACTTATTACCATGCAGCAAAATAAGATGGCAAATTAATATAAAAATTAAAATCATAAAAAGGAAAATATTCTAGTTGACTTTGTGGTCTTAGGAATAGGGAAAACTTTTCTAGGTATACATACAAAGTCAGACTATAAAGAAAAATACCATAAATTTAAAGGTAAACAATAACCTCTGTGCAATACACATGAAGGGGTAATAGTCTTTATATGTGATACCTTTCAAATCAACAAGAAACCTAAAATCAAAATTGAAAAATGGAGAAAAATATGAATAAGCAATTCATATAAGATGGCATACAGAACATCAAAAGTATATACATTTTTAAAAATTCAGTCTTTCCAGTAACCAAAGAAATGAAAACCACCAGCCTGGGCAACATAGCAAGACCCTATTTCTATAAAAGGATTTTTAATTAGCTAGGCATGGTGGCGCATACCACCATGTAAGACGGAGGTTACTCAGAAGGCTGAGGCAAGAAGGTCACTTGAGCCCAGGAGATTAAGGTTATAGTGAGCCATGATCATGCCACAGCACTTCAGCCTGGGCTACAGAATGAGAACCTGGTTTGTTTGTTTTTTTAAAGCAAACCAAGAAAACTTCTATATTTTGACTATTAACGTGGCAAAAACTAAAAACAACAGCAAGAAACACAGGTTGGGGAGCTCAACAAAATACTCTCCAGTAAAAACATAAATTTCTATATGTATTTCCTCAGCGCAATTTGGCAACACATATTAAAACCTTTAAAAATGTTAATATCCTCCCACCCAGTATATATATAGGAATTTAGAATACAGCAGAGATAGCATCAAGAAATATCAGGGGAGAAAAAGGGCTAGTTAATGAAGAACACGGGGGCAACCGGTTATAGTGAGGAAAACATAAAGCTAGATACTTATTTCAAATTATGAACAAAAATAAATTCAAGAGGCTTTACAAAGCTAAACATAAAAAAGAGAACTATAAACGTGGAGTAGGAAAGTCTTTTCAATGTAAGAAAGAAAACCCTGAACCCATAAAGAAAAAAACTGATCCACAAAATTTTAAACATCTTTGTCAAAAGAAACCATAAATAATAATGAAAAATAAATTTGAAAAACAACGTGAGACTGGGAGAAAATATTCACAACTATATAACAATATCTGGAATACATGACTAGGTACCAAACATTAATAAGAAAAAATTTAAAACCTCAAAAGATTAAATATGTGGCCAGTAACATGAAAAGATGTTCAACTTAATAAAGAAATGCAAATTAAGACAAAATACCATTTTTGGGGCCATCAAATTTTCAAAAGCTAAAAAGATTTATACTATCCAGCACTGGAAAAGATACGGAGAAATGAATATACTTTTACACATTGTTGAGAGGGTTGGAAGAAAAACTGGTGCACCTTTTGGGTTGATGTTGATGTTGCAGCAGCAGCATCAGTTAACTCTTATACAGTGTTAACATATCCCAGTATCCTAAGTCCTTTGTATACAGCAGCTCATTTAATCGTTCACAACCCTATGAGGGAGGTACTGTTATTTCTCCATTTTACAGATGTACGGATAAAGAACCTGAGGCACACAGATGTAGAGTAACATCTTTCTTACACAGAGATGTTGGATTTGGGAATTTGGCTCTATAATCTGTGTTATTTGCTATGCTACACAGTCCTACACTGCAGTAGCAACCATGGAAGTACACTGCTCAAGATCTCCCTTGAAGATACCTTGCAGTTCAGTTCTGATGTGCCTTTAGGACTTAACTCCCTCGTCTTTCAAGATCAGGCCACTTTCTTCCCTGGCAGTCACAGGTCAATAACTGAATACATGGGAGTACCAGGGCCTGGCTATTTCTAACCAACTGGTAGTACTATCCTTCTAATAGGCAATCTTCACTCCAGAGTGCCCCACTGAATAGGCTGTAACTGTTAGATGTAAATCAGTCTGAGCTCTTTCCCTTCCTTCAGCTTCTGACTGCCTATCTTTCACAGGTACTCAGTGAACTATTTGCAGTCCTAACTCTGTCTCAGTGTCAGCTTCCCAGAGGACCTGACACAACTGCCTTTCTAAGGAAACTTCAAGTGCATACACCTTTCAGCTTAGCAATTTCATTTTTACATATGCAACCCACAGAAAAACCTGCATATAGGGAAAAAGAAACAGGTACAAAGATGTTCACCGCACTATTACTTATAATAGCACTATTACTAAATATCTATCAATACAGGAATGGTTAAATTATGGTGCATAGGCCAGGCGCGGTGGCTCAAGCCTGTAATCCCAGCACTTTGGGAGGCCGAGGCGGGCGGATCACAAGGTCAGGAGATCAAGACCATCCTGGCTAACATGGTGAAACCCCGTCTCTACTAAAAATACAAAAAATTAGCCGGGCGTGGTGACGGGCGCCTGTAGTCCCAGCTACTCCGGAGGCTGAGACAGGAGAATGGCATGAACCTGGGAGGCGGAGCTTGCAGTGAGCCGAGATTGTGCCACTGCACTCCAGCCTTGGCGACAGAGCAAGACTCCGTCTAAAAAAAAAAAAAAAAAAAAAAAAATTATGGTGCATAAACAGTATAGAATACTAAAAGGAAATAATTCTGTGTATATTGACGTGGAAAGATCTCTAACACATGAGAAAAAAGCAAACCACACAATAGTATATATCATGAGATCCATTTATTAAAAAATTATATATATTTCTGTAAGTCCACATATTTATAAATATGTAGAAAACTGATAGTAGTTCCAGAAAGGAAAGATGCCAGGAGGGGGTGAAAAAGGTAGGGATGAGCGAGTCCTATATTTTAACTTTTCATTTTAAAATGTAGAATGCATTAATATATATAGTCGATCCTCATTATTCAGGGATTCCATACTTGCAAATATGCCTACTCACTAAAATTTATCTGCAAGCTCCAAATCAATAGTTGTGGCACTTTTGTGGTCATCTGAGGACGTAATCCACGTGTAGAGTGGCAAAAAAATTTGAGTCACATGACAGCCATGTTCCCATATGCAGCTTAGCATGGCAATGCTCTGTTGTCTCAGTTCTCCTATAGTAAGTGCATGTCTTTTCTGTGGTCTCTTCAGCGCCACGTCTTTCACATTTTTGTGCCTTTTACTGATGATTTCACTGTTTAAAATGGTCCCAATTATAGTGCTCAAGTGCCGTCTAGTGTTCCTAAGTGCAAGAAGGATTTTCCCTTTCAGAGAAAATATGTGTGTTAGGGAAACTTCGTTCAGGCATGAGTTACAGTGCTTCTGGCACAATACTGTTGACATATATTCTTGTACAGGATTATTAATATATAATATTAATGTAATTGAATCAATACATATTAAATAATATGTCCTAAAACAGAGACATACAATGAGGTTATGTATTGATCAGTTGATGAAATGTGACCAGAGACCTGCAGGAACCTAACCCTATTTCCCCCAGGGGCAATGATCCAGTATTCACTAATTCAATGTTTGCAGTGACTTTACAGAACATAACTACCACATGAGAATCGACTGTATTACTAAAGTTTAAAAAACAAAAAAGAACCATGTTGGCCAGAGCAATAGCTCTAGTCTTTAAATAGAGCAATAAAGCCATTAATAGGGGTTGAAGTGTCCCTTTAGCTTTCCTGTGCACTCAAATCCCACATTCCTCAGCTGCCTGCTTTTCATGGTGATGATATGGCCAGGAATTGAACAATGAGAACACATGGACACAGGAAGGGGAACAGCACACACCCGGGCCTGTTGTGGGGTGGGGGGAGGGGGGAGAGATAGCATTTGGAGATATACCTAATGTTAAATGACGAGTTACTGGGTGCGGCACACCACCATGGCACATGTATACATATGTAACTAACCTGCACGTTGTGCACATGCACCCTAAAACTTAAAGTATAAAAAAAAAAAAGAGTTCTAGTGAAGAAAGAAAAAAATATATATCTCTTAACTCAAATTTTTCTTGACAAGGCCCCCAAAGAGAATTAAAGAAATCAAAATGAGTTACTACTGACACCTAAATTCATTCAAAAAGACTTGCAATTTTTCCCCAGAAATTATCCATAAGTATTTTAGAATATTTTATGGATCCATAAATGATCCATAGAATATATGCATTAATTATACTTACAGTTGAGCATCCCAAATCCAAAAATCCACATGTGGCTATTGAGTAAATGAAATATGCTATGCAATTATTTTTTTAAAACAGTAACTAAAACCTTTTTAAACTTACTGCCACCCTTTTAGCGTAGGAAATCTTTTTAAGAAATGCAAAAAGCAAATTTTTATTTTCAGGATCTAATACCTAATCATTTTTCTCAGTTCCTAAATATTTTACTACCCATCAAGGCCCAGAGCCAATACTGATAACACAATACATTTTATTTATAAAGACTATGGTGCTCTAGCCCCAGCGCTGCCTTTCTATGCCTTTCCCACTCCTGTAAAGTCACATCAGAAAACATCACATTTTTCTAAAATACCCAAACTTTACACTATGAATTAACTATGAACATATTAGAATCTTGATTGTGTATAAGAAACCACAGAGAAGAACTGAATCTCTCCTTTCACCTAGTTACATTATTGCCTTTTTTTTTTTTTTGAGACAATGTCTGGTTCTATTGCCCAGGCTGGAGTGCAGTGTCACGATCTTGGCTCACTGCAACCTCCAACTCCTGGGCTCAAGCAATCCTCCCACCTCAGCCTCACGAGTAGCCGGGACTACAGGCATGTACCACCATACCTGGCTAATTTTTTTTTTTTTTTGTATTTTTTGTAGAGATGGAGTTTTGCTAAGTTGTCCAGGCTGGTCTTGAACACATGAACTCAAGCAATCTGCCCACCCTGGTCTCCCAAAGTGTTGGGATTACATGTGTGAGCCACCGCTTCTGGTCTATTATTGCTATTATATGTAAGCTCATCATATAATGCAGAATAATTTGCTAAACTGAAGAGTTACTCTTAACATGAGGGCCCATGAAAGGTAGCATAGAATAATGGTTAGGAGACAGTAAGCTATACAGCAAGGCTGCCTGGGGATCTGCCACTTACCAGCTCTGTAACCTTGGGCAAGTTACTTATCTTTTTCCCTACCTCACTTTCTTCATCTGTGAAATGGAGAGAGTAAGTAGTACAGGTTGAGTATCCCTTATCCAAAATGATTGGGACCAGAAGTGTTTCAGATATCAGGATTTTTCAGATTTTAGAATATCTGCATTAATTATACTTACGGTTGAGCATCCCCAATCCAAAAATCCAAAATGCTTCAGTGAGCATTTCCTTTGAGCATCATGTCAGTGCTCAAAAAGTTTTGGATTCTGGAGCATTTGGGATTTGGGATGCTCAACTGTACCCACTTCACAGGATTCTTAGGAAGATTAAATAAATTTATTCTTGTAGGAAGCTTAGGAACAATCCCTGGCACACAGAAGTACTTAATAAATTAGTTATTATTAATGTTGACAGGTTGTGCCAACAATGCAAACACAACACTTCTGGCTACCTAACTTGGGGGAACAGGTAAACATGTATCCCTTCAGTGGGTAGTACTCCATATAACTATTATCTATACTATTTTTATATATGGTGTGGTTTGGCTCTATCCCCACCCAAATCTCATCTTGATTGAAACTCCTATAATTCCCACGGGTTGTGGGAGGGACCTGGTGGGAGATAATTGAATCATGGGGGCGGGGGGTTCCCTCCCATACTGTTCTCATGGTAGTGAATAAGTCTCATGAGA
Organism: Homo sapiens; assembly: GCF_000001405.40. Lineage (NCBI taxonomy): Eukaryota > Metazoa > Chordata > Mammalia > Primates > Hominidae > Homo > Homo sapiens. The sequence continues at coordinate 1,060,993 of NW_017852933.1, forward strand.
TCTGATGGTTTTATAAGGAGTTTCCCCTTACACTTGGCTCTCTCATTCTCTCTTGCCTGCAGCCATGTAAGACAGGCCTTTCACCTTCTGCCATGATTGTGAGGCCTCCCCAGTCACGTGGAACTGTGAGTCCATTAAACCTCTTTTTCTTTATAAATTACCCAGTCTTGGGTATGTCTTTATCAGCAGCATGAAAACGGACTAATACAACATAATTGACACTTCAGAATTTCTCGAACTTACCTAAACTGATCATATATTTAAGGCAAGTCTCTACGATTATAAATTCAACTGCTGGTATACAGAACCACCTAGACTTTATCAGATTCTGTACCTAAGATCTAAAAGTAACAAACAACTCAGCTTTCTCTATGGCTGGGAGGGACAAACTATTTTGTCTTGAATCAAGGTATAATTTTGCATTTCTCTGGATGGAAAAGTATAGTATGTTAGTCCTGTTTAATTTAATTAATGAATTCCAATTTTTCAGAACACAGTAGGCTTTCCTTGGGATACCTAGCAAAATGGCTAGAATAAAAGAGGTGCTCAATAAATATTCACTGATAAAATATAGGAAGATGAGGCAAGAGTGTGTGAATAGTCAGATGATAAGCATCCATGTGAGCAATGTAAAGATACATATTTAAGGAAAAATAATCCCTATATGTGTCAAATGATAGTTATGTCAGAAATGGAAATGTACTGCTGTGACTAAAAGACTAAAATGCTGGGTACCATCAGAATTTAATGAAAAAAAGCAGAAAACTTTAAAATTCTTGCTATTCATAATGCTTATCTGTCCTCATGAAGAATATACAGTTTCTATGTGTCATGCTAGCAACCTAATGGCCTAAGACAGTTAAAAGATCACAGAAACAGATGAAAAATTTTCCATATGTTAAATTCCCAATGCTGCATGTCTTTAATTGTTGATCTTTACAGGGTAAGAAGTTGCTCCCAATTATAAACTGTTAATTAGTCAATAGTCCCACTGTTAATTTATGCATAAAAATAAAAGTGGCTGGACAGTATCCCACCAAATGCAGCATGATATAAAAAGGAGTATGGGGTATGGAATAAGACAGAGGTGGGTGTGACTTTCAGCTCTCCAGCTTCTTTCCTCTATGACCTGAAGCACTTCAGGCATGTGAGTCTCAGTTTCTCCATTGTAAATGGGGAGATTCCGTTATCTATCTCAGAGTTGTTGCATATATTAAGAGTAGAATAACAACACAGTGCCCAGGTGCTTCGCCCCCTCTTCATCTGAACGGACTCCCGTTTTTGCGAGCCTGGAGAAAACTCAGCAGGTTGGTTTCCTTTGCCCTAACCCAGAGTACTGAATTCGCTTGGTGACAGCTATGGTAATAGAGCACTGGGTGGTAACTTCTGGTGCCCGTGTGAAAATATATACCTCCAACAGGGCTGGTCTTAGAAATAACAGTTGGTGAAATGATGGCAAGCATTACATGTCTTGTGATCAAATCCAGAAAAATTTAAACAGTATGGAGAGAACAAATGTAAATATGTTCTAGAAAATCAAAGGAAGTATCTTTTGAGTTGAAAGGTAACTTTTAGATACTTTATACAGTAAATATATAAAGTTCATTATTGTAGGAAGTGGCGTAGGCTGAAAGCATCCAAAAAGGTTTAAGTAAACTCCAGGTGATGGAGCCAGGATGAATTATTAGAAGATACATGTTTTTAGGACTATTCCTTGCCTAGAAAAGGTGTCAAATAACTGCCGACTGGGTCCACCAAAAACTCATATGCCACCTACTTAGCAGAATCTTAATGCTGCTCAGCGATGCTTATGTTCATCCTTTGTTGACTGTTGCAGCCCCCAGAGCAGCTGTTCCAAACCTCTTCACACTCTTAGTTCTCTCATATCTGCCCAAAGTAGATAACCTTTCTTCCCACTCAAAGGAAAAAAATCAAGGTCATACAAATGAAGCAAACCTTATTTGCCCTCCTCCACCTGAAAAATCTCCTGGAAACTCAGTTCCGAACATCTCAAAATTTCTCTTATACCATCTTCTTTTTCCGTTTGTTTTAAAGAAGATGAATAGGCATAGTGGCTCACACCTGTTATCCTAGCACTTAGCGAAGTCAAGATGGGAGGATCGCTCGAGGCCAGGAGTTCAAGACCAAGCTGGGCAACAAACATAGTGAGACCTTGTCTCTACAAAAATAAAAATAGAAAAAAAGTAGGCAGGCATGGTGGTATGTGCCTGTAGTCCCAGCTACTAAGGAATATGAGGTGGGAGGAATGCTTGAGCCCAGTTCAAGGCTGCAGTGAGCCATGACTGAGCAACTGCCCAGCCTGGGCAACAAAGTGAGGCCGTGTCTCCAAAATAAAAAAAAAAAATTAAAGTTAAAATTAAAAAATAAAGAAGATGAACTTCTTCTCTTTCCTGAAGCTTAACCCTTTACTTTGGTTTTTAAAAATCAAATTCCCTTCTCATCCATTTATTTTTACTTCAATTACTCCCTGAACTAGTGTTAGTCAAAGTACGGTCTAAATACTTAACTACAGTTGTAACCTGGGTGCAGGTTGGGGGTTGGTGGTGATGAGGGTTATTTGTTTAAAAATGTCCTGCTCTGCAGACCTGCTGAATCGGATTCTCTGTAAGTGGTGCTAGCAATCTGCATTTTAAACAAAATTCCCATGTTATTCTTGTGCATATTAAAAATTGACAATTGTCTTAGGCTATGGATCTTTCTGCTCTCTCTCTAAACTATGCTTCTGTATTCATAAAAAAACAAAACAAGGCAAGCTAAGCTTCCCTTAAATGACTCCACCTCAGATCACCACAGTGTCTCTCTTCTCATTACCTCTGTGGGTGAAATTTATCTCACTGTCCACTCATTCTTCACACCTTTTGTAATATGACTTTCACTTCATTACTGTATTTAAATTGTTCTTTCCCAGATCATGTCCTCTAAATCTCTAAATCCAAAGATCTTCCCTAGTCCCCATTTTCTTCAGTTTTCTGAAGCATGTAATATTCGTAGCTATCTCTTCCCTTCCTGGAACTAAATGTCTTTACTTACCTTTTTTGTTTGTTCGTTTGTTTGTTTTTTGGAGATAGAGTCTCAATCTGTTGCCCAGGCTGGAGTGCAGTAGCGCGATCTTGGCTCACTGTAACCTCCGCCTCCAAGGTTCAAGCGATTCTCCTGCCTCAGCCTCCTGGGTAGCTGGGACTATAGGCGTGTCTTTGTGTCTTTACTTTCTTAAAACCATAATCCTGCTGCTTGCCTATCTCTAGGGCTGCAGCTTTTCTGTTGAATGTTGTAAATCCCAAGGCCCTTTATTCTTTCTAGAATTTTAGCCTTCTTCTCCATCTGCTTAGATGTTCTATTGCTTCTTTAAACATATAATGTATCTTACATGTAACCTTCTGACTTCCCCCATTTTGTTTCATTCATTCAGATATTTACTGCCCATCAGTGTATGCCAGGCACTGTTTCTTCTAAATCTGGTCATAAAAAGTTATTGAAGGCAGATACCTTCAATGACAATACTGTCACTCCATCAATCACCCAGTTTGGAAATCTTGGTATCATTCTTATTGCCTGCTTCTTATTATGCCCTCTAATATGTCAAAAATCATCCTTCTTTGTAATTTTTAAAATACTTTTAAGTTCAGGGGTACATGTGCAGGTTACATAGGTAAACTTGTGTTATGGGGGTTGGTTGTACAGATCATTTCATCATCCAGGTATTAAGCCTAGTACCTATTAGTTATTTTTTCCTGATCCTCTCCCTTCTTCCACCCTCGGATAGGCCCTAGTGTGTGTTGTTCCCCTCTTATGTGTCCATGTGTTCTCACCATTTAGCTCCCACTTATAAGTGAGAACATGATGTATTTGGTTTTCAATTTTTCTTATTTGTTCCTTCTGTTTCCATTGCTATCATTATTCCTGTCCAGATCTTTATGTCCTAATGTTGAAATCATTCCAATAATTTCTTAACTAGTTTCTCTACTTCCAGTTCCTACTATATTTCATTCATTCAACAAACAGATCCAATGCCTTCCATGTGCTAGGCACATTCTGGGTGCTGAGATATAGCAGTAGTAAGACAGATAATATTTCTTTTCTCATGAAGCATATATTCTAGTGGAGGGAGCCAGTAAAAAAGTGAACATATTAATAAGCAAGGTAATTGCAGTCATAAATGCCATAAGAAAAATCATACAGGGTAAGGCATTAGATAGGAGGAGGGAGTGCTGCTATCTTAGATTCAGGGTGGTTAGGGAAGGCCTGTCTGAAAAGGAGATATCCAGCTGAGACATAGATCCTACCACACTACTTATAAATGCATATTTCTAAAATACCACTTTTATGTTATCTCCTGGCTCATGAATTCTTTTTTTGTAAGAGACAAGGACTCATTATGTTGGCCAGGCTGGTCTCGAACTCCTGGCCTCAAGCAATCCTCCCACCTTGGCCCCCCAAAGTGCTAGGACATGTATGAGCCACCATGCCCAGCCTGCTCATGAACTTTTAAAGATACCCTACTAATGATAAGACAAAGGCCAAAATTCCAAACCTAACTTTCCAACCTAATTTTCTAAAAAATTCCTTACAGATTCTGCTTCAACTAGCATTTACTGAGTTGTTAAAGGCTGTATCAGGCGTAGAGCTTGACATCTTTTCCTCAAAATATACCCAGCTGAAAATCCCTAACAAGTATTATAATTTCCTTTTTATAGATAAAAAGGAAAGAAACTTGCCTAAGGTCACCTAGCTTATAAGTGACAGAATTGGGTCACAAATAATGTTAAAAACTGCTACTTATTGACATGTATCATGTATCCCAAACTATGCGTTAAGGAGTTCACTTGTCCATTTAATTCCCATCACTGAGAACAGATTATTATCATTAGAAAACTGATATGATTCAGTATGATTATTGTTAGGAAACTGAAGCTTAGAGAAGGTTGAATAATCTGCCTGAATAGATGATTATGATTAGAAAACTGATATGATTCAGTATGATTATTAGGAAACTGAAGCTGAGAGAAGGTTAAGTAATCTGCCTAACTCACTAAGCAGTCAAGATTAGACCTGAGACCTGACTTCAATGTCTATTACAGAGCACTATGCTTAGTTCATTCATTGCTTTCTCCCATGTCATTGCTTTCTCCCATGTCAGTTTTGGATGAACACAATGGTCTCCTTTCCCACATCTCTACCCAGACTACTAAACTCTGCTGGATAAAAGTACATAACTGTAAGATTGGCATCATTAAAAAATTTATGCTTTATGGACCCAACTAGCCCCTCAATACAACCCAGAAATCTGTTTTTTTAGCTGGCTCTCTCTTATTCTGTACAGTAGCTTTTCAACCATTTTTAAAATATATACTCTTTTCAAACTTCCTACCAGTATTATCACTCCCATTTCACTCCTAGCAAGTGACCCTTCTTGTTATCTCTATAAGTCACAGAGGTGGACTCCCTCAATTTCCTACCACCATTATCTGTAACCTAACTTCATCTTCATTGGTCCTCACTTCCTTTCCTCATGTCACAAAGTGTTTCTTGTCTCCTAAAATCTATCCCTCTGTTATGCTTTACCACTCTGGTACTATTAGGGTCCTTGATCTATCAACTTTGGTGCATTATCAATCCCTCCCTCTCTGCTGGCTCCTTCTCATTACGATGGATGTTGACTAACCTCACTATCCCTTGCACAGGCAAAATTCCATCTTCACTGTTGTCTTACTCTCCCTACTAGTTATTTTGCAACCCACTGTGAATGAGGCTCCTACTTTACCACTTCTCTGAAACGTCTCTCTCCAAGGCTATTAACAATCTCTTTAAGACTAATGTACTTTTCAATTTCATCTTGTTATACTGTGAAATAAATATTTGATTTTCATCAGGCTTCCCAACACAGCCCCTGAGATCCCTGGGATTTCCAGAGTGATGAGAGTTTCTTTTGTAGCTAATGAGATGGCTGGTGGCTGGCAGCCCCTATGTAGCTTCAGGATGGGGGCTGGTCATGGGAAAGATCAAGGCATGATTAGAAGACTGGGACTTTCAGTCCCACCTTGCCAACATCCAGGTAAGGGAGAGGGGCTAAAGGTTGAATTGCTCGTCAATGGCCAAGGATTTAATCAATCATGCCTATGTAATGAAGCTTCCACAAGACCCCAAAAGGATTGGGCTCAAAGAGCTTCTGGGTAGCTAAACACATGGAGCTTCCTGGAGGGTGGTATGCCAGGAGAGGGCACGGAAGCTTCCCGCCCCTTCCCACATGCCTTGCCCTATTCATCTCTTCATCTGTATTCTTTGTAGTATCCTTCATAATAAACCAGTAAAGGTAAGTAAGTATTTCCCTGAGTTCTGTGAGCTGTCCCAGCAAAGTAGTTGAAACTGAGGAGGAGGTGATGGGAAAGTTGATTTCTAACCAGTTGATCAGAAGCACAGGTAAAAACAACCCGAGGCTTGCAACTGGCTTAGGATTGGGGGCAGCTTGTAGGTTTGACCCCTCAATCTATGGGATCTATATGCCAGGTAGATGGCAACAGAACTGAGTTGAATTACAGGACACCCAGCTGATACTTGCCGTAGAATTGCTTGGTGAGTGCAGGAAAAACACACACTTGGTCACAGAAGTTTTCCGTGTTGTGAGAGCATAGTTGGAGAAACTGATTTCATACCTTAATTCCTTTTTGGCCAAGACTGCCAACCACTTCTTTCTTCTTGCAAATACATTTTCCCGTGGCTTCTATAGTATCAAATTTTTGTTTCGTTTTCCTTTTTAGAGACCAAGTCTCATTCTGTCACCCAGACTGGAGTGCAGTGGTGTAGTCCATAGCTCACTGCAACCTTGAACACCTGGGTTCAAGTGATCCTCCCACCTCAGCCTTTCCAGTAGCTAGGACTATAGGCACGAGCCAACATGCCTGGCTGGTTTTCCTCTTGAGTCTAGCTTTTTCTCAGCATCCTTAAAATGCTGGTGACCTTCAGGGTTCTTTCCTGGGTTCTCTTGTTTCTCCTTACTCTTCTTACTCTCCCTGGAAAATATTCCTACAATAGCTTCCAAAATCAGTCATAGGCTGATGACTTTTCATTCTGTATCTCCAATCCTAGTCTGACTTATGAGTTTCACCTGCCCACTAGGCAGATTCTCTGGTTTGACAACCTCTTCAAATTCAAAATATTAAATTCAGGATTCATATTAAAATAGCCTCCTACTGCCCTTACAATGGGGTCCAAATTCTTAACACAGTGTAAAAGGCCCTTCAGAAAACAATTTGGCAGTTTGTTAAACACTAAATTTGTGGCTGGGTATAGAATTACACCTGTAATTCCAGTGCTTTGGGAGGCCAAGTGGGGGTGGGGGAATACCTTGATGCCAGTAGCTGGAGATCAGCCTAGGCAACACAGTGAGATGCTGTCTCTACAAAAATTTAAAACTTAGCTGGGCACGGTAGTGCACACCTGTAGTCCGAGCTACTCGTGGGGCGGAGATAGGAGCATCACTTGAGCACAGAAGTTCAAGGCTACAATTAGCTGTGATTGGACCACTGCACTCCAGCCTGAGTGACAGAGCAGGACCCTGCCTCTAAAAAAACCCTAAAAACCAAAAAACAAATAAAAATTTTAGGCCAGGCGCAGTGGCTCATGCCTGTAATCCCAGCACTTTGGGAGGCTGAGGCGGGAGGATCTCCTGAGCCCAGGAGTTTGTGACCAGTCTGGGCAATATCAGGAGACCCTGTCTCCACAAAAATACAAAAATTAGCCAGGCATGGTGGTGTGCACCTATGGTTCCCAGCTACTCGAGAGGCTGAGGTAAGCGGATCACTTGGCCCAGGATGTCAAGGCTGCGGTGAGCCATGATTGGGCCACTGCACTGTAGCCTGGGAGAGAGAGCGAGACTCTGTCTCAAAAAATAAATAAGTAAATAAATAAATAAAATTTAAAAGACAAGGATTTCTACTTTTCCAAATTCTATTCGACATGTACTGGAGGTAACATCTAGAGCAATTAAGCGCAAAAACAAATTCTTTAAAACATTATTAGAACTAATAAGCTTAGAAAGATTGCAGGATACAAGACCAATATATAAAAATTAATTGTATTCCTATACACTAGCAGTGAGAAATCCAAAAACTAAGAAGGCAATGCATTTATAATATAACAGCAAGCAAACAACTACAAAAAAGTAACAACTACAACAAAACCCCAAAACAAGAAATCTAGGAATAAATTTAACTAAGCAGGTAACTTCCGATTTCCAGTCAGGCATGTAAGGAGGTTACAAGTTGTCATCCTCATTCATGGAATAAGAAAAATGCTGAACAAAATCAGTATAAACAACTCTTCTTAAATCCATCAGAGAACTGAAGACACAGGGCAAACCGCTGCCTGCAAAATTGGAAAGACAAACAGGTAGATACAAAAAATCACAAGTTATAGGTGCGGAAACCTCAAAACCTCCACAGAAACCTGAATGAAGGTAGGAAAATCTAACCTGTAAGAGGAATTCCTGAGGCTCAGTATGATTAAATCTGAGAGTTAAAAATTCCAGAGGGGCCCAGGCTTGAGCAAGGAGAGTGAGGGCACATTTTTGCATTTTATCTCTAGGAGCCCTATGAGGTCCTCACAGTGAAGATTAAAAAAAAAAAAAAAAAATCCCCTCCTGCTTCTGGCAGGGGAAAGGGGAAATAAGTCATTTTGAAATAAGCCCAGAGCACACTGTTTTCAACAAGGCGTGCCTGAAAAGAAACTATTTCACCGGAGCTGAACTGAATACCCAACTCCAGCCCTCTCTAGCTTTCCTGTCTCACCTAAGTGGGGCAAGGCACCAAGAAGCACTTGTGAAGATCACAGCCCAGGGCACAGGCTCACTCAAAGACTGAGATCTCCTCATAGGATTATAGAACTCTTCCCCTCCCCATGTACCTTACCGTCATTCATATTGACAGGACTCCTGTATGATCAAAGGGGAATATAACTCAAAGAACTGCAGATCTCAGGCCTTATTTAAGAAGTCTAGGCCAGGCGCCGTGGCTCACACCTGTAATCCCAGCACTTTGGGAGGTCAAGGAGGATGGATCACCTGAGGCCAGGAGTTTGAGACCAGCCTGGGCAACATGACAAAACCCCGTCTCTACAAAAAATACAAACAAAATTAGCTGGGTATGGTGGCGCATGCCTGTAGTCTCAGCTACCTGGGAGGCTGAGGTGGGAGAATCACCTGAGACTGGGCAACCACTGTACTCCGCCCTGGGCAACAGAGTGAGACCCTGTCTTTAAAAAAAAAAAAAAAAAAAAAAAAAAAAAACCCAAAAAAACAAACAAAAAAAACAGTTTCTAAACCCCAAAGACATCAAGGGAGATAAAATCTACACACAGGTATATCATATTCAAATTGTAGAAAATCAAAGATAAAGAGGAAATACTGAAAAAAGCCAGAGAAAAAACTACCTTACCTACAGAAGAGCAAAGATAAGAATTACATGAGACTTCTCATCAGGAATCACACGAGCAAGGAGAGAGGAGTGAAATATTTTAAGTGTTGAAAGAAAAATAACATGAACCTAGACTTCTGTATCCAGTAAAATTATCTTTCAAAAATGAAACAGAAATAAAGACTTTCTCAAACAAAAATTGAGAGAATTCTTCACCAGAAAGTTTGTCTTGCTAGAAATGATAACAGATAATCTTTAGAGAGAAAGAAAATGATTTCAGTCAGAAATTTGGACCTACATAAGGAAAGAAAGCACATTACAGAAGGAATAAATGAAGGCAAAATAAAATCTTTTTCTTATTCCTAACTGACAGACAACAGTTTGTTCAAAACAAATAATAGCAACAATGTGTCAGTGATTACAGCTTATGGATAAGTAAAATGAATGACAGCAATAAGGAAGAGGACAAAGGAATTGGGAATATTCTGTTATAAAGTAATTGTACTACTTGTTAAGTGGTATAGTGTCATTTGAAAGTGAACTTAGATTAGTTCTAAATGTACATAGAGTGTCCCCGTGGTCCGTGACTTACAGTTTTTCAACTTGACCATCGTGCAAAACCAGTATGTACTGGAGTACCTATAAAACCAGTTCGTTTTTCACATTTGGTGCCATATTCAATAAATTACAAGAGATATTCAACACTTTATTATAAAATAGCCTTGTGTTAGATGATTTTGCCCAACTATAGGCTAATGTAAGTATTGTGAGCATGTTTTTTATTTTATTTTATTTTTTTGAGATGGAGTCTCGCTCTGCCGCCCAGGCTGTACTGCAGTGGTGCATCTCGGCTCACTGCAAGCTCCGCCTCCTGGGTTCATGCCATTCTCCTGCCTCAGCCTCCCAAGTGGCTGGGACTACAGGCACCTGCCACCATGCCCGGGTGATTTTTTGTATTTTTTTTTTAGTAGAGACGGGGTTTCAAGGTTAGTCAGGATGGTCTCGATCTCCTGACCTCGTGATCTGCCCGCCTCGGCTTCCCAAAGTGCTGGGATTACAGGCGTGAGCTGGGCATCATGGCGGGTGCCTGTAATCTCAGCTACTCAGGAGGCTGAGGCAGGAGAATTGCCTGAACCCAGGAGGCCGAGGTTGCAGTGAGCCAAGAGCGTGCCACTGCACTCTAGCCTGGGCGACAGAGTGAGACTCCCTCTCAAAAAAACAAACAAAAAAAGTACAAGACTTGTACACTGAACACTATAAAATGTTGCTGAAACTAAAGATTTAATAAATAGAAAGACATTTCATACTCATAGATTAGAAGACTTAGACGATACTTCCAAGTTGATCTACAGATTCAATGCAATCCTTACCAAAAGCCCAGCTGGGTTTTTGTCATTGTTGTTGCAGAAATTGATAAGCTGATCCTAAAATTTATATGGAAATGCAAGGGACTCAGAATAGCCATAGAATTTTTTAAAGAGAGAAAAGTTGGAGGATTCAAACTTCTCAATTTCAAAACCTATAATACTACAAAGCTATAGTAATCAAGATAATGTAGCACTGGTATAAGGACATAGATCAATGGAAAAAAACTTGAGATTCCAGAAATAAACTCTCACATTTATGATCAGTTGATTTTCAACAAGGGTGACATGACTATTCAATTGGGAAAGAATAGTATTTTTGATAAGTAGCAGTGGGACAATTGGATATTCACATGCAAAAGAATGAGTTTGGACCCCTACCCACACCATATATAAAATTAACTCAGGCCAAGCAAGGTGGCTCACACCTGTAATGCCGAGACTTTGGGAGGTCGAGGTAAGAGGACTGCTTGAGGCCATGAGTTCAAGACTGGCCTGGGCAAGATGGCAAGACCCCATCTCTATAAAAAAATTAAAAAGTTAGATGGGCAGAGTAATGTGCACCTGTAGTCCCAGCTACTTGGGAGGCTGAGGTAGCAGGATACCTTGAGCCCAGGAATTCGAGGCTGCAGTGAGCTATGATTGGGGTCACTGCACTCCAGCCTGGGCAACAGAGTGATACCTAGTCTCAAAAACAAAAGAAAAGAGAACTGTTACAATTCAATATTAAAGACAAGTAATCCAATTTAAAAATGGGTAGAGGGCCAGGTGCAGTGGCTCATGCCTGTAATTCCAGCACTTTGGGAGGCCAAGGCGAGTGGATCACTTGAGGCCAGGAGTTCGAGACCAGCCTGGCCAACATGGCAAAAAGCCATCTCTACTAAAAACACAAAAATTAGCTTGGACATGGTGGCATGCACCTGTAATCCCACCTACTCCGGAGGCTTAAAGCACAAGAATCACTTGAAGCTGGGAGGCAGAGATTGCAGTGAGCCGAGATTGCTCCACTGCACTCTAGCCAGGGTGACAGAGTGAGAATCTCTCACCAAAAAAAAAAAAAAAAAAGAAAAGGGTAGAGGATCAGAATAGACTTTTATCCAAAGAAGATACAGAAATGGCCAATAAGCATATGGAAAGATGCGCTACATCATTAGTAATCAGGGAAATGCGCATCAAAACCAAAAGAGAAACTACTTCATACCCAACAGGATGGCTAGAATCAAAAACACAAATAACAAGTACTGGTGAGGATGTGGAGAAACTGGAACCCTCCTATACTGGTAACAGAAATGGAAAATGGTACAACCACTTTGGAAAACAGTCTGATAGTTCCTCAAAAAGTTAAAGATACAATGACTGTATGACTCAGCAATTTCATTGCTAAGTATATATGCAAGGGAAATGAAAATGTATGTCCATGCAAAAACCTGTACATGGTTCACAGAGGCGTTATTTGTAATAGTCACAAAAAGTAGAAAGGACCCAAATGTCTACTTACTGATGAATGGAAAAATAAAATGTGGTATATCTATACAATGAAATATCATTTGGTAATAAAAATGAAGTACTGATACATGTTGCAATATGTATGAACCTTGACATTATGCTAAGTGACAGAAGCCAGTCACAAAAGACCACGTTATCATTTCCTTTATATGAAATATCCAAATAGGTAAACTGTATGAAACAGAAAGTAGATTAGTAGTTACTTAGGACTAGGGTAGTTGGAGGGGTGCTAGCTAAAAGGTACAGGTTTTCTTTTTGAGGTGACAAAAATGTTTTAAAATCAACTGTGGTGATGATTGTATAACTGTGAATATGCTAAAGAAACAATGAAATGTACACTTTAAAGGGGTAAACTGTATGATGTGAATTATACCTCAATAAATCTGTTTTAAAAAGAAAAGTGGAATTATATTTCATTATAGCTCTTCATTACCTAGTCCCTGTTTCCCCATCCAGAGTCATCTGATGCCTCTCCTTCCCTCAAACTCCTCCTGTTACACTGAGCTTCCAGGACCCCTACATGTAATATATTCTTTTAAACCTCTGAGGCTTCCTTCTACCTGGAACATTCTTACGGCCCTTCCTTCTCTAGCCAAATCCTATCTGTTCTTTACATCTTGGCTTAGATGTCATTCCTCTATGTAGTCGTTTCTAACCTTCCATGCCTGAGTTAGAGGCACATCTAATATGCTTCAACTGCAATATGCACTTAACTACTATTTTAGCACTCTTCTTACTGACTTCCGGTCAACTGTTTAATTGTATCTCCCACTAAAACTGGGTCTTATTTATTGCAGGTTGGCCTAGAGAAGGTAAAACATACTTTTCAAAAAATGGGATAAACTAATCATAAATCAGAATCACTTTGATAATCATTTGTCAGCTCAGAAGAATGCTTAAAATAATAATAATAAAAAAAGACTGGGTGCAGTGGCTCATGCCTGTAATCCCAGCACTTTGGGAGGCCAAGGTGGGCATATCACTTGAAGCCTGGAGTTCAAGACCAGCCTGGCCCACATGGCAAAACTCCGTCTCTACTAAAAATAGAAGAATTAGCCAGGTGTGGTGAGCATGCCTGTAATACCAGCTACTTGGGAGGTTGAGAATCACCTGAACCTGGGAGGCAGAGGTCGCAGTGAGCCGAGATTGCGCCACTTCAATCCAGCCTGGGCAACAGGGTGAGACTCTGTCTCAAAAAACAGGGAGAGGAATAGTTAAAAATGAGTCCCAAACTGCTGGAAATATTTAATTGTGAAGAGAAAAGTACTGATGCATAATTTGCCTAAGAAATATGCACTTAATGTTCAGACACTAAGGAAGTTTGCAAAAGGAAAAATAGTGACACACACTGTCTTAACTGGATAGGCTTTGTGCAGACATACACTTTTAACTTGACTGTTTGGAAAATACGGTTTTGATTTTCAAATACGTTGACTGTATTTGAATCTTTTTCTACAGTGATGTATGATAGGTTCTGGATCCCAGTGAATATCTATCTGCCTGCAGAGTCAGACCCCAGAGAGTACTAAGGCTCAGTGCATTCTTATCAATTCTAAATAAGGGTGAAGGTAGAACAAATAGTACAGACTCCACCTAGAGTCTAAAATAACACAATGATGTCCTTTGTGTAGATTTCTTCAACCTTAAGTTTGAATGTGCTTCAATATGCAATTTTGCTAGGAAACTTCCAGAATCTGCTGGGGAGAGTAGAGTGGAGAAGCATGAATTTATGGTGAGAGGAGTCAGAAGAAAACAATATTTTGAGACTATTATTAATTTTTCTGTGAAGTTGTTTAGCAATCTGGTAACTCAGAAATTCTGGCCAGATGCCATGGCTCACGCCTGTAATCGCAGCACTTCGGGAGGTCAAGGCAGGAAGACTGTTTGAGCCCAGGAGTTTGAGAGCAGCCTGGACAACATGGTGAAACCCCACCTCTACAAAAAGCAAAATAATTAGCTGGGCATGGTAGTGTCCATGCCTGTAGTCCCAGCTATGGGAGAGGCTGAGATGGGAGGATCACTTGAGCCTAGGGCGTCAAGGCTGTGGTGAGCTATGATTGCACCACTGTACTCCAGGCTGGGCAACAGGGAGAAACCCTGTCTCTAAATAAATAAATAAATAAATTAGTTAATTAATTCTACTAAAAGTCCAAATAACTGCTTAAAAGCTTTTAAGAATGCAACAGCATTTTTCTGTCTAGCAGACTTAAGTGTGTAAAGTTACAGGTCAAGTGACTGCAAAGCCACATTTTGGTGACAAAATTGAAGGAGAGGAAAAAGCTTTAAAACTGGTGAATTCTGAAGAAAAGGAAAGAGAATTTTCTGAAGCTATAAGATCTACAATGACATACATGACAGTAAGGTATGCTGGATTTCTTCCCTAGACAGATGACAAGGCCAGAAGACTCTAAATGGCAACTCAAGAAATAACTACAGGCAACCCTATTTCATTTTATGAATCATACATGTATCTAACAGCCCAGAGAAAGAATGCTTTCAAAATTGGAGGTATTTAAAATGTCAAGAATGTATGTACATTAAACCATCTGACTTTTAGGACTTTTAAAAATATAAACATAGCCAGGCGTGGTGGCTCACACCTGTAATCTCAGCACTTTGGGAGGCAGAGGCAGGCAGATAACGAGGTCAGGAGTTCGAGACCAGCCTGGCCAACATGGTGAACCCCCGTCTCTACTAAAAACACAAAAATTAGCCGGGCATGGTGGCAGGTGCCTATAATCCCAGCTACTCAGGAGGCTGAGGCAGGAGAATCGCTTGAACCTGGGAGGTGGAGGTTGCAGTGAACCAAGACTGCACCATTGTACTCCAGCCTGGGCAACAAGAGCAAAACTCCATCTCAAAATAAATAAACAAACAAACAAACATAGCAGTGGGTACAGGAAATAATGCTCTGACAATATACACTCATCAAGCCTATGGGAGTGAGGGAAGGTTAAGTAGAGTATAAACATGGGAGAACATAAAACATGTAATTTACATCACCTTTGGAAAAGTAAAGTTGTAGAAAGAGAAAAATTAAAGAAAATATGACTGAGTAGATTACATATAATAATTCCTAGAAGAGGCTAAGTATAGTGAAAGGTCAATTAAAAAAGAAAGCAGTTGTTTTAGAAGTAAACACCCATCAGATGTTTATAGAGTAGTAATTATGTGATTCTGATGTTAAGATCCTCTCTTTTTAAGTTGTTTAATGGGTGTAGAGTTTTGGTTTTGCAAGATGAAAAGAGCTTTACAGATGGATCGGGGTGACGGTGGTAAAACAATGTGAATAAACTTAATGCCACTGAACTGTACACTTAAAAATGGTTAAGATGGTAAATTTCGTTATGCATATTTTATCAAAATTAAAAAAAAAAAACATAAAAAAGATCCTCTCTTTTCAAATTCCAGGGTCCAGTAGCCCTATCCATATTGCTGAAATGATTATAATAAAACAAATATTATAACTTCTACACTGCTTGCAACTGAGTAATCATAATAAAGGAAAGTTATATTTGTATGGATGGATATATATGCATACGCACACGTGTGTTTGGTATAATGATTATATTCTGAAAACTTGAAGAAGGGAAAACTCCAGTAGTTTAACTGAAGATAGAGATTTTTATTGATTATGACCCTATATACTTTACATCTTCTGGATAAAAGACATACATCTTTTCAAAATGGATGGTACAACCTAGGAAGAGAACTGACACCAATAAATTTGAACTATATAAATCTAATGACCTAAAAAACGATACATTTTAAAAATGAAAACTGTATCCAGATGTTCTTCCAAAAGGTTATAGTTAGCTTGCCACACAACTCCTGGAGACTGCTCTTTGTGGCTTCAGTGAGGCAACTGTCCCCAAAGGAATACAGATACTTTCATACTGAGGCAGAGAAACTGAAGGCAAGGGCTAGGGGCAGGAAACGAATGAGAAATTCAATTTTCTTGTCACTGCACAAGTAGAGTAGGTGTTTAGCAGCTTGCTTTCTCACTTCCCAAACAGAATCTTCAGTGTTTTGGTTCAGAAAAATCTATTTTTGTCCTAAATTCTACTTCAAAACCTTGAGATTAAAATAAAGGGCACTCTGATAAGAAATTTTCTGTCCCTATCACTCATAAATCTGGAGGAGAAAACGGAGAGGAAGAAGGATAAATAATAATAGCTGCCACTATATTTTGAGTGCTTTCTTAGTGCTGGGTGTAGTATTAAGTGCTTTATGTGTGCTCAAGTTAATTCTCAAAACAATTCAATAAGGAAACTCAGTAACAGGCTAAATGACAAGGTACCAGCTAGAAGGAGTTGGTTAGAACATGAACCAAGTCTAATTCCACAGGTGTGCTCAAAGTTTACTATGTAGGAATATTTTTGTATAACGGTTAAATTTTTCTTGAATGTTTGTCCAGAGAGTTAAAACTTTAGAAACATTAACAAAGATGTCTCATAAACACTGATTTCCCCAGACAAGTGGCGCATTTTCCACAAACCGCTATTTTGGACAGAAAATACTAAAATAATTTTCTCCAGGTGTTTAGAAACGCAGTTAACCTAATGAAAGCACTATAACACAGTTTTGCATTCTTACTAGTGATATAAAGCACTTTTTCAAATTAATCTGATTGCCCACCTTACTTCCTTTTAAAATTATATTGAAATCCTAGTCCTAGATTTTCTTGAGAATTTCTCTAGTATATTACATAGAATTATATTTTAAAGCCACACACTAAAGACAGTTTAGGAGTGATTTAAAAAATGGAATTTCACTTTGATTCTGTTAATTCAAGAAGAGGATCTTCAAACACTGTAATTTAAAAAAAACAGAGACTTGCTACACGAATACTTTAAGCAAGAGCTAAATTCCTGAACAGTTTAACTCCTCCTATCATTTTTACTCAGCAGAATTTCAAATAGCAGCTTGTGTACCCAAGTTATTTACATATTTTCTTCCTTAATCATCTCCTTTTCAAAGGACATAGAGTTCATTTAACAACCAGTTATTATGTCCTAGTTTTATTGCTATTTTTATTTGCTTTCTTTAATGAATGAATCATTTCCAAAACCAGTTTGTAAAGTAATACTCATTTCCGCTATTTCACGTAAAAAGCACAGGTCCAACAATTGCACTCTTTACCACCCCTTCCCGTATGTCTCACCACCAAATCACTATAAGACATCCTAAATTACAAACAGATTAATGTCTTTAAGAATGCAATTCTCAGGCTGGGCGCGGTGGCTCATGCCTGTAATCCCAGCTCTTTGGGAGGCCGAGGTGGGCGGATCACCTGAGGTCAGGAGTTTGAGATCAACTTGACCAACATGGTAAAACCCTGTCTCTACTAAAAATACAAAAATTAGCTGGGCTTGGTAGCACGTGCCTGTCATCCCAGCTACTCAGGAGGCTGAGTCAGGAGGATCACTGCAACCCGGAAGGTGGAGGTTGCAGTGAGCCAAAATCGCACCACAGCACTCCAGCCTGGGCGACAGAGTGAGATCCTGTCTCCAAAAAAAAAAAAAAAAAAAAGAATGCAATTCTCTCATATCCAACTTCCAGACTTAGTTATCATACAGACCATAAATAATTGTGACTTGGACACTAGCTAATATTCCAGGAACTAGTTATTGGTGAAGCAGGAGGAATTAGGAAAAAAGCTGTTAGGTCATCTAGGTCATCTCAGAATTTGTAAAGAATGGGTAGGTCAAATACCCCTTAGGAAAGCAGATTTCAAAAAACTAGGCCTGATTACATGGAATGAAATTATTGAAAAAAGGGGGTTCAAATGGTTACTAAGTTCTTGAAAATGTGGTTCTAATAATTACAGAGGGTGTTAATAAGAGAGAGGTACTAAACAAACCAGGATGGTTAAAACAGGACTCATCAGAAACAGCACACTATAAAAACAGCAGTGTGGTATGACTCCAGCATCATTTAATGCCAGGTAAATCATTCCCTTCTTTGAATATGCTTCTTCAACAGCAAAATGGGGACATTTCCCCTGCAGAGCTGTTGTAGGGGGTTTGTTACCTACTAAGATCAGTATTTCTTTGCAGTTCTTTTTGTCCTTAGGTTATATCCCATCATTAAGAGAGCACAGTCAGAGTTTTATGTTGAAAAGTTACTTGATAATTCCTTTTTTCCTTGATGGTTACATGATTAATTTGATGTACAGTTAGGCTCACTGATTTCAATTTGTATTCAATATTGAAATTTACTTTTTTCAACAGTAAGACTACTCTTCTTTACAGTAGTGGTACTATTCATATGAGGTAAACACTGTGGCCAGTTGTCCATGGACTAGAATTTATATGTAAACAGTAGAATCGGTATGGTAACATTTATATCTACAACTTAATATTTATTACAATAAAGTATTTATGATCAATTTTTAAGATAACTGCCTATGGCTCCCGAAAAGACTATAGCTAAGGATCTTCAAAAGTTAGTCTGATTAACTTTAGTTGACACTTACATAGTGCTATGTGCCAAGCACTGTAAGTGTTTTATATACATGAAACAGACCTCTGAGGTATGTTGCCCAAAATCATGCTGCTAGTAAGCTGAACAGATAGAATTTTTTTTTTTTTTTTAGACAGAGTCTTGTTCCATTGCCCAGGCTGGAGTACAGTGGCACAATCATATCTCACTGCAGCCTTGAACTCCTAGGCTCAAGCGATCCTTCTGCCTCAGCCTCCCGAGTAGCTAGGACTACAGGCACACATCATCATGACTAGCAATTAAAAAAAAAAATGTTTGTAGAGATGAAGTCTTGCTATGTTGCCCAGGTTGGTCTCAAACTCCTGGGCTCAGGCGATCCTCCCATCTCAGCCTCCCAAAGTGCTCAGATTACAGGCACATGAACCGTCATGTCCAGACAGAACAGGTAGAATTTGAACCTAGGCTCTACAGTCTGTCCTGTTAGCCACTTTAATATAATGTCTCCTGCATTCTAACTGATTACACATATGTCCCTGCCATAAATAGGAGCCATAAAACTTAAACCTTTTCTGGTTACTTAAATGTGTGACCTTAAGAAAATTATTGTATCATAACTTTCCCACTATTAAAAATGTTTTCGGCCAGGCGCAGTGGCTCATGCCTGTAATTCCAGCACTTCGGGAGGCTGAGGTGGGCAGATCACAAGGTCAAGAGATCGAGACCATCCTGGCCAACATGGTGAAACCCCGTCTCTGCTAAAAATACGAAAATTAGCTGGGTGTGGTGGCATAAGCCTATATAGTCCCAGCTACTCAGGAGGCTGAGGCAGGAGAATCACTTGAACCCTGGAGGTGGAGGTGGCAGTGAGCCGAGATCATACCACTGCTCTCCAGCCTGGTGACAGAACAAGACTCCGTCTCAAAAAAAAAAAAAAGTTTTCAAAGATAATCAACTGCTGTAGACTAAATCTCCTATACATATTTGTAAATATTATTTAGGCCAAATCAACTGCTCTACCTAACCACTAATTTCACTCATTCAATCAACATTCATTAAACATTGCTGGGAGGTAAAGTGAGTCAATTTATTCTCCTGTCTTCTCCAAACCCCACTGAAATGACCAATATAATATACCAAAGAAACTGTCTAGAAGATCTAGATCCAGGATTTCAATATAATTTTAAAACAAAGGTTGGCAACTAATTTGAAAATGTGCTTTATATCAGAATTAAGAATGTAAAATAGTGTTATAGTCCTTTTGTTGGATAAACTAAGTTTCTTAAGAAAATATATATATATATATATAATTTGTACAAAATTCTATAGCAGCATGAGAAAATGACAAGAATACCATCAACAAAGCAGAATCACTGAAGAATTTCTTGAATCTATACAAGAGAAAACAGGTTCACAGAAAAGGAGTAAGTACCTCTGTAGCCTGTATCAATACAGTCAAAAGACAAGAGTCTTCTTCATTAGATAAGTTGACGGATTTTCTAAAAAAAACTCAGTAAAACCCCAAGCTCAGAGAAACAGGAGCTGAGCACAGCAGAGAGCTATTGGTAAAGACAATGGAAACTGACCACTGAGAATGGCTGATATCTGTACCTTGAACTTTTTCATCTGGGTATGAACTGCTTGAATGGCCAAGTTGGAGATTTGCCACAAGAGGCTCCTAGAGAGGAAGGGCAGAGCACAGTAGGAGGTGATGGATAAGAGATACAATCTTTTAGTTAATTCTAGGCTA
Source organism: Homo sapiens (assembly GCF_000001405.40). Taxonomy (NCBI): domain Eukaryota; kingdom Metazoa; phylum Chordata; class Mammalia; order Primates; family Hominidae; genus Homo; species Homo sapiens. The sequence goes on from NW_017852933.1 coordinate 1,081,482, forward strand.
ATAAAAAGAGAAAAAAAGCAGTGCCCAGCAACTTACAGAGGCAAAAAATAAAAGAAATAGCACAGTAGGGAAAACCCATAATGTATCCAACATCCCTGATAACTGTCAAGATAGTCACAATAAAGGATAATTAAATCTTCAATACAGGGTGGTCCACTTAAAGCCAACATCTTACTTAACTAATGGTGCAATTCTAAATGGTTACACGATAATAGCTACCTACTGAATGGTAAGAACCTCAGAAAGAGTATGAGGTTTCTAGGATTAGTCCTATATTAGCAACATATCAACATAAAAGGGTTTGTCTTCTAATCCTAATCCACTAAATCTTATCCAGAGTGGGAGTCTAAAAGGTGATTTAGTAGGCTGATATATGACTGTCTACATTTGTCTTAGTAAGATTCTTTGCTATGGTTTCTTAAGTGACTCAATTTAAAAAATTTTTAAACCCAAAGTATTTTGTCTACAGAATAAAAAAACAGAGTCTCACATTTTACGTTTCATCATAAGAAGATGAATAAGATTATACCATAAATTATCTTGTAGGCTACCTGTGATTATCAATCATCCTTTACATTTACAACCCTTGACTGACACTTGGTTACTGTCTTAGTCCATTTGGGCTGCTGTAACAAAGGACCAGGTGGCTTAAAAGCAATTAAAATTCATTTCTTACATTTTTGGAGGCTGGAAATCTGAGATCAGGGTGCCAGCAAGGTCCGGTTCTGGTGAGGGTCTTCTAGGTTGCAAACTGGTAAATTCTCACTGTATCTTCATATAGCACAAAGTGGGCTAGACCTCTTTTTAATCACCTCCCCAAATCCCCTCTGCCTAATACTACCATATCGGGGGTCAGGATTTCAACATGTGAATTTGGAAGGAGGGGTGCATTCAGTCCATGATAGTGACTAACCTCAACTAATGAGGTTAGGGTTATGGTTTACATACCTAGCCAGTCAGGGAAATCTACCCTAGGACTACAGATTACATCCATAACCCAGTTAGCAAATGTTGGCTAGTGTAGGAAGGTTGAAGGATGCTAGTGGCTTAGTACAATCTGTCATCACACTTGAAAAATCCCCAAATACACATTACCTTTGATATGCAGCACAGCACCTGCATATAAACATTTGGATAGGCTGTCTGATACTCTTAGTGCACTGAGCTGGAAGAAGATAGCAATCCAGGTATCAGGGGCATGGTTAGAATGTACATCGTGAAAGTGATACCGGCAGGGCCTGGGCAGTGGCTCATGCCTGTAATCCCAGCACTTTGGGAGGTCAGGGCGGGAGAACTGCTTGAGTTCAGGAGGAGTTTGAAACCAGCCTGGGCAACATAGCGAGACTACTTTTTTTAATGGAAAAAAAAAAAAAGTGATACGGGCAGCCAAGGATAAAACAATGATATATCCTACTTTAAAAACATCAGATTGCCTTCAGTAACTGTATAGTGGGCAAACAATCAACTGCAATGTTTATGTTCCATGTATCAAATGTGATAAGAGATTAATCCATTTAGTTGCTTAACCACAATAACAGCAGTTACCATGTGTGCCTGTACTGTGGTAGATGTTTCAGATATATTAACTTTAATTCTTACAACCACCCTTCAAGGTAAGAAGTATTATCCCCATTTATACATGAAAAAGCTATAGCTCCGAGGCCAAGAAACATGCTCAAAGCCCCTCAGCTGGTAAACAACAGAACCAGAATTTGAACTGAGTTCTGACTTCTCCCCTATATATATATATTTTTTTTTTGAGACAGGGTCTCACTCTGTCACCCAGGCTGGAGTGCAGTGGTCCAGTCTCGGCTCACTGCCACCTCCACCTCCCAGGCTCATGAGATCCTCCCACCTACGCCTCCTGAGTAGCTGGGACTACAGGAACACGCCATCACGCCGGGTTAATTTTTGTATTTTTTGTAGACACAGGGTTTCATCATGTTGCCCAGGCTGGTCTCGAACTCCTTGAGCTCAAGCGATCTGCCCATCTCGGCCTCCCAGAGTGTTGGGATTACAGGTGTGAGCCCAGCCCCCATACTCTTTTAACTTTCTGAATAAAATACTTTCCTAAGAATTTAACATATCATATACACTCACTTTTATTTTCAAGTAAGAGGATATTCATGAAGATGAAGGGGGACAGGAACTATTTTTCAGTTGGGGGAAAATACAGAATAACAAAATTTAGGTAAATTTTCAAGCACAAACAAAACAACCATGGGAAAGCCAGAATCAGAACCCAGATTTCAACATAAAAGACTTAATCTGCACCTTATCATACTTAAACTGGCATACAAAATACTGTTTTTCTCCTTACTCTATCCAACCATAGAGGTCCCCTCAACGAGCAGTAACCATTCTAGACCAGACCAATGGCCCTTCCCGTGGGCTCAGATGAGGAACATTGGATCCAACCTCTTCCATTTCATCTTGCTTCCTCATGGGAGAGATTATTTACCCATTACAAGTTCCTCACCATCCCCTACCCACCCCCACCACAGCAAACTACACATATCATATGCACTTGCATTCACTCATACGTATCTTCCTCAGCTCTACTGAGTTAACTCTACCACAGGTTATTCCACTTCAGGAAACCTCTTACACATACAATCTCCGTAATTCCTCTGATAGGGCCAGAAAACCCAAAACACTGTTGACATATATAAGAAGAATCTCAGTGAACAACTATATCACATAGGAGGAATGCTGTAAGCTTTGAAGTCAAACCGATCAAGAATAAGAAAAATAAGCTGCACTTTCTTGTTCCTTTTTATCTTTTGAAAATGCAAATAGTAAAGCAACTGTATTGCTTTCTACTATTTTGTTGTTGCAGAAGTAAGTATTTCAACTACAACATGGACTTGTGGGCTAGCCTAGAAATCTAACTTCCGTATTGACCCAGAGAATCAACAAAACAACCTACAAATTAAGTTTCATCTTATAATATTAAAGTCAGGGCTGGGCGCGGTGGCTCACGCCTGTAATCCCAGCACTTTGGGAGGCCGATGCGGGTGGATCACCCGAGGTCGGGAGTTCAAGACCAGCCTGACCAACATGAAGAAACCCTGTCTCTACTAAAAATACAAAAATTAGCTGGGCGTGGTGGCGCATGCCTGTAATCCCAGCTACTTGAGAGGCTGAGGCAGGAGAATCACTTGAACCCGGGAGGCGGAGGTTGCAGTGATCCGAGATCAAGCCATTGCACTCCAGCCTGGGCAACAAGAGCAAAACTCCATCTCAAAAAAAAAAAAAAAAAAAATTAAAGTCAGGAATGATTATATAGTAGCTGGACTTCATTTTCTAAATAAAAACCAACTGATACTTTTTTTTTTTTTGGAGATGGAGTTTTCGCTCTTGTTGCCCAGGCTGGAGTGCAATGACACGATCTTGGCTCACTGCAACCTCCGCCTCCTGGGTTCAAGCGATTCTCCTGCCTCAGCCTCCTGAGTAGCTGGGATTACAGGCATGTGCCACCACGCCTGGCTAATTTTGTATTTTTAGTAGAGATGGGGTTTCTCTATGTTGGTCAGGCTGGTCTTGAACTCCCGACCTCAGCTGATCTGCCCGCCTCGGCCTCCCAAAGTGCTGAGATTACAGGCGTGAGCCACCGCACCTGGCCCCAACTGATACATTTTTTAAAAAAAAGAAGCCTGAATTCTATGGATATGCAGCTAATTTGATATGTAGCAATTTAAGTATCATACTTGTGAAAATGAGATAAGACTGGGAGTGCCAAATATTCCTGTCTTCTGAGCTCTAGTCCCTTTCTTCTTGCATATCCTACTATCACCTCAAACAGAACATGTCTAAATCAACTCCTCACTTTTTACAATCACCTCACTCTCTAAATTCCCAATTTTATTCCCTAGCCCAGGTTCAAAATCTTAGTGTTAACCATAACATTTCCTCTTTCCTGCCCTGTGCAAGCTTAGACTGAATGCTGCCTAAGATACAAAGATCAACAAATCATATTCCCTGCTCTCAAAGAACTTTAAAAAAATCTATACTACAAAAAAATTATACTAGAAAATAGGGCAAGTACCACACAAATAACCATGACACAGATATGCTACCATAAAAAATGTGCAAAGTGTTACCAAGGGGTTGGAAAATCACTTTAGGTAAGGGATCAAAAAAGGTTTTATGAAGATAGCAACTGATATGCTCGGAAGATGGGTAGGATACTGATAAAACAGGGACTGGAGAGAGTGAGAGGACCAAAGAATTACAGATGAGAATACAGATTACACACAGGAAACAGAAAGTAATACAGAGGGGCTAGAATGTACATTCATGCGGGGAAAAAAGCAGGATCTAAGGCCAGAAAGTATTATAAGTTGGAGCCAGATTGTGAAAATCCTTGAGTGTCTTTTGTCCTGTGGAAGATGAAGTCACTGAAGGTTTCTGGTACAAGCACATGCAATAGTTAAGAGCCAGGATCCACTGTGTGACATTAGGCAAGTGACTTCTCTGTATTTTCATGAGGCTGTCTAAATAACAGCACTTACACAGGGGCATTGTGGGGATCAATTAACACATGTAAAGTGTCTAGAAAAGAATCTGTCACAAAGTAAATGCTATACAAGTATTTATTATTCTATTTGTTCTTTAGAAAGATAAAGTAAGTTGCAATACAGAGAAATGGACTGGAATAGAAATTTCACTGCCTCCTCTCTACCTTTACTCATGCCATTCCCTTTTCAAGAACAAGAACCACCCAAGTCTTCCTTATTACTCATTATTAAATGTATCATCTGTTAAGCTCAAATTCCACCTCCTCTCTGATTGCCTGATCCTATGCATATGTTGGTACATACTCACAAGATGTAAGACATGCAAGATACAATTTTATCTTCCCAGGGTATAGGGTACCTCAAGGACTTTTTTCATTTGCTTAAACATAATCTCTCTGATTATTTCAGTACAGATTCCTTACAGACCACAAATACGTCAATAGCATTTGTTGCAAGATGGTCTGGAATGAAGTCCAATCGCATAGGGAATATCTATGGGAAGATTTTTAAAATATTCATAGTAAATTAAAGATTTCTTTTATCAAAATGATGGTACCTTATAAATCAAATGGTCATATCTCTTTGACAGTCTAAGTGGCCTTAAAGATTTTTGTCTTTGGAGGTCAGTGGCCTGGTCAGCAGAACTGATCTGAACATGGCCTATTTTTGAAAAGAACTTCTATTATTATGGCTGAAATTGGACCCAACCATGTTCCAGGTAAACAACTTACTGTGAATATATTGCAATAATGAAATTTTGTTCTTCCTTTTTCTTACTTGACCCACCCAACTGCATTTTTTTCTACTCCTGTTTAATCTCTAACTATAGTAGAATATGGTCCCTAGTTGAACAGATCTATATTAAAAGTCAACAGCTGCCTTTTTGCTCAATATATACAACGGCAAGTGTCAAAATGCCAAATGTGATATTTTATTTATAGCAAAGCTAGTATAATGAGACACACAAAGTGCAGCCTTTTGCTAATTAAAAAAAAAAGCAGTGATTCAAAGATTTGTCAGTTTGCTTCAAAAGTGAACTGGAGTCACACACTGAAACTTCCCTTAAGCAAACTATACATGTTAGTTGGTACATATTCACAAATACATGTAAGTACCATTGATAGCAACACCCAAACCCAAATGCTCTTTTTTTTTGTCAACTCTAAAGCAATAAACCCCAAAGGAACGTCACATTCTACTTGCTCATTGCATATTTGGCAAGAATTCTCCTCCGTGTAATTTGCAGTTAACAAGAGAATGCACAGTAAAGTTTACAAACACAGTAAATTTAGGTGAAATACACAGTAAGGGTATATTATTGAAAAATGGTTTTAATCCAGGTACCTATTTTTAGGTATCCTGATATTCAAAGATCTTCAGGTTTCCTCATGGCTCTTATCTAAGCCTCTTTAGGATTTCTACAACAGCTTTCCCAACATTACTTTTTCATCAGTTTGTAGTTGATAAAGGATGAAATAACTGCTACTTTCAATCTGTTGTTATCAATCGGATCAGGTTTTCTAATTATAAAGCTGCTAGCTGCTTAGTTGGGCGGGGAATTCTAGAAAGTACTTGGAAAAAAAGGTGTAGCTTCAGAACTTGAAAATACAACATTCTGACAACCAAAAAGACATGAATGTCATGTTATATAAACCATCACAAAGGTAAAGCTGTAAATATGAAATTTATACCTATATACTTGTCACTGCTGTCACCGTACAACCTAATTTCCTGGGTCTCTTAGAGAAGCATATCAAACACGGTCACTATGTAAATAATTATGCATTCAGGTTGCACGAACAAGTTCTTATTTATAATTCAATGGTGACAATTTCATAAACAGGAACACTTCATTACATGTCTAAATTTCCCCTATAAGATTATGCAATATGGCCCACCACCTAAGTATGCATTGAAATGGGTTATGGAAAAAATGAACTCACAGTTGCATTACAGAAGCTAGTAACTAGAAAAAAATTTATTCCATAAACTAAATCTTCAGCTATATCGCTTGCCAGGTTTCTATAAAGAACCAACTATCTCATATATTTCAAACTTATTTTCACACTTTGAGGTGAGAAAAATTGACTTGATACTCCAACTGTACTACCAGCTCTTAAATTCCTTTAAAACTAACCTCTGAACTAAATGATCTTAACAATACACTGTGGTTAATATTCTTTAACCCACAGGAGAACAAAGTTGGAGTCTAAACCTGCATAACTATTGGAAGTGCTGAAAGAGGTATTAATCAGGTCTGAATGATATAATTTTCATTAATAAAAACCCTCAACTGCAACTTGTCTAAGATCAATTACACGGCTCGTAAATAGTAGGACAGGGACTTGGCTACATGTTGGTTTGCCCCAAAGCCCGTGTGCCATTTCCACTATGCTAGGCTGTCTTTCACTTAGAAAACCTCTTCAATCTGTTCCAGAAACATAAAAACCCAAGTACTCCTTGGTTTTGGTAGTTACATGTGTCCCATAAGTGTGTATTACCACAACAACTGACTATGCAGTCTCTCTTCCCAGATTGGACCCAGCTGGGTTCACGAACATTCAAATACAGACACATTATGTTGCCTTAAATCTCTTTCTGGAACAAGGCAGGTATAAGTAAATAAATAAGACAGACAGTACAAAAGGGAAACACTAAAAATCCAGATGTTTTGAGCTTTTATGTAATAAATGACTAACATTTGAGCATTTACTAAGTATCGGACAATGTGCTAATCTCTTATATGCCACATTTTATCTCCTCACAACTATCCTTTGAGGTAAATGTATTGTCTCCATTTTATAGCTGAAAAATCAAATTACATGCCCCAAATCATAAAGCTAATAAAAAAGGAATCCAAGAATCAAATAGAGATATGCCTGACTCCAAATCCTACAGAACCATTTTACTATACTGCAACTCCAATACAAACTCAGTATTTACCAGGAAAGGGATTAAACAATGATGTTTTTGGTCACACTAAGCAGAACAGTGGAGAACTGATATATGTAACTATTACTATGCAAAATTTGAAAGGGGTTCTGGCAGCCAAATAAGGAAGGACTCAATAAGTATGGCCAATCTAACAAATGCATCAGCAGTCTTTACTCTAATTTTTTTTCTTCTGAATTTCCTTCTTTTAGTGATTTCCATTTACTCATGCCTGCTGTTCATGTTCTTCATCCTAAATTCCCCTTCTCCAAAAACATTTAGGCTTATTTATAGTCTTAATTCTGAAGTGGCTCCATCTCTGTTGGTAATGATAAAAGAGATGATGTTTGGAACTAAGGTTGTAAAGGAAATATTAATGCTTTGTTCAGGAGATCTAATTTCCTATTGGAAAATCTAGTCCACTCTGGGAATTCACAGTATCATAAATGATCTCAAGCTTTAAGCATGTCCTGTGAGTACTGTAAAAAGACCGGTTTTTGAATTTTTATTGATAATTATTACTTGATATGCTGAAATAGATTATACTGATAATGTCACTTTTTAAAAAATCACATTTAAAAAACATCTTTAATCACTTTATCTTCATAGACTTTTATGCTTGGAAGTAAAAAACTGAGTGGTCCAAATGTCCACCAACTGATGAATGGCTAAATAAATGTGGTCTATCCATATAATGGAATACTTGGCAATAAAAAAGAAATACATAGCTAGGTGTGGCAGCGTGCATCTATAGTCCCAGCTACTTGGGAGGCTGAGGCTGGAGGATTGCTTGATCCCAGGAGTTTGAGCCTGGGAAACACAGCAAGAGCCTGTCTCTTAAAGAAAAAAAAAAGTCATAACATGTATGAACTTTGAGAACATTATGCTAAGTTTAAGAAGCCTGTCACAAAGGATCACATAGATTCTATGATTGGAAATGTCCAGAATAGGCAAATCAACAGACAGAAAGCATATTAGGGGTTGCCTAGGAGGCTAAGAGGCACCTCTTAGCCTGGTCTTGGAGTAATGAAAATGTTCTGAAATGGACTATGGTGATGGTAGCACACAACTTTATGAAGATACTAAAAGCCACTGATTTGTATACTTTAAATACTTTATTTGTATACTTTAAATGGATGAATTTTAGTATTATGTGAATTACATCTCAATAAAGCTCTTTAAAAAAAATTTACTGGAAATAGGCTCAAAAGGCCAATGAAGAAATATTATTAATGCTTTTTAAATTCAAGGACAACACAATCTCAAAATGTTTGCCCTTTTAGGTAACCAAATCCTGTCCTCTATAAATCATGTCCAAAGTGATTAATAAAATAAAGTTTGAGATAGGTTTGTTTAACAACTGATGTTACAGAGTTCTTTCATGTCAAAGTACCTTTGTGACCTTTGAAGTTGTTACAGTTCCAGGGAAAGGACTAATGATTTAATCATTTTCTATTACTTAATAAACAGGTCTGCTTGAGCAACTTGTAATTTTAGTGTTTTAAACTGAGGATCCCCAGTGCATAGGCTGGGATCTACCTGTAGATCTTGAACCCTTATGAGATAGATGTCAAGCACCACAGTCCCTTATCTGAGGTTTACCAGATTTTCCTATGAAGTAGGTAGGAGGTAGCAGAATAGGAAATGATACCCCTCACCAAGGCTTTCACTTCCCTGAACACCTGCCAATCTTTAGACCTGAAGAAAATGAAAACTCTTCCTCACAAAATGCTAGACATATAGTGGGTTTTAAACACATAAGGCTTTCTCCTTATTCCCGATTTTATTATCCATGAGCAATGGAGACCGGGGGAGAGGACAGAATCCTGTTGGCATAATACTTTTAGCTCATTTGTGTCTCCTCACTCAATCCTTGTCAGGTCACAAGGACTGACTTCATCTGACTGGTAGTTTAGGAGAAAATGGGCATATGTGATCCAACATTTTGTCTTTGGAAGCACTCATCTCTCCTCTGTCATGCTGGAAGTGTTATAGGGGCAGTTCCCCCAGTTCTGTCTGGGACTGGATTGTTAAGTCTGCTCAATTTTAAGGTCCAGGAGTAGGACGTCACGTGCCCCCAAATGTAAGTGACATTCTCCAATATCCTCTTTCTTAGTAATAAAATAATATTTTAGCCCCTAAATACCTTATTTCTTTTTTGCCCCTCAACTAGTTCAGAATACAAGCAGGGAAAAACATGTCAGTTTTTGAGATTCCCCCCCCCCAAACAGTAACATCCCATCTAGACAATTTTAAAAACAACAAGAATGAAAATATCTTCAGAAATGAATACACTAACCTTAACTTCGTTATGACAAACTATAACATGAATATGATAACCACTTTAGGGAAATTTTGACGAGACATAAGGGAGAAGTTCTTTCAGCTACTTGAAAGAGACTTTTGGGGAACATCTGGAAATCTTCATAAAGAACATAAGGCAAATCTATCTAGGATGATTAGGATTACGGTCACTGAAATCCTTGCTGTGAGGGGATAATGCCTTCCTCACTAAAGGGATCTGCAGACCATTTATATTTATCAGAGACGCAGCTTTACTTAACTGTTTATCTTGTTAAAATTAACTAACACTAATTTTTCCCCCTGACAAAAAGTCTCTTCAGGGGTGAGAAGAGAGTGACAGTGAAATTAAGAAGCTTGTACAAAGCAAAGACCCCCAAGTCTCCTTCTTTCCCTCTTCTGTAATCTGGGAAAACCTCCAGCCACTGAAGAATTTTAATTTCATTTAAGATAAGTAAAAGGTGTGCATAAATAACATATAGGTAATACTTCAGTGAAGAATTTTCTTCAATGGAATCTTTGCAGCACTGAAACTCAAATCTCACATGCAAAGCACTACCATGTGGGGGAAAATGTGAAAATGACTATTTTACATTGGCCAAATATAAACATCCTAAGGAATCAGATCAAGTAATGGATGTCAAAGTGCTTCAAAAACTATGAAGCATTATATAAAATCAAAGATATTCCTATTGGTGTTGAGTTCCAGTAACCAGCAGAAATTTGACCTTAGCATAGCAGAATTATGTAATTTTGCCACTGTATTCATCTACATTTAATATTTCTGGTTACACTAACACAAACAGTCTTCATTAGAGTGCCTTCCCCCATACATACAATATGTTTCAGATCTTCAAAAGTTTGTGCATAATCCACAAGCCATTACAAGAAGTAGATGAAATGTTAATCACACAGGTGAAAATAAAAGGGATGTACTTTCTCTGTATCTAGACCAAGACAATAAAAACATGAAAAACTCTGCTGTCCAAAGTATGGTCCATAATCTTATAGTAACAGTTTATCAATAGGGACTTCAGGAAGTTACTCTTTTTTTTTTTTTTTTTTCTATTCCTTCTATGGTAGTTCAAGTAGAAGCTGAGAACAGAGATTAGAGTATGGAGAGACTGGAAGAGGAAGAACAGCACGGAAGTGACAGAGAAAGTCCAAAGCCAAGAGGGACATATATTTAACTTGTTCTAAGCATGGCTGTATTATTCTTGATGTTTCCTTATTTCCTAGAACATCTAATAGAGAAAAACATCATTTCTCACAGTTCTGGGCTTTCATTTCAAAACTGGATTCTGACACCTGTTCTTATAAACTAGAACAGCAATATAACAATATGTAATTTTTATTGAGCATTTACTGTGTGTCAGGTACTGTTCTAAATGTTTGACATGGGTTAACTCAGTTAATTATCAAAATATCCCAGTGAGATGGATACTTTTATTATCCCTACTTTACACAGGAGGAAACGGAGACAAAGAGAGGCTAAAGAACCTGCCCTAAAGCTACAGAGCTATGAAGTGATGAAGTCTAGACTTGAATTCTGAAACTTTCCCTTAGTAGTTCACTGCCGTGGTTTTCAAGCTACATTCTGCAGACTATTTCAGCTCCAAAAGTTCTACTTCTAAAATACATTTTATCCGGTATAAAAACTGCAATGAAAACATCACAATCAAAACTTTAATAGACTGAATATAATACACCAAAGGGAACCAACACATTAACTTTTTGTTGCCAGGTTAAGTGGCTTTTGTGCAGCTCTTGAAATAAGCTAGACCTGTCACCACTGAGATCTTACTTGAACTTCTTGTAAATGTTTCATTGATTTGGAAGGTGTAACTCTGCACTTTTTTTTTTTTTTTTTTTTTAACTCAGGACTACATCTGCCTGCTCAGGTGAGACTGTACAGCATACGAGCTCAAGCACAACGGTAAACCAAGGAACATACTGTCCCATTCGTTTTATGTTTTGGGGGGTTTACTGCCTGACATATGTAAGGTAAGAAATACATGCTAGATAAGAATTTTAAAAATTTCCTATGTTCCTAGTATCTCTTATTCCTCTTTCTAGCCATAATATTTAACGGAGTGGTATCCTGAGATGGCAAGGAAAACTTTTAGAAAAAAAACAATCACTTCCTCGATCCCACATCAGCCACACATTGTCACTGTTACACTCTGGACCTTGTGCCTACGATCCCCTGCCATTCCACTTTGCTGGATTGATCACTCCCACTCTGACTGGTCTTCAATTTTATTGGGTCCCCTATTCTACTGGCCATGTACCATTGTACCATCTGCTATTCGACTGAACAATCCATTAGTTTTTATTCATTTTCACTCTTTATCCAGCTGACACTCCATAAGCCATCATTACAATACTTTGGCCACTATCCTAAATACCTTGGCTGCTCTGTCATTTTGTTGCAATGTATCTGGCAAACCCCAACCTTGAATGAAGCCTTCACATTATTCTTTATTATTCATTATTGTATATGAGGCTTTTACATTATTCTTGATGTTTCCTTATTTCCAAGAACACTTGGAAAATTCACCTACCTTAGTACCAAAATGACATAGCACTACTAGAAAAGGTCAAGAGGGCAGATAGGTTATCACACTGTATGTTCATGACCATCAACTTCCACGACGCATCAGTGCTGCTAGACAAACCTACTTATCACCGTTGGCAAGCTTTCTCTGCAATTATTTCGAACAGTTTCTATTTCCTCAGACCTTGGACATCCATTGCTCCTATCTCCATGGCAACTCACAGCCAATTTTGCCTCCAAATTTTAAAGAGTTATACTCATTCTATCCTTGCTTTCTTCTGAATACAAGAGGAGCTTGCCCTTTTTTTTTTTTTTTCTGTTTTCTTTTTAAGACGGAGTACCATTCTGTCGCCCAGGCCAGAGTGCAGTAGCGTGATCTTGGCTCACTGCAACCTCCGCCTCCCAAGTTCAAGCAATTCTCTTGCCTCAGCCTCCCGAGTAGCTGGGATGACAGGCATGCACCACCGCGCCCGGCTAACTTCTTTGTATTTTTAGTAGAGACAGGGTTTCATCATGTTGGCCAGGATGGTCTCAAACTCCTGTCCTCAGGTGATCCGTCCGCCTTGGCCTCCCAAAGTGCTGGGATTACAGGCATGAGCCACCACGCCCGGCTATGCCCTTTTCCATCTTAGGAACGTTATGCTATCACTTATCTTTCTTCTCTTTTATATGTAACAATTCTTCTCTTTCAACTATATCTTTTGCATGGTCATTTAGTCTATTTTATCTATTGGGATTCTATCTAAAACTTCTTTGTAAAAAGATTCCTTCTGCTACAGCACCGAAACCCCTTTTCCCCTAAGTACGTGAAGCCTGAAAGTCTCATAAAAGGAGTCAATACACATGTAAGTAGGATAAAAACATCAACAGGTCACGAACTGGATGTCATACATGTAACCGTGTTAAGTTGTCGGGCAGCAACAATATTTTCATAAACAAAGCCCATAGTACCACCAAATTCGAAACCATCCTGATTCTTCATATCTTTTACAATTAAGAGTTCTGCTAAAACTCTATGGGCAAGAAAAGTAGCAGAATTTTTAGAGTGTTATTTTAATAACCAGTGAATATGACAGCATGATTTTGTGTTACTAGGTCTAGATTGGGGGAGAGAAGGGAGGGAGGAGGAAGCAACAAATGTCCCAGCTACCACTTTTTTTCTAAGAGCTAAAAATATTGCAGGATAAATACAGAACCATAAGTAATACTTAAAAATTAAGTTTTGACAGCACAGTGATGCTTTTCTTTTTCTTTTTTTTGAGACAGAGTCTCGCTCTGTCGCCCAGGCTGGAGTGCAGTAGCGCAATCTCAGCTCACTGCAACCTCTGCCTCCCGGGTTCAAGCGATTCTCCTGCCTCACCTCCTGAGTAGCTGGGATTACAGGTGCACGCCACCATGCCCGGCTAATTCTCTTTTTTTTTTTTTTTTTTTTTTTTTTTTTTTTGTATTTTTAGTAGAGACGGGGTTTCGCCATGTTGGTCAGGCTAGTTTCGAAATCCTGACCTCCTGATCCGCCCGCCTCGGCCTCCCAAAGTGCTGGGATTACAGGCGTGAGCCACCGCGCCCGGCCGCATTTTTATAAGAAATTATCCATGGAGGGAGCTTGACATTCCCAACCCTCCAAAAGTTCCTTCACCTGCACTGAACAAGCAGTTAAAAAACAAGACCATTCCTTAAATCGGAGCAGCTCTCCTGACAGCTGTTTACATTAATTAAGGTTTGGTCTCACAGGTCTGGGAGAGAGGGAGAAAGAGAGGCGGGGGAAGAGGGGAGGGAGAAGAGGTAACAGGGAAAGAAGTGGCCCAAGCTGAGAAAAATCTTGGAAGCGCATTCACCTGGGGCACCCTTCAGAAAGATGCCCGCCTCTTTCCCGAGGGCACCACCTTGCCTCTCCCGCCCACAGCTCCGTGGTGGTACAGCAAGCACTGCTCCCGCTGCCGGGCTGCCTGCAACTGTAATGTGTTATTTAATTTTGTAACTACTATTAAGAGCTCTCCAGCGTTTTTGTGATGCGCTGGAATGAAAGACGCTCCATAAAATGAGGTTTATTATTAGTAGTATTATAGCTCCCGGGCCTAAAATAAAGCAGAATTATAACCACATACACACTTCAAAGGGAAAATCCGAAGCCACAAGCTTCTCAAACATTGCCAAGCGGGCAGGGGATGGGCGGGGGCGGCGGTGCAGAGGGGCTCCAATCCGGCGCCCCCCACTCCCACCAACCCCACCAGCTCTCCCAGCACCCACCATTCACCCTGCCTGGTGGGGTCAGCGCCCGCAGCCCGGGCTCGCCCCCGGCCGCAGCTTCCTCTGGTGGTGGAGGGTCTGGGGTCGGACCTGATCCCTCTCGGCCTCCCCTCGCCCACCAGCTCTCTAGTGGCTCCCGCACTGCCCCGCAGGCTGCCTCACTCTCAGCCCTAGCCTCTCCGCCTGGTTTCTAATTCCCTTGCAGGAGCCTCAGTTTCCTCCCGTCTCCCACCTTGACTTTTTTTTTTTTTTTTTAATCCAGAACGAAGCTCATTCCTCTGCGATCCCTCACATCGGAGGGCTGCTCCCCTCCTCCCCGGTCCGGGACTTGCCAGCCCAGCCCAGGTCTCCTCGGCCACTTTTCACCCGGCCTGGGGCGCCTCTCCCCTCAGCCCGGGGGTCCCGCTGGCGCCCGGCGGCTTCCTCTCCTCCATCCCTTTCCTCCGCGGCCCGGGTCTCCCCTCCGCCCCCGGTCTCCTCAGGCTAGCCTCCGGCCGGGACCCTCCACCCCGTCCTCTCCTCAGTCCGGGTCTCCCCTCTCTCGCGTCGCCCTCAGCCAATCCCCCGCCCGGCCCGGCGCGCCAGCGGCTCACCCGCAGACTCCCCGGTGTTGATCCAGTCCGGGTTGGCGATGCTGGCGATGGCGAAGATATCGGCGGCCAGAAAGAGACATCCTGAGATGATGGTCAGTTTATCCATCTCCCCGCCCCGCTCCCCCCACCCCCCGAGCCCCGGACAGGCAGCGGCCTCACGCCTCCCGCCCCATGGGCCGCCGCCGGGGCCCGGAGTCCCCGCGCCGCTGCCTCGCGCCCCCTCGGCCCCCGCGCGCCGCTCGCGCCCTCCGCGCGCCCGGGACCAGCAGCCGCGGCGCGGCCCGCACAGACGGAACCGCCGCCCGCCCCGGAACTGCTCGGCCCGCCCGCCCCTCACCCGGAAGCGAAGCCGCGGCGTTGGCGAGGCCGGTCCCGGCTCCCCAGCCGCCGCGCCCCAGCTCCGTCCTCCCGGCTCGGCCGGCCGCCCTGGGCCCCTCCCCGCACCGCCCGCCTCTACGTTCTGGACCCGGACCCGACCGGCCCGGCTCCGGTCCCTGCCCGGGTCCCGGTCTCTTCTGGCAGGCCACGCCACCTCTTGGCTTTCTGCCCACTAATAAGATTGTTGATGTTGATGACTGGGCACAGGCTGCGGCCCCTCCTGAGCCCCTCAGAAGCAAAACTGGAATGAGAGTGGGGAGCTGCCCGTCTTCCAGCAGGAGGCGGGCCCCGACTCCCGCCGAGCGACTCCGGGCCCCGCGCGGTCCCTGTCACCTTGTATTCTCATTGCCCGTTCCGCGGCCGTCAGCTCCCAGGATTGCCCCATTTAGCAAATAGCTTTCGACAACCCCTCTTCGTCAGACGTTGTAGGTGCAGAGGTGCTGGAGTGGACAGAGGCAAGGCGCCCGCTCTTGGGGAGCTCACGTTCTGGTGGGAAGAGACAGAAACACATTAAGAACCTATCTGTAAAATAAAGATAATTTCAGGTGCAGATCCCTGAATTCAATGGAGGTCAGTGTGATGGGAGTCGGAGCGATACCTGCGATAGGGAAGGATGCATTTCCGCTGAGACCATCACGATCGTAAAGATCTGCACTTTGAAGACCTGGCGCAAGACCAGACAGAGGGAACAGCCAATGCAAAGATCATTAGGGGAGGGGGGCAGAAAGAGATCAGCGTGTCCAAGGAATTGCAAAATGGCCTGTGTGGCAGGAGAGTAGTATGACAAGAGGTAGGCAGAGGCTAGGTGTAGGGCTTTGGGGGCCTTGGATTTTGTTCTGAGTGCAATGAGAAGGCAATGGAGGGTGTTTGCAGAATCCCATGATCTTACTTAATCTGTGAAGATCCATAGTGTAGCTTGTATGGGGGAAAGGCAAAGATGACAACAGGGACGCCAGTTAAGAGGCCAAGTAGTCCACGAGAGAGAAGTGTAGCTTTGGCTAGGGTGAGAGTAGTGAAGATGGAGAGGAATGGACAGATTTGGATGTTTTGTAGATAGAGGGAAGGACCTGCTGATAATGGGGAAGGAGTTGAAAGAGAACTCAAGAATAAGTTTTTGACCTGAGCAACCAGGTGTTATGATCCCGTTTACTGAGTTGTGTGTGCAGCGTCTTAAGTTGGATGAATAAACAGGAAAATAAGGCATTTGCATAATTTGTCAGCATATGCTATGGTGGAGGTTTTCTTTTCTTCCACAGCTCATGGGCCGAATCACCACTAACCCTGATGTTTGATCCAGCTCTCCCTAATGGTACTCCGTGCAGCAGATGGAGATGAAACACTCATTTTCTCCTTAAATGCCACATAGGTCGTCTCTAGAAGGACCTAGAAGAGTGACATCTGTCTCTATTTTTGGAATGCTTACATGTCCACAAAATTCAGGAGGTTTCAAATTCCACCAAATCCAACAGCCTTGCAGAAATGTGCAACAGAGTATCAGTGTCACTACATAGCTGGGAGAAGGAAGGGTTTGATTGCTGGTCTATATTGACTTTTCTGTCCAAACATTGGTCTCTTGGGGGAAAGGTTTTTTTTTTTTTGTTATTATACAATTTATTTTTCCTCTGCCACAGAAATTGACACAAGATAATTCATATACTCCAAGGATCCAGATATAATGCATATCACATTACTGCAATAGTCTTCAGTTTCTTTTTTCTTTTCTTCTTTTTTTAAATAAGTACTGGAGAAATTTAATTGAGTCATATTTGGCTTCTTGTTGGGGTTTTCTATTGCCCAGTGATAGAAGAAACTGTAACTATACAGGACTAAATTCCCAGATAATATCCACTGATGTTCTCTACTGGCCAGCTTAGAAGAATCCTAGGGCTGAATGTTTGAACAGTTTGCACATATTCTAACTCCAGCTGAATAGAATGATGATGATTGGGTTCTTGTGTTTACAATAAATACAAGTAGCCAAGCGTGGTGGTTTGCACCTATAATCCCAGCTACTCCAGAAGCTGAGGTGGGAGGATCACTTGAGTCCAGCAGTTCAAGACCAGCCTGGACAACACAGTGAGACCCCTGTCTCTAATAAATAAAATAAATAAATAATACAGTTCTTCCTTTTACCCTTTACAAATGGTTCTGGGTCTAAGATTAAAGCACAAGAACAACCAGTATTGAGTTAAAAGAATTTAAAACATTTTTATCATACTAATGGCTGCACATCAGTACAGAGAATAGTCACCTATCCCAAACCTTCCTACCATCCAGAATGGGAGGTGGGGTTGGCAGGGGCCAAACTGTTTACAGATTTCCCATTAATCCCTCTTTTTATCCCTATAGCTCTTTTCTTTTCTTTCTTTCCTTTTTTTTTTTTTTTTGTCAGAGATAGGGTCTCACTATGTTGTCCACGCTGGATTTCAACTTCTGGCCTTAAGTGATCCTCCCACCTCAGCCTCCCAAGTAGCTGGGACTACAGGCCCACACCACTGTGCCTGGCTGGTGTTTCAGAGTCCCCAGTCTCTGAGGTCTGCAGGACAGATCAGTCCCCTTCTCTCTGTATCTCAGTCTAGATTTTAGCAGAGGCAAACCCTAAGGGTTTGGGAGAGGTGATGGAGTGAAGCAGAGAGAATACAGAACTATGTTCTAGTTCCTGCCCTGCTCCTGACTTGACCTTGGGAAAGCCATGTCACCTCTCTGGGCCTTTTCCCCCCATCTGGCCTAACAAGACTCCTGGCCTCGGTGACAGAAGCGTCCCATCCTCTCACCCACCCCTAAGCAGAGCAGCTGGGACTTTTCAGAAATGAGCCACAAGACTCCTTATGGCAGAAAGCCTTGGGGACCCAGAAGAACATAGAAGGCTTCCAGGAGGGAGATATGCTGTGCAGCCTGAAGTCATAAACAGCCATTCTGCAGCTGTTAAAGGGCCATGAACATGGCATGCTCTATTGTGATGGATGGCAGGCCTTGGCCAGAAGAGGCTGAATCCAGATGGGACCACGGGCAAAGCTGTGGAAGGGACTGTGTGATCACTCTTCTCTTTAAGGAGTATCTTCAGCCTGACAATAAACACACTGTCTCCCTAGGGGTTAGGTTTCGTGGGCCAAGAGCATGGTGGACGCACCACACATGTACCTGGGGTTTCTGGGGTTAGAGAAGACACAAGAAACTAAATCCAGAGTTAGCAGCTTGCGCCCGGGCTCAAATCTCAGTTTGTTTCATGGATTGGTTCCCTTTGAGCTGACTCAGAAATGCGATTATTGATTAGTGCAGAAAGTTTATTAGAGAGCCTTTGAGAATCAAGTCCTATGGGGAAAGGGAAGCAGGGGTGGGAAGAGGGAGAAGTCAGTCTGTGCTGCAGTCATGGGAGGCTTTGGCAGACCCCCAGGGGAGTTCTGAAACTAGGATAGCTGCTGAGTTGGCCTGAGTTGGAGTAAATGGGCCAAGTCTTTTCATCCCTGCACTGACCTGCCATGGAGCTTGGAGGGCAGCTCTCTTTAGACAAAGACAATTCCTCAAGAGGGCTGACAGCTGAGATCTGTCAACCTACCACCCACCCGGTAGGCGGGGAATAGTCCTTCAGTCCTGACCGAGGCAGTGTAGTGCAGCATTTGCAATAGTGCCCACATGGTGCTGTGCCTCTCATTTGCTACTTAAGTTTGGAGAGCAGCACTTTCAGGACCCTGGGGAATCTTTTCCTGTGGGAAACATATAGAGGAGGGTTAGTGGGAACTACAGCTCCTGCCGCCGCTACAGCTCATCTAGAGGCATAACGAACATACCCTTCAGTCCCCTCTTCTATCCATCCTAGAAACCTCTTCCCTTCTGCCAGCACCTCAGATGATCTAGGTGGCCTGCGTGATGGGGTGGTCTAGACCTCCATCCTTAGAGAGCCTGAGCACCTAGTTGCTGTGCACTTCTCAGGCAGTGGTTGCTGCATTTGTCCATTTACTGTCCAAATAGGGCAAAGGAGTACTAAGAGACACCTAAATAGATCACGTGGGTGCCCAATGTTCCTCCCTGCCCTGATGTGAAGTCTCAGCCTGATTCCTTCCCGGTAATTGAATACTCTTGTCTGCTTTCTCCCCCTGGTATACCATCCCATTTACTGCCTGTAAAAAATTAGCCATCTTAGAGTTTCCCTCTGCCAGAGGCTAGCTATGCTCCTCCTGTACCAGGGATGGGCACCTCATTATTACCTGGGTATTAGGTGATCCATCCTAGCATCTACTCTTTGGAAGAAGGAATAAAGCAGGGTCCGGGCGTGGTGGCTCATGCCTGTAATCCCAGCACTTTGGGAGGCTGAGGCGGGCAGATTACCTGAGGTCAGGAGTTTGAGACCAGCCTGGTCAACATGGTGAAACCCCTGTCTGTACTAAAAATACAAAAATTAGCTGGGCATGGTGGTGGGTGCCTGTAATCCCAGCTACTCAGGAGGCTGAGGCACGAGAATTGCTTGAACCTGGGCAGTGGAGGTTGCAGTAAGCCGAGATCACTCCACTGCACTCCATCCTAGGCAACAGAGTGAGACTCTCTCTGAAAAAAAAAAAAAAAAAAAAGGAATGAAGCAGGACAGGGCAGAGGGAAAAGTAAGGCTGCAGTGGACCACGTGGGGAGTTCTGAACCTGGGATGGCCCTGCATTGACCAGTCACCAGATGCTAGTTAATCTAGGAAGGTGAGATCTTGGGCAAGGCGTTCTTTCTAGCCAGTAGTAGTAGTGAGGGTGGGAAGTGTAAGTCTTTCAGCCCTGAAGGGGGATCTGGGCAGCACAGCACCCAGGACAGTTTGTATCCTGCAGTTCCACCAATCAGTGTGACCTTGGCTTACTTGGCTTGGTGGAGTGTAGAGACCTCCGCTTTAAAGACACTTTTTAGCCTGGGGTGGAGGGAAGACTAAGGGGAGGCCAGGCACTGATATGCTCCATCACAGAACCATATATGCTGATGGGCTCTATTCCCACAAACTCTTACCCTTCCCCTGCTGGTAGGAAGATGGAGGAAAAAGATGTATTTTATGATAGAATTAAGTTGGTATCTATGTAGACCCCTGCCAGACTGTTTGGAAGAGGAAAGGTGACCTGTCACAAGAAGTCACCCACAGGAGACTTGAGGTGGAGAATAGCCCTTTGTACTGGTCTCTACGACACAGGTTTTATCTAATGAGAAATCTGTCCTGGCGCTCACGCCTGTAATCCCAGCACTTTGGGAGGCCAAGGCGGGTGGATCACCCTGAGCTCAGGAGTTGGAGACCAGTCTGGCCAACATGGCAAAACCCTGTCTCTACTAAAAATACAAAAATTAGCTGGGCGTGGTGACACAGGCTTGTGGTCCCAGCTACTCTGGTGGCTGAGGTGGAAGGATCGCTTGGGCCTGGAAGGCGGAGGTTGCAGTGAGCTGAGATTTTGTCACTGCACTCCAGCCTGGGTGACAGAATGAGACCCCATCTCAAAAAAAAAAAAAAAAAAAAGGAACCTAAAGAGGAATCTGCCCTGGCTTATTGTCTGTGTAGAGCCACAGAAACAACAGAATAAGCTTGGACATAACCAGATCTACCATGGAAATCTTTGCACAGTGCCTGACACCTAATAGGTGGTTAATGACTGTTTGTTGAAGGGATGGGGCAAGGTGCTTAGCCTCTCAGTTTCATCAGACCGGGGATAACACCAGGGCCTACCTCATTAGGTTTTCTCTTTCTTCTAGAATTTACTAACTCATTTATTCATTTTTATTTTTTGAGACAGGATCTTGCTCCATCACCCAGGCTGGAAGGTGGTGACTCAATCATAGCTCACTGCAGCCTTGAATCCTGGGCTCAAGTGATCCTCCCATCTCAGCCTCCTGAGTAGCTAGGACTACAGATGTGCACCACCATGCCCAGCTAATTTTTAAATTTTTTTTATAGAGAAAGGGTCTCACTATGTTGCCCAGGCTGATCTCAAACTCCTGGGCTCAAGCAGTCCTCCTGCCTCAGTCTCCTGAGTACCTAGGATTACAGGTGTTAGACACCACACCTGGCCTAGAATTTATTTTTAATAATTTATATTTTCCTAAAATTGTCCACTTCATCTGTTTTTTAAGTACAGGTTTCAAGAGGATAGAGCCTGTGTTTCTGTGTTTGTCTTGCTTACTGTTGTGTCCCCAGTATCAGTAAATGACAGAACAGCTCCCTGTAAATACTTGTTGTATGAGTGAATGTGTGTGGGAGGAAGAATTATCTTGGAAAAAAGAAGGAAGCATTAATAGTGCCTCTCCTAATAGTGACTCATTTTTTTTTAGGCCACCCTGGGGCCTTTTCTTATTCAAAACATTCATGAAAAAAAGTGCAGTTCCAAAGCATTGGAGCTACTGATGTAACAATTTTTTTAAAATACCATTATTAGAAGTGCAGCGGGGGATTCTCTGATCTTCTAGGTATTCTGTGATCTCCTGTGATCTTCTGGCTGTGATCTTCCTCTGCAGACCACCTCACATCTTTGAGACACCCTCCTCTGTGCCTTCTCCCCCTCCCTATTTCTTAGGTTCACCAAGAATGAATGAAGAAGCCAAGCGCGGTGGCTCATGCCTGTAATCCCAGCACTTTGGGAGGCTGAGGCGGGCAGATCGCTTGAGCCCATAGTGCAACAGTTGTGTTGAGCCTGAGCAACATAGTGAGACCCCCACCCCCTGCCCGTCTCTTAAAAAAAGAAAAAGAAAAGAAGGAATGAAGAAACCACCGTGGGTCAGGCACGGTGCTAACCTCTGCAGAAGTTTCCATACAGTACAATGGTGTGCAATGCCCACGCCACGTTTTGCAGGGTCCACGGGAAGCCTTGCGGCGACCTCACTGCCGCCCAATTTCTGGGCAGTGGCGGCGCAGCGCCCCCTGGCGGCCATCCCGAGGGCAGTGCCCGCGGGCAAGGTTCGAAACTGTTGGCATTGGGACTGACTCCAGCCTCTGCTCCGGGAGGCCCTCCCGGGCTGCCTGACCTCCCGGGACCATGCAGAAGGCCTCCCACAAAAACAAAAAAGGTAACTGGGGAGAAGGAAGCGGGTGAAGAAGCCCTGGGGACCAAGCCTTCGTCAATGTTCCTCCTCTGTAAAATGGCAACGGTGCACTCTTGGCCTGGGAGATAACCTCTCTCCATCGTTGTTGTTATCATCATCATCATTATCATCATCATCATCATCATCATCATCATCATCATCATCATCATCATCATTTGAGAAGGAGTCTTGCTTTGTCCCCCAGGCTGGAGTGCAGTGGCGCGATCTCAGCTCACTGCAACCTCTGCCTCCCAGGCTCAAGTGATTCCTCTGCCTTAGCCTCCCGAGTAGCTGGGATTACAGGTGCCTGCCACCATGCCCAGCTAATTTTTTATTTTTAGTAGAGATGGTATTTCACCATGTTGGCCAGGCTGGTCTCAAACTCCTGACCTCAAGTGATCCGCCCGCCTTGGCCATCGTTATTTTTATCAAGGTATAATTTCCATGCAGTAAGATCCCCCCTTTTAAAAGTACAGCTACCGTTTTGACAAGCTATACCCACGTTGAACCACCCCCTCCATCAAGATAGGGAACAGTTCCACCACTCCCTAAAATTACTTTGCAATGCCCAGTTGCAGCCAAACCCCACCCCACTGCAGCTCCTCACACCCCCATCTGTTTTTTACAGCGTTTTTTTTTTTTTGCCTTTTCCATGGAGAACATCATAAAAATGAAATCACATAGTAAGGAGCCTTTAAAAAATTATACCAATGTAAATAGGGACTTTGGCCCTTTCATTTTTATTAAAAGGGCACATAAATCTTAAAATAGCATATGGGTCACTGTATTTTATTTTTAGAGACAGAGTCTTGTTCTGTCGCTCAGGCTGGAGTGCAGTGGTATGCTCCTGGCTCACTGCAGCCTCCAATTCTTGGGCTCAAGCAATCCTCCTGCATCAGCCTCCCATAGCTGGGACTGTAGGCATGCACCACCACATTCAGCTAATTTTTTTTTTTTTTTTGAGACAGAGTCTTGCTCTGTGACCCAGGCTAGAGTGCAGCGGCATGATCTTGGCTTACTGCAACCCCCGCCTTCCAGGCGGGTTCAAGCGATTCTTGCCCCTCAGCCTCCAGAGTAGCTTGGATTACAGGCGTGAACCACCACGCCTGGCTGATTTTTGTGTTTTCAGTAGCAACGGTGTTTCACCATGCTGGCCAGGCTGGTCTCGAACTCCTGACCCCAAGTGATCCGCCCACCCTCAGCCTCCCAAAGTGCTGGGATTACAGGTGTGAGCCACCATGCCCAGCCTAAATAGAAGAGATGAGGTGTCACTATGTTGCCCAGGCTCTAATCACTTTATACTTCTGCTAGCCCCCAGGTGGGCTTACTGAAGGATGCAGACTCCTGCACTGAGCAATTCTTGTTCTTTATGGCTTTTTTCCGCACAGCATCAGGATTTGATAAGACTTGAGGTTGGCAAAGAGGCTGAACTAGGCAGGCAGGTGCCAGACAGCCTTAGGCTTTTTCACTGCAGGGCTGTTGTCATTTGGACTGCTTGTCCTTGGGAAGGTTGACATTGCTGTCTGACTAGCCTTGTAGCAAAACCTGTAAGTCTTTCATATTTTAGTCTGGTGCTTGGGGTCTGGCTCTCCGAGGACCATAGTGCTGCCTCCTCCACCTGGTTGTCCCCAAACACAGCAGCTCACTCTTTTCTGAGCTCACCCTTTTCCAGGGAGGAAGCATTGAAGATCTCACTTTCAACAGCAGTAGGATCATCTTTGTCAGTACCTTCGGGTTCCAGGGTCCCTGCCACTGGGCCCTAGCGAGCACTTTCCTCAGGTTTCATGTCTAATAGTTCATCCTGAGCATGCACTGTGTGAAGAGCCTTTGCCTAAAACACATAAAATACCTTTTCCATCTTCAGTGTTTTCCTTGTCGTGGTTTTCATCCTCTAATGAAATTAATTGACTCAGCTCCTGCACTGTTACATCTGTGCTTTCCTGCTGGGTGAGCTTCTTTTCTTCTTTCTCAACTAGTTTTTTCAGAGGGTTTTGTAAGTGCTTTAAAGTAGTGACTTCATATGGCTGATAACCTGTGAAGCTCTCATGGATGGCTGCCATAGTGTGAGAAGTCTTCTCTCCAAAATGAAGCAGAGTGGTCTGGTATGTTGCTAGCATTTGAGACAGGAGATTGCATGTATTTACTTGCTCCAAGAAAATCTACATCCAACTTCACTTTGTCAAGGTTTTTTTCTCTCTCTTTTTTTTTTTTTTTTTTTTTTTTTGAGATGGAGTCTTGCTCTGTCACCCAGGCTTGTAGCTGGGATTACAGGCATGCACCAACATGCCCAGATAATTTTTTTTTGTTTTTGAGACAGAGTCTCGCCCTGTCACCCAGGCTGGAGTACAATGGCGCCATCTCAGCTCACTGCAACCTCTGCCTCCTGGGTTCAAGCGATTCTCGTGCCTCAGCCTCCCAAGTAGCTGGGATTACAGGCCCGCGCCACCATGCCCAGCTAATTTTTTGTAACTTAGAGACAGGTTTCGCCATGTTGGCCAGGCTGGTCTCGAACTCCTGATCTCGTGATCTACCCGCCTTGGCCTCCTAAAGTGCTGGGATTACAGGCGTGAGCTACCGTGCCTTGCACAAAGTTTTTTTTGTTTTTTTTTCAAGATGTACTTGTGTTTCTTGCCTTCCCGAACTTCTGCATTTGCTTATAGAGGTCTGGATCAAACTCCTGAGACATGTCCTTCTTCTGTAAGGAGCCTTTTGAGTCTGGCTTCTTTTACTTAACCCTGCTGACTTTTAAAAGTGGGCTCCTGGTAGCTTACCTTATAAGCATATTGAATTTACAAACTGAGATAGGAACCACTGGACCTTGCCCAAGATGTGACTTCTCTGTTTGCTCAGGAACCAGAGGCTCAGGCAGGGCGTATCCTGCCCCCAGTTGCTCCCAGAACCCTGAAAGGTCTCTGAAGATGGTATCTTGTTTATATTATGCTATTTTATTTTCCCAAACAGAGAGCATCTGTGGTTTGGGGGAAGGTGAGGTTGGAGATGGGCAAGGACATTTGCTTTAGAGGAAAGGGCCATGAACCCCTCCAGCTCCCCACAGCCAGAGGTAGGGAGCTGGGGGAGCCTCTCCCTCAGCAGTGGCCCTGAAAACACCACAGTCACATGGACTTGGCAAGCTTGTGTGTCACCTGTCCTTATGGAAAGGAGTTGTGTGTGAAATGCTGGAAAAGTGTGCTGAAAACAGATCTCCCCAGGAGCTTCCTGTGTACCGAAAAGGAGTTTCCTAGCAACTTCCTCTTGGGAAATTAACTTGTTGTTTTGAATGTCCTTTTAGTCCCTGAAATTTTTCTTGTGAGATTTGGTTCTGTAGAAAACATATTTCAACCTCTCCCACTACCCCTTGTCTCCAAGGCCTTCGGATTTTCCCCCATGTGCTTTTTGGATCCATCCACTGCTCATTTCCGCTGTCACTGCCATGACATGTGCCAGGACCCTGTCATTTTCATGTCATTTCATTTCATCTAACCATGTCCAGCTTTACTCACTTCGGAGCCTTTTCACTAAGGAAGTCTGAGAAGCAGCCTCTGTCTGGTTGGTCCTCGCTCCTCCTGCCTCCCCCTCCTCTGACAGGGACTGTTCCTTCCTTTCTCAGACCTTAACACAATTTGCTCCGGATCCACCTTTCTTTGCCTAAATATTTCCTATTGGTCCTTTTGGCCTTAATTCAAATTTTAGCCCTGCTGGAAGCTTGACCCGCCATCCCCAGATGAGACTTTGGCCCTCTGTTACTCATTCTCAGAGCCCTCCGTCCTTTTCTTTCATAGCATGAGTTACAGTTTGTTATCCAACATATATTTACATGACTGATTGATATCTGTCCCCTCCACTAGGCTGTAAAATTCATGAGGACAAGAAACACATGTGGGCCAGGCACGGTGGCTCACACCTGTAATGCCAGCACTTTGGGAGGCTGAGGTGGGAGGATTGCTTGAGTCCAGGAGTTCAAGACTAGCCTGGCCAATATAGTGAGACCCTGTCTCTACAAAAACAATAAAAATTAGCCGTGTATAGTAGCACATGCCAGTAGTCCCAGCTACTTAGGAGGCTGAGGTGGGAGGAGCCCTTGAGCCCAGGAGATCGAGGCTGCAGTGAGCCCTGATAATGCTGCTGCACTCCAGCCTGGGCAACAGAGTGAGACATTGTCTGTTAAAACCAAAAAACCCAACACATCTGTTTTGCTCACCATGGTAAACCCAGGGCCTAGCACACTGTATCAATAAATATTTGTTAAGTGAACAGATAATACTAACTAATATTGATTAAGCACTCACAATATGCCAGACTCTGCAAAAGCCCTTTAATGCACCCATTTAATTTTCAGAAGAGCTCTCCAAGGTGAACATTTTTATCCTCATTTTACTGACAAGGAATCTGAGGAACAGGGATTAAATAACTGTCCCAGGGATCTGGCTTCAGAACCCCAGTAGGTATGGCCATGCTTCTGTCTTGGTGAAGGACTGAAATAAGTTCCCCTCTTTTGGTTAGAAAGAGGAGTCAGCAACAAGGTCAAAACATCTGTACACAACTTGAGCAAAACACAGCAGACCAAACTCACTGTGGGTAGCCTGGGATTAGGCCTCATCATCATCCAGCATGGACCCTACCTCCAGATCACCCACCTCATCAGGAAGGGGGCTGCAGCCAACGACGGGAAACTCCAGCCAGGTGATTGCCCTTTCGCCATGCTTCCCAACCACCCATCCTGCCCATCTGCCTGCAGGGTGACTCGGGTCACCGGGTTTCAGTGTAACTATAAGGATATGACGGGCATGCTGGCTCATGCCTGTAATCCCAGCACTTTGGGAGGCCAAGGCGGGGTGGATCACTTAAGGTCAGGAGTTTGAGACCAGCCTGGCCAACATGGTAAAACTTTGTCTCTACTAAAAATACAAAAACTGGCTGGGAGCAGTGGCTCATGCCTGTAATCCCAGCACTTTGGGAGGCTGAGGTGGGTGGATCCTGAGGTAGGGAGTTCGAGACCAGCCTGGCCAACATGGTGAAACCCTGTCTCTATTAAAAATACAAAAATTAGCCAGGCGTGGTGGCACATGCCTGTAATGCCAGCTACTTGAGAGGCTGAGGCAGGAGAATCGCTTGTACCCAGGAAGTGGAGGTTGCAGTGAGCTGAGATCGCGCCACTGCACTCCAGCCTGAGTGACAGAGACTCCGTCTCAAAAAATAATTAAATAAATAAATAAATAAAATAAATACAAATACAAAAATTAGCTGGGCCTAGTGGCGGGCGCCTGTAGTCCCAGCTACTCAGGAGGCTCAGGCAGGAGAATCTCTTGAACCCGGGAGGCGGAGGTTGCAGTGAGCTGAGATGGCAGCACTGTACTCCAGCCTGGGTGACAGAGTGAGACTCTGTCTCAAAAAAAAAGGATATGACATTAGTTGAGAACTTTCTATGGGCCAGCCAATGGCTATCACTTATATAACTATCACTGTTGGGCATATTAATTCATTTAATTCTGGCTGGGTACAGTGGCTTACACCTGTAATTCCAGCACTTTGGGAAGCCAAGGTGGGAGGATCCGTTGATGCCAGGAATTCAAGGCCAGCCTGAGCAACACAGTGAGATGCTGTCTATATTAGTCCGTTCTTGCACTGCTATAAAGAAATACCTGAAACTGGGTCATTTATAAGAAAAGAGGTTTAATTGGCTCATGGTTCTGCAGGCTGTACAGGAAGCATGGCTGGGGAGGCCTCAGGAAACTTACAATCATGGCAGAAGGTGAAGAGGAAGGAGGTATGTCTTACATGGTTGGAGCGGGAGGAAGAGAGAGTAGGGGGAGGTGCTACACACGTTTAAACAACCAGATCTCATAAGAACTCACTCGCTATCACGAGAACAGGAAGGGGGAAATCTGCCCTTGTGATCCAGTCACCTCCCCCCAGGCCCCTCCTCCAACACCGGGGACTACAGTTGAACATGAGATGTGGGCGGGGACACAAATCCAAACCATATCACCATTTCTACAACAAAACGAAAGCAGCCCGGCATGGTGCGTGCCCGTAATCCTAGCTACTCAGGAGGCTGAGGTGGGAGGATCACTTGAGTGCAGGAGGCCGAGGCTGTAGTGAGCTATGATTGTGCCACTGCATGCCAACCTGGGTAACAGAGTGAGACCCTACCTCTAAAAAAAAAAAAAAAATTAAATTTACTTAATGAGGGTCAGTGAGATTGAGTTCCTTGTCCAGGTCACCTGTTTCTCCTAAGTGGGGATTCAGGGACCATGTTACTCCAGAGCTATGGCTCTCAGTGCGTAAAGATATTTTCTTTCGTAGGCAGTATTAAGCATTGCTAACACTTAGCTGCACGATCTCATTTCACTCTCACAATCCCTGAGCTAGATTCTGCATGAAACCACCTTGCAGACAAGGAATCAGATGTTTAGTAACTCTCCCATGGTCACTCTGAGGAGCTGGGATTTGAACCTTCTCTGTCAGACTTCAGAGCCTAAGGGCTTTACCAATACTGCCCTGCTCCTCGTGTCTTTGGGTGAATGAATTTTCCATGCAGTTCAAGAGGTGTTTTCTCAGTGCCTGGCCTGGGCCTAGTACTGTGCCCAGGAGTTGGGGAGGCAGAATGGGCTGGCGCCATGGTGAGAAAGAAAAAACATTGTGTTAGCTGTCCTGATTCAGGCTCAGGGTCTGACACTTTTTAGTTCTGTGACCCTGGGCAAAGCCACTTAACCTTTCAGGCCTTAGTCACCTCATCTTTGAATTGGGATATTCCTGTGTTTGTCAGAGGTTGCGCAGATTTGATGAAATAATGCATGTTTGTTTGATAGATGGGGTATCACTCTGTCACCCATGCTGGAGTGCAGTGGCTTGATCATGGCTCACTGCAGCCTTAAACTCCTTGGCTCAAGTGATCCTCCTGCTTCAGCCTCCTCAGTAGCTGGGACTCAGGCGTGCACCACCATGCCCAGCTAATTTTTATTTTATTTTTTATTTTTTTGTAGACATGGGCAATGGAGGTGGTGGGTGGGTGGTGTCTCACTATGTTGTCCAGGCTGGTCTCAAACTCCTGGCCTCAAGCAATCCTCCCATGTGGCCTCCAAAAGTACTGGGATTACAGGTGTGAGCCATTGAGCCCAACCTGATGAAATAATTTTTATGAAAGTGCTTTTAAAACTGAAGTGCTACAGAAATATTGGCAATCATCTCTTAGGCTGTTCTTACAGATTCTCTAGACTTTTGCATGTGTGTGTTTTAATAAAAAATGATGGCTGTATGGGGGTCCCAGTGGATTAAGCCACTGGTTTGCAACTCTGGTTACCTGTTAGAATCATCTGGGAAGTTTTTAAAACCAAGATGCCTGGTCCCTATCTCCCTACAGGTTTTTGATTCAATCGTTCTTGGACTGGGACAGGGCAGTTTATGTTTTAAAAGCTCCTCAGGTGATTCTAATTTGCAGCTAAGGGTTCCAAGCAATGGATTAAAGAAGAAAGCAGATACATAATGGTTTTATGAAACAGTTTGCTATACCTTAAAATCCAAAGCATTTTCCCCACACATCACTACTTGGTGGTGGAGAATAAACGGCGGCCGGTGGAGAGTTCTGGACTTACCAGAACAAAAGAACTCCAGGACAGGTCCCATGGGGAAGCTGCTGCTTCTCAGCTTCTTCAAGGTCAGGTGACAGATGCTGGGTGATGATCCGGGTGCATACTCCAGGGTGCTAGAGTGGGACAGGAGTATGCTTTTAGGTGGGCAACAGAGAATCTCATGGCACGGCTATAGTTAGTGGGCTCTTTGAGGTTAGAAGCAGTCTTGAATTTCATCTTTTAAATCCAGGACTCACCTACTGTATTAGTGCATTCTTACACTGCTGTAAAGATACTGCCTGAGACTGGATAATTTATAAATGAAGGAGGTTTAATTGACTCACAGTTCCGTACGGCTGGGGTGGCCTCAGGAAACTTACAATCATAGTGGAAGAGGAATCAGGCATTTTCTTCACAAGGCGGCAGGAGGGAGTGTGAGTGTGTGAAGGAGGAGCTGTCAAACACTCATAAAACCATCAGATCTCATGAGAACTCACTCACTATCATGACAGCATGGGGGAAACCACCCCCGTGATCCAATCACCTCCCTCCCTCCACAGGTGGGGATTACAATCGGCAATGACATTTGGATGGGGACACAGAACCAAACCATATTGTTCTGCCCCTCCATCTGCAAGCTGAAGAGCAGGGAAGCCAATAGTGGCTCAGTCCGAGTCCCAAAACCTCAAAAGTTGGGAAGCCGACAGTGTAGCCTCCAGTCTGTGGCTGAAGGCCTGAGAAACCCTGGCAAAACACTGGTGTAAGTCCAAGAGTCCAAAAGCCAAAGAACTTGAGTCTGATGTTCGAGGGCAGGAAGCATCCAGCACAGGAGAAAGATGAAGGCTGGAAGACTCAGCAAGTCTGCTCATTCCACCTTTTTCCACCTGCTTTTTCTAGCCTTGCTGGTAGCTGATTGGATGGTGCCTACCCAGATTGAGGGTTGGGTCTGCCTCTCCAAGTCCATTGACTCAAATGTTAATCTTTTCTGGCAACACCTTCACAGACACACCCAGAAACAATACTTTGCATCCTTTGAACCGATCAAGTTGACAATATTAACCGTCACACCTAAAGTAGTGGCTCATTTGTTATGTCTTTGCTTAATAAATAAATAATAAATATTTGTCCTAGGCATTGTGGGAGATATTTCCCCATCTATTATCTTTTTTTAACTCCAATTTTTAATTTTATTTGAATAAGAGACATGGTCTCACTGTCACACAGGCTGGAGTGCAGGAGTGCAGTGGCGCAATCATAGCTCACTGCAGCCTCGAACCCCTGGGCTCAAGCAATCCTCCTGCCTCAGTCTCCCAAAGTGCTGGGATTACAGGCATGAGCCACTTCACCTGGCCCCACGTGTTATCTAATTTAAAGTTTGCAACACTCCTGAAATGTAGATAATGAAATATAGAGGCGTAGAGAGATGAAATAACTTGTTCATCTTAGTTACACAACTGAGTCTGTGTTCAGAGCTGGGATTTGAACCGATGTGTGCCTAGAAAGCCCATACCTTTCTAGTCAATTGCCTAACAACTAGAAATGAGATTTGAATACAGAGGAAGTCCAGAGCCCCAAATCTCTTCGTGACAAGCCTGCCAGTTCTCCTCGGCATCATTCTAGGCTTTAAAATCTGTAACTCAGTGGTTTTAGACAATGATGATAAGATCTCGAGAGATGATAATTGTAGAAACATGCTATTTCTTTGACCCCGTTTCCTCCCAGCCCCATTATCTTTTATCTATGTGCTGAAATTTCTCTCCTTTGGTGTTTCAGGATAGGGTTTCACCTTGATTTCCTAATTTAGTTTAGTGTTAGTTTATTCTGGCTAAACTTTTAGTTCCTTTTGGGCAGTATGGCCTTAACAGATTCTGACATTCTAAGTCTTGAGAAATTAATGTAGGCCGGGTGCGATAGCACACACCTGGAATCTCAGCACTTTGAGAAGCTGAGGCGGGCAAATTGAGCTCAGGAGTTCGAGACCAGCTGGGGCAACATGACAAAACCCCATTTCAATAAAAAATACAAAAACTAGCCCAACATGGTGGGCATATGCGCTTGCAGTCCCAGCTCCTCCAGGGGCTGAGGCAGGAGGGTTGCTTGAGCCCTGGAGGTCGAGGCTGCAGTGAGCTGTATTTGTATCCCTGCATTCCAGCCTGGGTGACAAAGTGAGACCCTGTCTCAGGAGAAAAAAAAAAAAAGAAATTAATGTAGCTTCAACAGTAAATACAAGTCATGGACTGGCTACTGCCTAAGCAGTTCCTAAAGGCCTGGTGTGTGCAGACACCCAGCTAGGCACTGGGGGTGTAGTGGTGAACGGCACAGACATGGTCCTTAGCCTTGAGGAACTTAAGGAACTTCCAGCCTAGTTGGGAGAGATGAAAAAGAAAATATTTTTCAGTAGTGGCTTGGCTGCTGCAAAGTTGATTTACTGTAGGTAATCGAGACAAAGTTTATATAATGTCATCCTATAGCCCATTAAAACAGAAAAAAAAAGGTGTAATGAGGTTGGTGTTCATAAGTACGAAATTGGTGTTTCTGTATGAAGGGCAATGTTAATATCTATTGCTAGAGTAATCACATTCACATGCTGACATGTTTGGTTTACAGCCAGAACGGTCAGGAAATTAAGCTGTTTATTTTCTGCCCTCTTGATAAAAGTCACACTTTTACAACATAATTAAGCAGAATGCCAAGCCATAGCTTTCAGCTATAAACACTGCTTTTAACATTAGGTAAGTAAGCTCATCCGGGGAGGGTTTTGTTTTTGTTTTGTTTTGTTTTGTTTTGCCATTGTAATTAACCTCAGTAGGATGAGCAGCTGTTTCATATTGCTCAAGCTGCAGGTAGCCTTGTTTCATTCTGAAGTGAGCTTCAGATACATGGTTGATTGTATTACCCCCAGCTACTGCTTAAGACCAAAGTAGAAGGTTTTTCTCCACCCTTGTAAGTATTTGTTTTCTGGAATTCTGGGAACTTTTGTTTCTGATAGGATCTAGAGCTATGGACATTTGTCCTTGGCATCCTTAGAGGCTTCTTTTGGGATCAGTGTAATTCCTGATTGAAGCCCAGTGCATGCATCAGAGAAGGCACTTCTTGACCCTTTTCTTCTTTGAGGTTAGGCTTCAGCTGTCTTAGAATGAGGCTGATTGAGGGTCTCCAGAAGGTCAGTACTAGTAAGATCTGAAGACTTAAGATTTTGCCCAATGTGAGCTGGTCCTTAAAAAGCAAATCCTTTGTATTCCTTTCTGAAGTCTTGCTGAATGCCGTTGTAGCAGCCAGGGTTCCTCATTGCAAAAAACAGAAAACACTTCTGTTAATGCACTGAATTTGGGATACTGAGTCTGACAGAATCTCCCAAAAGGCTGGAGAAGCAGGCTTGGAAAATGGTGAGAGAACCAAGAGCTGTGTGTAACTACCCCTAGCAACTAGAAGCTCCTGTCACTCTTTTGCATCTCCTCCTCCAGGTTCAGTGACCCAGGTGGGAGTGTCAAGTAGCTGGATCTCACTCACAGGTCCATGACCTAGCTGCTGGAGGTGGGGACATGGGGGAGGTTGGAGCAAGTGAAAAATTGGTCTTTTTAGCTTCCTTCAATTTGGGGGTTTCGGGGGTTAGTGCTCAAGATGTAGTCCTCTTCCCACCTGCCAGGGACTCGGAAGCTGCATGGTTGCCCATCTTGTTTCTTTCCTTATCCTGCGTTGCCCTAAGGTAGGGAAACCTAGCTGTCAAATCCCTTTAAACCAACATACTCACTGCATACACATCTTACAGTTAAAGCATGCCTAATTGCCCAATGTTTTATACAGAATTATTTGCTCAACTAATACTGCACAAGGGTAGAGAATTAAAATGAAAGGCTTTATGTTTAATATGGTCTATTAACTGTGGAGGGCACTGGAAATTGCCAGGCAGGTATAATAGAAAGTAGGTCATTTATTCACCACTTAGTGTAAGTGGTTTTTTCTTTTCTAGTAATAGCCATTCATTTTATCTGAAACTAATCTATTTTTAGAATCCTAACAGCTGGTTCCGATTATAAATGTTTTTTAGCCTCTGTCACACCAAGAACTTCAGAAACGTCTCAAAAACATCATATAATGTCTACCAATATACTGCTATTAAGAAACATCTTGCATACATTCTTCAGTATGCAAAGGACATTCATATCATGGACATGAACATCTTTATTAAATAAAGGCTGGGCCGGGTACGGTGGCTCATGCCTGTAATCCTAGCACTTTGGCAGGCCGAGGTGGACAGATCACCTGAGGTCAGGAGTTTGAGACCAGCCTGGCCAACATGGTGAAACCCCATCTCTACTAAAAAAAAAAAACAAAATTAGCCAGGCTTGATGGCACATGCCCATAATCCTAGCTACTTGGGAGGCTGAGGCAGGAGAACCACTTGAACCTGGGAGGCGGAGCTTGCAGTGAGCTGAGATCATGCCACTGCACTCCAGCATGGGTGACAGTTAGACTTCATCTCAAAAAAAAAAAAAAAAAAAAGGCTGAAGCCTGGTTTTGGTTCAAAAAGAATCAACAATATGAACCCATAAAATGAAATACCTCACAATAAAGCCAGAAATCAATATAGTCCCTTTAAACCTCTAGTTTTACTGATACATAATTTTTTCCCTCTTCAGGTGATGTTCTGATTAGTGTTGGCCATGCCAATGTGTTAGGATATACTCTTCGAGAATTTTTACAGCTTTTGCAACATATCACTATTGGAACAGTGCTACAAATCAAGGTTTACCGAGATTTTATTAACATTCCTGAAGAATGGCAAGAAATATATGATTTAATCCCTGAGGCCAAATTCCCAGTAACAAGGTAAATAGTTCATTTTAGGAACTCTTTGTTATAATACAGAATCCCAGGGCCTGTGAGGCATAGATGGTTTAATGTGACAATTATCAAATGATAAGGATCATGACAGGAGGACTGGTGACACTGTCAGAGTAATTTCCTGGGTTTCTGGTATTAGATCTGTAGGATCTAATATGAGAAAGCACGATGAAGTCAACCTGGAGTTAAAAAACAAGTCATCGGTTGGGAATTTTGTCCCCATGCCTACCTGTATGGTGCCCCTCTTTCCCGAGTCAGCCCTTAAAAATGCTTCTTGTGGGCCAGGTGTGGTGAATCATGCCTGTAATCCCAGCACTTTGGGAGGCTGAGGCGGGTGGATCATGAGGTCACGAAATCGAGACCATCCTGGCCAACATGGTGAAACCCCGTCTCTACTAGTAAATTACAAAAATTAGCTGGATGTGGTGGCGCGTGCCTGTAATTCCAGCTATTCGGGAGGCTGAGGCAGGAGAATCGCTCGAATCAGGGAGTCGGAGGTTGCAGTGAGCCGAGATCGCACCACTGCACTCCAGCCTGGAGATAGAGCGAGACTTTGTCTCAAAAAAAAAAAAAAAAAAAAAAAAGTGCTTCTTGCAAATCCTATTTTCTTTTCCGTATTCAACTTTTTGTTCTCTGGGTCCTTCCCAATAACATCTAAGCCTTTTTAAACTTCTCCCATCTTGGCAAATCCTATCTTCAGTCCACTCTCCTCTCCCTACCCTCTTTAGCCACTGGAGTCTTTTGCATCCACTCCCAACTTGCTAAAAGCTGTATTAGACACCTCCGTTTCCTCGAAAGACGCCACTTCCCAGACACTCCTCCACCCACTTCAATCTAGGCTTTGCTTTCATCCCTTGGCTGAGTCCTTTTCCCAGGGCCACCCATAGCCTTCACACTTCTGATCCCACTAGATTCTTCTGTCTTTATCTTGCTTGGCTTCTGAGCAGCATTAGACACTTAACAATTTCCACCCACTCTCTTCTTGAAATAGCACTTCCCAGGCTTCTGTGACACCACACTCCCCTGATTTTCCTGTTACCTCTGGCCATTTCCTCTTGGTGTCCTTTCTCCTAGCCAGTTTCATTGATGCCTGTGGTTTCTATGACTATCCACATGCTAATTACTTTCAAACTGTATTATCACCAAAACTGTATTTTTTTTTTCTTGGAGACGAGGTTTTGCTCTTGTCACCCAGGCTGGAGTGTAGTGGCGTGACCTTGGCTCACTGCAACCTCTGCCTCTCGGGTTCAAGTGATTCTCCTGCCTCAGCCTCCAGGGTAGCTGGGATTACAGGCGCATGCCAACACACCCAGCTAATTTTTGTATTTTTAATAGAGACGAAGTTTCACCACGTTGGCCAGGCTGGTTTCGAACTCCTGACCTCAGGTGATCTGCCTGCCTCGGCCTCTCAAAGTGTTGGATTACAGGCATGAGCCACCAAGCCTGGCCAGAATGATCTTTTTGTAATGCAAATCTGATCCTGGCATGTTCCTGCAAAAAATCTCTTAAGACTTTTTGTTCTTTGGATAAATGTCAAAATCCTCACATTGGCCAATGATGCTCTATGGGGTTCAGCTGGCCTCTGCAAACCATTCCAACTTCAACTCATACTGCTTTCCCCATCCTTCTCTAGCCCCCTTTAGCTTCCAGCTCTCTGCCTTTTGTTTTGCCTCAGGGTCTTTGCACTTGCTCTTCTCTGTGTGCAACATGTTTGTAACTTTGCTCTTCAGTAGTCACCCTTGAAGGCTCCAGTGTAACTTCTCCAAGGGGTCTTCCTAGAAACAGGTCCACCTGACATATGCTCTCACAGCTCGCTCCTTCACATTTATCCCAATTTTAATGAAATAATCTGTGTAATCAGTTGTTCACTGTGTTTCCCTGGGAGAATGTGAACTCCATCAAGGCAGGGACTGAGTCTGTCTTGTTTTGCTAAAATTGCCCTAGGACTTTCATGTGGTCAGTGGTTCACTTGTTTTTAATTTTTAATTTTAAAAGTCTTATTTTTGAGACAGGGTCTCACTCTGTCACTCAGGCTGGAGTGTAGTAGCACGATCACAACTCACAATCAAATCCTGCTCAGCGACTCCTACACTGGAGGGCACGACTCTAAAAGCCTGGGCTCATGTGATTACATAACAACTATGTTCTAAGCATTTTCATTACATGGAGGAGTTTTGAGATCCAGAATATTAAATTCTAAGGATGGTAGACTGACCATTCAAAAGCAAAGAAAAGATAGAACAGTACAACTTAAGTAAGAGGCGAAAACCCACAAACAATACCAAGCACCTGCTGATTCCCTTTCTTAATTAGGCAAAGTACCCATATCTGAGGCATTTTAGTAACTTATGTATAACACGGCAGGGAAAGAAGAAGGAAAAAGATGCTTTCACAAAGCTAGTATAAACTTTTCCAGGAGAAAATGGCACTGGGTATACACACTGGAGAAATTCTCCATGTAACGCTCTGGGTAGGCCAAGTGGTATAGAAAGTTTGTTTCTAGCCAATCCTGACCTCTGCAGGGTTGTGGCTTTATTACCTAATGACAATTTACCTGTCCTTTATGGTTACCTAACCATCAGAGTTGCCAAGGATTCCCCCTGCAGTCTGAAAAAAAAAAGTTACTAATACTTGGATTTAAAAAAAAAATTCATGTGCTGTTCAGGAAGACCTAGGTGTGTCTGAAGGCAAATCAGACAAAGAAAATCAGTATTTAAGACTAGTGGCTCTCAGTAAAAATTACTCATTATCAACTGTTTATTACTGGAAGAGATAAACTTTTGGAAAAGCCATTCAAATTATTGGAAGCAAATACAACAGGCAGACTGCCAAGGTTATTAGTGATAACACCAGAAGTCTTAACAGGTTGGCAGGGAAGAAACCTATTTCCTTTTAGCAGGGCAGAATGTACCAGAGATTTGTAATCACAAAGATCTAGTTTTGGTTCTGCTGGGCAATAGCACCAGGATGAGGGAAAGCAGGTGACAGAGCATTCATTCTGGAAAGTTAAAGCAAGCACAGGTACTGTAGGCATTAGGAAAGTTCAGAGACCTGGAGGTGCTAGCAGGCAAGCACCACCTAGTTTCAACAATCAAGAAAGTCAATAATTGGAGAAAGTTAAAAACAACAACAACAACAACAACAAAAACCTGGCTGGGCACAGTGGCTCATGCCTGTAATCCTAGCACTTTGGAGGCCAAAGTAAAGATTGCTTGAGGCCAGGAGTTTGAGACAGGCATGGGCAACATAGGGAGATCCTGTTTTAAAAATAAATAAATAAATAAAAATAAATAAAAATTAGCCAGGTGCGGTGGCATACAGCATACACACCTGTAGTCTCAACTACTTTGGAAGCAGAGGCCAGAGGGTCACTTGAGCCCAGGAATTCAAGGTTGCAGTGAGCTATGATTGTACCACTGCACTCCAGCAAGGGTGACAGAGCAAGACCCTCTCTAAAAAAAAGACTCTAAGACTTACTAATGACTAGGATGTTGAAGATCCTTAAGGCCCACTATTTCCTGACTTCCTGACTCCTCTGGAAATCAGTAATGTTGTGTTAATGCCACGTGAGCCACAAGAATAGAGTTCTCAGGAGATGGCCAGGTTGAATCCGTCACTTTAGCTGCAGTGAAATTAACCTACCCTTTAACACCTCCTAATATTCTGGTCAGTAGTCTAGTATAAGTCTGTGCAAAACTTTTTAAGGTATGGTGAAGTAATTTAAGGCAGAATTTGATTTCCATTTAGAAATGGAAAAAGATTTCAAGACGATTTAAAAAAGAGAAACATTTCAATGACACAGAAAGGTAATGCTAAAGCTAAATTGTATCTTTTATGAGTCAAAGCAAGTTATAAGGCATCTTGTTAGGGGACCATAAATGTTTAGACATGAAGAATCTATTTTATTCACTATTCTTTTCATTTCAGCACACCAAAGAAAATTGAGCTGGCAAAAGATGAATCTTTCACAAGCAGTGATGATAATGAAAATGTAGATTTAGATAAAAGACTTCAATATTATAGATATCCGTGGTCAACTGTGCATCACCCTGCAAGGAGACCAATATCCATCTCCAGAGACTGGCATGGATATAAGAAGAAGAACCATACTATTAGTGTAGGAAAAGACATTAATTGTGACGTGATGATTCACAGAGACGACAAGAAAGAAGTGAGGGCCCCTTCTCCATACTGGATAATGGTGAAGCAAGACAATGAAAGCTCTTCCTCCTCTACCTCCTCTACCTCAGATGCATTTTGGCTGGAAGATTGTGCCCAAGTTGAAGAGGGTAAAGCC
This sequence comes from Homo sapiens, assembly GCF_000001405.40. NCBI lineage: Eukaryota > Metazoa > Chordata > Mammalia > Primates > Hominidae > Homo > Homo sapiens. The sequence goes on from NW_017852933.1 coordinate 1,120,748, forward strand.
CAACTGGTATCAAAGGTTGGTTAGCAAATCTGTGGTCATATGAGCATTTATCTTGCAGACACCCAAGTTTTGTGCCTCACCAGGCACAAGTTTGCTGTACTTATCAAGGACTGTCTGTAGACTCACCAATTCTCTTCTCTTATGACTGCGTTATAAAGCCTTTAGAGATGTTCTTCAACAGGATTATCTAAAGACTTCCTTGGGTTCTTGCAGGCCTCACAAATCTTATTTTCAGAATAAGACCCTCCTTTTTGAGAAGAATTTCTTTCTTTTAGAAAATGCCGTAGAGAAATCCAATATCAGAATGTCTGAACATAGTAGAGAATGTCACTTTATGTAAACACTACATTTTTCTTTAAATATTTAGTTTCTCTCTTTTTTTTGGTAAACTTCAAGTACTATAATTAAAATAACTAAGAGACATAATTCTTTGGCTAGTTATTCACATTAGAATTCTTTTTTTTTCCCCTTTTTAGCCCTTCTTTTACTGTAAATGTTGAATTGAGAGTTAATTATTTGGAAGAGACAGGATAGTAACAGATAAGGGAGAGACAGGAGATGAGAGAAAAACAAAACTCTGTCAATGAAGATAAATCAGACATAAAAAAATGAATGAATGGGAATATAGGATATGATTGATAGGAAATGTATGTTTTTTGGAAATAATTTTATTGCAAAAAAGGCAAAACAGGGGTAAAAACCAGACCATTTAGCTGTTGACACCCAAAATGACAAATTTTGAACTTGCTTTCATCTTAAACGCCACCAATAGTAATCTGGCACTATTTACCCCGATAGCCACTTAGCCTTAATTTTAATAGTTTCTGATGCTTCTATACTCAATAATTATATTCCTGTCTCCTTTAAAGCATCTAAAACAAAGATATCAGCACATAATAAATACTTGTTGATTAACTCATTGAGAAAAACGTAAGAAAAACACTTAAACAGAATGTTTTATTGACTTTAGGTCAGCTGGGAATAATTACCTGCATTTATGCCTTATTTTACCTCACTGGAAAAAAGACAAATGATATATTAGAGACTTCTGACTTTCATGTGTTTGCTGCTCTGGGCTGAGAGAACGTTCAGCTCTCTCCTGTAATGTGTGCATCAGTATTACAACTCATCAACAAAAGGTGTATGTCCCAAATTTCCACTTGCTGCCATTGACTTCTGGCCAGAAACAAACTTCTTTGCCGCCTTTAAAGAAACAAACAAAAGACAAAATTAACAAAAATAAAAATATATATCATCAAGCAGGCGAACTTATTTTGTCATTTCAAGAATTTATGGATAGGACATTCTTTTTTTTTTTTTTTTTTTTGAGGTGGAGTCTCGCTCTGTCACCCAGTGTGGAGTGCAGTGCTGCGATCTTGGCTCACTGCAGCCTCCGCCTCCCAGGTTCAAGCAATTCTCTGCCTCACCCTCCCAAGGAGCTGGGATTACAGGCATGTATCACTATGCCCAGCTAATTTTTGTATTTTTAGTAGAGACGGGATTTCGCCATGTTGGCCAGGCTGGTCTCAAACTCCTAGCCTCAAGTGATCCACTCACCTTAACCTCCCAAAGTGCTGGGATTACAGGCGTGAGCCACCAACCTGGCCTTCGATAGGACATTCTAAGCCAGCAATTACTATAATAGCTGTTGTGAAAATTAACTAGGAGATGGCTGGTGCTTTAATTTGGGACAGTGTGGGAGGAAAAGCTTAGCTGTTTCTCTGAAAGTCCCATTGTATGTGTAATGAACCAAGCAAGAGCAACACTGGTAAGAGGGTAGCTGTTCAAAGAGAGATAAGGAAAACAACACTGACACTGTCAAATAGAGTAGTGTGGCTTCAGGCAGGGATATACTTTCCTGTTTCGGTATTACAATGGCAAATAGTCTGGGTCAATAAAAATACATTGATTGTTAACTTAAAAGTAAAACTTGATACCCTAGAGGATTCTTTATGCCACTACTTCCAAGTTCAAAGGCTGGTTAAGTGTAGTATCATGAGTCAGGTGTAGGTGGAGCAGCAGCCCCCATATTCTGTCAGGCCAGCTTATCTTATTACTATGAAGGAGAGGTGGTGGTGGAAGCAGTCGGGTTGGGACGCACATAATGATAGGATATAAGATGAAGACAGCCATTTAAAAGAGTACCAAATGGGCTGGGCGCGTTGATTCACACCTGTAATCCCAGCACTTTGGAAGGCTGAGGCGGGTGGATCACGAGGTCAGGAGATCGAGACCATCCTGGCTAACATGGTAAAACCCCGTCTCTACTAAAAATACAAAAAATTAGCCGGCCGTGGTGGTGGGCACCTGTAGTCCCAGTTACTAGGAAGGCTGAGGCAGGAAAATGGCGTGAACCCGGGAGGCGGAGGTTGTACTGAGCCGAGATCGCGCCACTGCACTCCAGCCTGGGCAACAGAGCAAGACTCCGTCTCAAAAAAAAAAAAAAGAAGAGTATGAAATGACGATTGGGGCGAAGTGAAATCAAGTCAGGGTTACTATCTTAAAATAGCCTTGTCTCTTTTTTATTTGAGACAGGGTCTCACTCTGTTGCCCAGCCTGGAGTACAGTGGCATGATCTCGGCTCGCTGCAACCTCTGCCTCCCAGGCTCAAGCCACCTTCCCACCTCAGCCCCATGAGCTCCTGAGTAGCTGGGACTACAGGCGCATGCCACCAAGCCTAGCTAATTTTTGTACTTTTTTGTAGAGATGGGGTTTTGCTACATTGCCCAGTCTGGTATTGAACTCCTGGGCTCAAGCAATCTGCCCACCTCAGCCTTCCAAAGTGCTGGGATTACAGGAATGAGCCACTGCACCCAGCTTAGTTTTTTATTTTTTCTTATCCCCACTGTCCCTATACAAGGTAGACCTGTTGGTGAGAAGATGGCCGAGACATCTACAGTAGAAAGCAAGTTGGCAAGTTTAATGTAGAAAATGGGGAAAACCCACTTACTTTGGATTAATTCTGTAGGTCATGTGCTTGTTAGGCACAGCAGGGAACACAAAGAAGTACATGACATAGTCCTTGCCCTCAAAACAGCTCAATATTGTAGGGAACAATAATATATGTGAAAAAAAAATTAGCAAGAACAAGAGAATGTCCTAGGCTGAGAAGAGTAAAGAAAATCTTAAGATGCTAGATGGTGAAATATTGCTAGGACTGAAGAGGAAAAATAGCAAACTTCACTATTTAGGTTGGATCATATGAAACTGCTAATATTTGACTCTTCTTTACTTCTAGTCATCTAACATAAGCCCATTTTATAAACTACCATTAGTTTAACCTAACGTTTGATACGTTAGGTGTATTAAATGCACTTTTGACTGCCATCTCAGTGGATGGCAGCCCTCTTACTGACATCACAGTTTAACCTAATGGTAGTTTATTTGAAGGAGGAAGATACATATACTCGAGCTGACAGGGAAGCTTGTTGCGGATCTTATGGGAATGAGCCCTCCTGCCTCCACATTAAGTAGATGAGCACCAAACATGAGAATAATACACTGCCCAAGGACGCTTATGCATCCTTCTGAAATTGGATCATTAAGGTTAAGTTCTCTGTTGTTAAATCGTTAAGTTTTCATTTACTTACATTTATGATATCAGCATTAGCCACTGAATCAATCTGCTGAAGGACTGTGGATGGTGGCATGTAAGAACCAGCAACTAGAGCCTGGGACCCGACTTCTTCCAGGAAACACTCAGAAGACTCCACTGACATTAGGTATCCAGCTTTCAGCTTGTTCCTGTCCAATAAAAGGCAGAAGTCAGTTTTAGAGAGCAAGGCAATTATTTTTTTTTTCTGAGTGGTGGCGGGGGGCTGTGAACATCAAAGCTTTATTTAATGGATAGAGTAACAGCGTGTCTCCCTCTTCCTGAATTCCCCAAGAAGAATGCCACTCCCTTCTCTGGAACATACTAAAACAGTAAGTCTGAAGGGAAGAAGTCTCTTCAGGGTTGCCAAAGTGTCCAATTGAGGGCCCACTTTGGCCTCCATTTGTGGGTCCATATGCTGCTACAGATTTGAGTGAGACAGCTGGAGAGCTCCCTAATGCTTCCCAAGGCCTCTGGATCCGGTTGTGCAATCTGGATCCTCTGCATGTCACTGGCCAGTCGCAGCATGCTCTTTCTCCTGCCCACTGGCACAGTGAGGAAGATCTCTGCTGTCAGTGAGAAGGCTGTCATCCACTGAGATGGCAGTCAAAAGTGCATTTAATACACCTAACGTATCGAACATCATAGCTTGGCCCAGGTTATCTCATATGTGCTCAGAACACTTACAATAGCCTGCAGCTGGGCAAAAGTCTTCTAACATAAGCCCATTTTGTAAGGAAGCATTGATTATCTCATGTACTGCATATCACTAGCCTAGGAAAAGATCGAAATTCAAGGTATAGTCATGTACTACATAATGATGTTTTTGGTCAATGATGGACCACATATATGATGGTGGTCCCGTTAAGATTATTAGGGAGCTGAAAGATTCCTATTACTTACTGACAACATAATGTTGTAGTGCAATTTTAAAAAAATAAATTTAGCGTAGCCTATGTTTACAGTGTTTAGTATCTACAGCAGTGCACAGTAATGTCCCAGCCCTTCCCATTTACTCACCACTCACTCACTGACTCACTCGAAAGCAGGAGCTATGCCATAAAAATGGCATACCATTTTTTTATCTTTTGTGCTGTATTTTTACTGTACCTTTCCTATGTTTAGATGCACAAATACTTACCTTTGTGTTATAACTGCCTACAGTATTCAGTACTATAGTACATGCTATACAGGTTTGTAGCCTAAGAGCAATAGACTATACCATAGAGCCCATGTGTGTAGTAGGCTATACCATCTGGATTTGTCTGAACACTGAGGTTCACACAGTGATGAAACCACCTAACACCACATTTCTCAGAATGTATCCCCATCGTTATGTGACCCATGACTGGAAGCTGAAATTGCGATGGTTTTCCTCCATAGTCAAGTTGAAAAATTATAATTGATCCATGGCAAGTTGGGGACAGTGTATATTGTAAACCTACCTTTTGGCTGCTACAGTGTGAAGACCAGGGATCTTGAAGAGCCTTCTGTCAAACCAGGGTGTCAGGCCTGTACTTGGTGTCACCACAGACAACTCCACCTGGCCCACAGCTGGGGTCACAGTGTTATAAAGGTCACAGTCTTGACCTTTTCCTTTTGCCTTTTCCTTGTATGAAGTGGGTTCTCTTCTTGGATGGAGGATACCGTTCAATGCTTGTAGTTTGAAGATTCTCATGTTTATTTTCTTCTTATGCTATCGTTTCACTTGTATTACCTGTGAGTTTTGGCAGGTTTCGGGGGTGTCTGAAGAGCTTCTGCTGTCTGTTTATTTCTGTGATATCCACTTCAGCTGTTGCTGCCTCTTTTAGGGCCTGTTTGTTTTCACCAAGGGTGAAGTAGTCAAGCCAGTTCCTCTTACACAGTGAAACAGGGCAATTTTAAGGTATGTGCCCCGAAACTCAACATATTTTTGGTAAACAGGCAAACTAACAACTTACAGTGCTAATGGCCTCCATTCTATTTCTTCAGTTCACCAAGTACGTGAACCGTTTACGTTACTATTTGGAAAGCTGTCAGTACGAAATTATACTGAAAACTCCACAGATTGCTTTTTGATTTGGGACTAGAACTTAGATCTAGGTAAAACTATTTTAATGTAAGGTTTTGATTAGTGAAGCAACTCCTGCCTCTTGCTGAGATTTGTCTGTGAGCATAGGGTATGATGGAAAAGGCAGGTGGGGAAGGGCAGTACAGGTCTTGTAAGCAACGGCAGCTTAAATATGGGCACAAAAGCATCCACTTGAAATAAAACAAAATCCAATTCACAATTCTCCCAGAAACTTATTACTTATAGACATGGTGTTTGATAAGACAGTCGAGTTATTTGAACCTCAAACGTTTATCATCCTTTAACACTCTACAGAAAGACTTCCATTTAAACATAATTACAATTTAATGCTGCAGTTTTACCACGTTGTCAGCTTAATTAAAAAATGATTTTACCTGCAATAAACTACCAAGAGGTTATTAGTGTGTCCTTTCGGCAATGACACCTCACTTTCTCTCTTTCACTACAGGAAGAACTTACAAGAAAAAGTATCAACTCCATCAAAATGGCAGAAAACATACTTTGACATTAATATTCAAAATTCTACTTTCTGCTTATTACCATACCTTGTAAGAACTGTGTTACACTTATTAAGAAAATACGTTTTCTTAAATAAATTAGATTTGAAAAACTTAGGTTTTTCTTAAGTAAATCCAGTGTTTCAATGTATTCTCATCATGTTTTGTTTCTGGTACAATCAAGCAGCCCTGCATCCTATCGATTCTTGGTTCTATGTATACAATATTTAATAAATTGTGTTGTACTTATACAAGAGATGCAACTTTGTAGTGTGCTCAGCATAACAAAACTAACAATACTAATGGGAACAGAAATGACCAAAAGGTTGTTCCATCCTGGGTTGTAATTCTGCTTCCCCTGTGGGCAATACTAAATGATCATAACGACCACTGGAGTTGCAAGATTCACATTTTGAATTGTTCTAAGTAGATGGAGTCAAACTTAAATGTCTTAAGCGGCTGTATGAAAATGCAGGTTGATTTCCAACTTTGTCCCAAGTCTGTCTCTTTTAGAGAAACCCTCGAACTACTAATGAATTAGGAGTGTTGATAGCACTTTCAATCTGGACAGTGGGGATTTATAAATTGCCAAATAGCAGACAAGTATTTTAGTCTTTCTTATAAAACAAAACAAAATCAGATCTTTTTTGGGTATAAATTAGTTATGAAGAAAGAAACTATTGTAGAATAGGTACTCTTATATACTGGTGGTATGATTATAAACTGGTACAATCTCTTTAGATTTGTGACTTAGAAATACATTTTTTTTTTTTAAGAGACAGGGTCTTGCTCTGTTGCCCAGGCTAGTGTGCAATGGCGTGATCTTAGTTCACTGCAGCCTCAAACTCGTGGGCTCAAGCAATCCCCCCTCTTCAGCCTCCTGAGTAGCTGAGGCTACAGGCACACACTACCACACCTGGCTAGTTTTAAATATCTTTTTGTAAAGACAGTGTCTTGCCACATTACCCAGGCTGGTTGAACTCCTGGCCTCAAGTGATCCTCCTGCCCCAGCCTCCCAAAGTCCTGGGATTACAGGTATGAGCAACTGCGCCTAGTCAAATGTATTATTTAAACATACACACATACACACACTCTAACATGGAGTCTTTCGTTATGTTTATAACTCTTAACTTAGTTGGGAATCTACACCAAGAAAGTAATACGAAACACAAAAATATTTTAAGCCCAAAGATATCTTTATAACTGCAGAAAATGCACAAGTGTATTTTGACACACCAATGAATATTGTTTAAATTTTTAGTAATTTGAATCAATGGAAACAGAATCATTGCTAGGGAAATCAGAGATCATTTTTGTCTTTTATTTGTAATTTTCAAACTTCTATAATAAGGATGCTATTTAAATAAGATAAAAAAGTATACAGATGGTCCCTAACTTAACTTATGATGGTTTGACTTATGTTTGTTTGGCTGGATGACTGGGTTATTAGGGTATTAAATGCATTTTCGATATGCGCATTTCTCAGGACGTAACCCCAGTGTAAGTCAAGCAGCATCTATATATACAATATTAACAATTATGTTTAAAAATGCATGATCAATAAACTAAGAAAAATGTTAACAATTATTCTCTAATTTTGGTGGAGACGAGGTCTTGCTATGTTGCCCAAGCTGGTCTCAAACTCCTGGTCTCAAATGAACCACCTGCCTTGGCCTCCCAAAGTGCTGGGATTAGTGAGCCACTGTGCCTGGCCAAAATGTTAACAATTATATCTTTAGGTGGTAGGATATGGGTATGTTTCCCTTTTTACGCTTTTCTGTACTTCTCAGTCCTTATGAGCATAGATTGTAATATTGTTATAATCTGAAAAGAATACAACTTTCAAATAACAAAAACATAAAACACAGTTAATACTGAGACTTACTTGGCAGCTTGGACATCTGTGTTGGAAAGGTTTCCTTGAGCTATTGTTTTTACTTGATTATAGGCAGCCTTGATAACCTAGGACAGATAAGAAAAGTTGGTCATCTGTGGTCAGTACCAGAGTCTCCTGCAGCACTGACACACTTCTTTACTGAGGCAAAAACACAGATGGAAGGTTAGTTCCAGACAAACAGCACAGTGTCCATGCGGAATGCTGTCATCACTATGGGTTCCTTATTCTTCCTATGTTCATAAAGCAGCTGTTTATACACAATCCTCCTGCCCCAGCCTCCCAAGAAGCTGGGACTACAGGTGCATGCTACCAGGCCTGGCTAATTTTTTAGCTTTTTTTGTAGAGATGTGTGGGCTCAAGTGATCCTCCCACCTTAACCTCCCAAAGTGTTGGGATTATAGGTGTGAGCCACCACACCCGGCCAAACACATGGATTTCTAATCACCCATAAAGAATAAGCACCTTTAAAACTTCCCCAGACTCTTGCAGTGTCATGCCATTAATACTGCTATCTCTTACTATTCACTAAGAAGAGAGTAGTAATCCATACACAGCCAATTTGTAAGGCTTGTCCATACTTTGTAAGCCAGGGTCAAGAAGGAATCTGAATCCTTGTATGGTATTTAAAAAAAGAAAGAAAGAATAAAGTTCCGGGGATGTGGGTACTTGGTAAATATTTGTTGAATAAATAAATAAATCTGACCATGATTTTCTCCATCCCAGTGCTGGCTGGGTCTGCTACTTATTTTTCCCTCTGATCACCTAAATTCTAGGACCTCTGTTTCCCCTTCATTTTAGCTGCCCATTTTCAGAGCCACACCCCAGACCTGATCATAGCCTAAATTTGCATACCTCTGAAGCCCTCAATTCTAAGACCCCGACCTCAGTCTTTAATCTCACTATCCTTATTCTTCCACTTTATCAAGATCTCTAGTTCCTTGACTTGTCCAGTCTTTCAATTTATCAGGCCCCCTCTGGCTTCACTTCTCTATTGAGCCTAGATCCCTGAATCATCCTTTTAATCACTCTTGCCAATGCTCCCAACTCCCTTGCTATCTCCTCATACTTCTCACCTGCCCACTTTGCAGGATTCCAACCTGGGATTAACCCTAATACCTACCTCCTCCATTTCTCTATTAGGCTTCTGAATGCAACTGAAGAAAAATTACATGACAGTGCTGACTGACTGTACTATGAATTTGTGGTCGCTGATTTCAAGGATACATCTACACTACAGCGAATACCCACTTTTTGTGTACCTCACTATTTGTCTGTCCCAAACTTCACTACTTTCTTTAAACTTTCCTCTCACGTCTGTCAAAACATGACTTAGCCTCCTGTCTCACTGAGGAGGTACTTCCCCATCTTCCCAATATCTTCCAATATTAGCCTGTCTGTAAGGCTAAAAGGTCCACTTGTGTGCTGGATCCCAAGTATTCCTTTCTCAGACTTGAGCCATTTATAATTTTCTATCTCCGATATCTGCTCCGATCTTTTTGCTCAGTATGTCTCTTTCAACCTAATCTCTCAGTGTAAACTCTCCTAAAACAACTTGCTCCTTGAATGTCTAAGCTCCACTAGCCCACACCAACCTCTCATTTCTTACTTGTCATTCATTCCTTAATCACTACACATTTTACCCAATTTCCACTACTCTAGTCAAAACTGTTAAGATCACCCATGATGTCCTAGCTTGCTGAAACTACCAGACTTCTCAGTGGTAATGAATGTTATTTCACTGTGGGTCAAAATGGTGTTAAACATACTCTCTTTCCTATCCTTCAAATATATCAGCTTCTCTTTTTCTTTCTGTTTACCTGGGCCATTTTTCTTAGCCACTTGCTCCTTAAATGGTGTTGTTTCCCAGAAATTGAGCTTTAGTTTTCTTTTCCTACAATCATTCACACATATCCCTGATTTCAACACAATCTCTACACTGAAGACTTGCAAATAAACCTCCTGGTCTTCCCCTCTCCTGGGTTCTCAATTTAGATGTCTCAGAGCCAACTCAATGCAACTTGTCCAACCAGAACCAAAACATGAAGGAGGCAATTCTCTCCTCTTTCCTGGAAGCATTAGTATACATGTGTAAATTTCCCTATAGCAGATAATGCTTCAATGACATCATACTATACAGAGCTCTGATAAGTCATTGCACTGCATTCAAACATTCCATATTTTAACCGAAAACATGTTTATGGCGGGGGGGAGAAATAACTTGTTCATGAAAGAAGTTTGGTGAGTTTGCAACTTACATCTCCAGCAGCTGTGGCCTGGGAGATAGTATAAATCCCAAAGAGTCCAGAATCTGAGTAACTGGCATTAAATGCAGAAACCTGAAAGATAATGAGACTTTACTGTATGATATTCTACCAAGTAAAACAGGGCACGATTTCTTTAAGTTTGCCTAGAAAAAACTTGGACCTTCACGGTATAAACAAAATAGATTAATATTTTACTTAGCCAGTTCTGTCACGAACTGAAGTATTCTGTAAATAGGTTACCTCTTTCAGAACTATCACGGCTTTGTTTTTTCATTTAAATATTTCTAAAATGACTGCTCCCTTTCCTTTATGCTGGGTATTTTCTAACCTGCTTTAGATGATTAAAGGTTTATGCAAACACTAATCTGCAAACATTATTATTATAATATAGATAGGCTTTGGCATTAGGCAGACCAGGTTTCTTCTCTCTGCTGTTGGTAGGGACTTTTTCACCAATTTACTTTCATTTCTCTTATACACTCATGTCAGAAAGTTAGAGAAAAATTTCTGCTTAGTGGTCATTATCCAGATGTCCAAGCTATCAAGAGTTTAACCTCTGAATAACAGGGATATTGTTATCTAGTTTGAGCAGAGCTTTTAGCTCTCTAGGGTGAACCCGATTTGCAGTGTTTATGTGGACCATTTACATAAAAATTATCTAAGTTCTTATTAAAAATACAAACTTTCAGATTCCCAAAATGGACCTACTGACTCAGGTCCCTGTGGATGCAGCCTGGAAGCCCAGATTTTTAACAAGTGTTCCAGGTAATTCTTATGTACAATAAACTTGGAGAACCATTGGCTCAGTCCATGTAAAGCATAAGAAGGCACTTCAATTTCTTTTATTTATTTATTTATATATATTTTTGAGACAGAGTCTTGCTCTGTCACCCAGGCTGGAGTGCAGTGGCACGATCTCAGCTTACTGAATCCTCCGCCTCCTGGGTTCAAGTGATTCTTCTGCCTCAGCCTCCCAAGTAGCTGGGACTACAGGCGTGCGCCACCACGCCCAGACAATTTTTGTATTTTTAGTAGAGACAGGGTTTCACTGTGTTAGCCAGGATGGTCTTGATCTCCTGACCTTGTGATCCGCCCAACTTGGCCTCCCAAAGTGCTGGGATTACAGGCGTGAGCCACTGTGCCTGGCCTGGACTTCAATTTCTTTAATTATAATTCTGAGGCCATCCTATTTATACTCTAAATTTCTGGCTGAGTTCTGAACTAGGAATTTCTATTAAATTACTTCATTGGATTAGGAGAGATGGGGGTTTCACCACGTTGGCCAGGCTGGTCTCGAACTCCTGACCTCCAGTGATCCGCCCACCTCGGCCTCTCAGAGTGCTGGGATTTTAGTTGTGAGCCACTGTGCCCAGCCTCTCATTTTTCTTTTCAAATTTAATCTCAAGCTGAATGAGTGAGTCTGTAAACAATTTCTTGGTGTTCATCTTGTCCACTTGGTTGGAAAACAAATAGTGAGATTCAGGAAGTAACCAAAAGAACAGAAGCGGACAGAAGAAAATCTAGAAAAAAAGACTAGTTAGAATCTAGGGGAAAGTTTAATATCTACAACTTTATTCTAAAGGGAACGGATGTGTGGATTCCCTTTATTTCTAAGCATTCAATTCCTCTTTTTATATTACTAATGACAAGTAATAGACAAAGTGGAAAAGCCAGTGAGTTTTTGATAGGCCTTCAAAGATACTAAAATCAAGCCTGGCTATCTCTTCAATTGTACAAAGATTTTCTGTGTGTTTGTCTTACATTTTAAGAGTAGATTATCAGAATTATATCTTAAATACTGAGCCTTTGAAAGCAAAAAGAGAGATACCAACTGTTCAGACTCACATCAAATGGCTGCTGAGTTGCCTTGGCAACAGCCTGGTGCAGATGGCTGGTGGTGTTGCTGCCCCTCTTGACATGTGGCCCAGCACCGAGGACATGCTGAAGAACACTAAATGCATTTGCCTCTGCACTTCCCGCGACAGCACTTTCTGCTACAAAAGCAGCATGGACAAGACTGTCTCCATTCTGTTCTCGGATTTCACCTGGGGCCAGATTAAGGATAGAGGGAAGAAGAAAATGGCTTGTTCACCATTGGTTTCATTCTCCAGTATTTCCTACAACACAGTATTAACCCACGAGTCTTTTCTGCGGCTCGGTGCTTTCCCCATGCCATCCTGTCCCCAAACACACACAAAACATATGCTCAAAATACAACACCCAAGCCATCCAATTCTATGCCGAGACTGTTCAGTAGTAAATATTCAGGCCTATTCCACCTCAATATGCTATTCTAGTGGGGAAACGCCCTTCTGATAAATTAACCCTAATAGAATGAAATGCTTACCTCCACGGTAGTTGGCCTTTGCACCAGATAAACCAAGCCCACCCCTCATGTTGAGAAACTGTTCAGCAACTTGCTTTAGAACAGGATGACTCACACCTGTTTCAACAGAAGCAAAAACAAAGCTAGAACCACAATTACTAAAACACAATCGTAAAATATTTTTTCCTTGTTTTAAAAATACGATTGTAAAATCCTAACACTACAAAATAAATAAGAGTCTTCCTGCCATAATGCCACTCTCCCAGAGATACCCAATTACAGTTTACTATTACTAAACTATTTACTATATACTTAGTATTACTATTCATCTAGAATTTTCTGTGTAGTTAATATTATCTTCAATTTATTTCTAAAATGGTATCATTCTATTGATATTGTTTCTAACTTATCTTTCATAATTTACAAATTTCTAAGTGAGTAGTCTACATCAAATATTTAATGGTTATAAAGAATCCCTTTCTATGGCTCTACCACCATTTATTTGATCAATCCCCTCCTAATGGACGCTAGCATGTTTCTAATAGTTAGCTCTTAAAACAACATTGCATTGTCCATCAAAGAACACTGTATCAAGAAAGTAAAAAGAGGACCCATGAAATGCAGGAAAATATTTGCAGATAATATATCTGCTAACAGCTTGAGTAACCAAAATATATAAAGAACCTTTACAACTCAACAATTAAAAAAAAAAACTTAAAAATGGGCAAAGACTTGAATAGACATTTCTCCAAAGTTGACTGGGCACGGTGGCTCACATCTGTAATCCCAACAGTTTGGGAGGCCGAGGCAAGTGGATCACCTGAGCTCAGGAGTTCGAGACCAGTCCAGCCAACATGGTGAAACCCCATCTCTATTAAAATTACAAAAATTAGCCAGGAATGGTGGCATGCACCTGTAATCCCAGCTACTCGGGAGGCTGAGGCCGGAGAATTGCTTGAACCTGGGAAGTGGAGGTTGCAGTGAGCTGAGATTGCGCCACTGCACTCCAGCCTGGGCAACAGAGCAAGCCTCTGTCTCAAAAAAACAAACAAACAAAAAAAGTTATACAAATGGACAAAAAGCACATGAAAATATGTTCAATGTCATTTGTCATTAGGGAAATACAAATCAAAACTACAATGACCACTTCCCACCCAGTAGGTTGTTCATAATCAGAAAGACAGACGATAAGTGTTGGTGAGGATGTGGAGAAATCAAAACCTTTGTGCATTGCTGGTGGGAATGTAAAATGGTGCAGCTACTTTGGAAAACAGTCTGGCAGTTCCCCAAATGGTTAAACAGAGTTACCATATGTCCTGGCAATTCTGTTCTTAGACATAACCAAAAGAACTAAAAACAGGTTTCCTAAGAAAAATGTACACGTGAATGTTTATATTTACGACAGCCAAAAGGTAGAAACAACCCAAATGCCAATCAATGAATAAACAAAATGTGGTAATGGAGTATTCTTGAGCCATAAAAGGGAATAAGACATTGAATTGACACATGCTACAATATGGACGGACCTTGAAAACATTATGCTAAGTAAGAAAAGCCAGTTACAAAAGGCCACATATCGTATGACTCCATTTATAGGAAATGTCCAGAATAGTCAAATCTATAGAGACAAAGTAGATTATTGCTACTTAGGAGGCTGAGGTGGGAGGATCACCTGAGCCTAGGAGTTCAAGGCAGTGAGCTATGATTGTGCCACTGTGCTCCAGCTTGGGCAACAGAATGAGACCTCCATCTCTTTAAAAAAAAAAACAAAAACAAAGTAGATTAGTGGATGCCACAGGCAGGGGGAAGATGAGAATGGGGAGTGACTGCTAATGGGTATGGGGCTTTTTGGGGGATGATGAACACACCCTGAAATTAGGTAGTGGTAATAGTTGAATCTGTTAAAAACCACAGAACTATTCACTTCAAAAGGGTGAATTTTATAGCATGTAAATTATATCTTAAGCTGTAATTTGCAAAACAAAACAAAAAATATTACAAATGATATTCTCATGCAACTACTTTGTAAACTTGACCTAATGTTTCTGTAAGACAAATTCTTAAAAGTCACTGGGTCTATGAGTGTAAACATTTGGAATTGTATTTTTTTGAGACAGAGTCTCACTCTGTCGCCCTTGCTGGAGTGCAGTGGCACGATCTCAGCTCACTGCAATCACTGCCTCCTGGGTTCAAGCGATTCTCCTCCTCAGCCCCCCGATAGCTGGGATTACAGGCATGTGTCACCATGCCCGACTAATTTTTGTATTTTTAGTAGAGACGGGGTTTCGCCATGTTGGCTAGGCTGGTCTTGAACTCCTGACCTCAGGTGATCCGCCCGCCTCAGCCTCCCAAAGTGCTAGGATTACAGGCATGAGCCACCATGCCCAGCCTAGAATTTTAACAGATATGTTCAAAAAGATCTCCCAAAATGTTGTACTAGTTTATATTCCTACTAACAATTTGTGAGAGTGCCTATTTCTCCATACCCTGGTTAATTCTGGGCAGAGTCCATCTTTTAATTTTGCCAACATCACAGATTAAAATTTTCTTAATTATTAGTGAGGCTGATCATTTAAAACAAAGATAGTTGGCTACACATATACAAACATATTTCTCCCATGAACTGTCTGTTCATGCCCTTTGCCTGTTTTTCTAGTAAGCTGTACTTCCTTTTAAAAAAGTTTGTAAAAGCTCTTTGCTTTGAGAAATTCACCTTTGTCACAGGTTTTACAAATACTGTAAAGAATTTAAAGCCAGTGGTTTACAAATTTAAATGTTGGATTCTGCTTTCCAAAACAAATGACTAGCAATTAAAATCCTATGATATATTGCCTGTCTGACATAAATAGAAGGCCGAAGTTTTCAAATTTTGTTCAATCCTATGTTCACGTAATTACAGTTTAAGGAACTGCTCTTAAGGAAGCAAACTGACAGGCAGGCAATACTCTAAACTTACCAAGTCCAATCAAAGCCATTCTTGCACTTGTGAAATGGTTCTGAACGAAGTAATGTAACTGAGGAAGTTAAAAACACTTATTAGGTTATATTAGCATAAATATAAAAAGCTGTAAAAACATAAAAGTACAGTTTGGAAGAAAATAAATACTTATAAGGCCTTATAAGTTGCTGTAATGAACTACAAGGTACTAACTGAGGTGAATTACCCTGGGATTTTATTATAAAAACTATTGCTTAAAAGAACTAGAACCTAATTGTGGTCATGGTTGCACAACTCTGTGAATATAATGAAAACCACTGAATTGTGTACACTTTAAATAGGTTGTATAGTATGGTGAATTACATCTCAACAAAGCTGTTATTTATAAAAGGAATAAAAAGAGGCTGGGTGCAGTAGCTCATGTCTGTAATCCCAGCACTCTGGGAGGCCAAGGCTGGCGGATCATTTGAGGCCACGAGTTTGAGACCAGCCTGGGCAACACAGCGAAATCCTGACTCTACTAAAAATGCAAAAATTAGCCAGGCATGGTGGTGCACGCCTGTAATCCCAGCTACATGGGTGGCTGAGGCACGAGAATTGTTTGAATCCAGGAGGCAGAGGTTGCAGTGAGCTGAGATCGTGTCATTGCACTCTGGCCTGGGCGACACAGCAAGACTCTGTCTCAAAAAAAAAAAAAAAAAAAGGAATAAAAAGAAATTAGAGCATACACTGGCCTAAACTTGAAAACGTGGACTATGATTTTTATTATAATGTAGCTTACGTAGTATGTCAGGTTTCTTTTGTGTTTATATAAGTAGTAATGAAGCACTATTAACATTCTATAACAGGGCTAACAGAGTTTTACCACAACACCCTTCTCGTCCATCTTTGAAGCCAATCTCTATAAAGCTTTTCTGACCATGAAGTCATTGTCTATACCAGGGTGTCGAAACTGTAAGATCACAATTACTCAGCTTGAAAAACAAAAACGGTCACTGTCCCCCATTCTTGGGACTTACCCTACAGACTGATATAAAATATTAAATGTGGAATCCTAGAATCCTTATTTAAAACCGACCAACTACCCATCCATCCAATCAACCACTCAGGCGATCTGAAGATTGGTGAGACTTGGTTATCACTGGTTTATATTACCACCTTAGGCTTAATATACAAAAGTAGGGCTAAAACATGTACTTTCAACAGAAATGCTATCCTTTCCAGATGGGTGAAAATTGGTTTGGGGTAACTAAGAAAAAAAAAAAACTTACGACTTCTATGTAAAAAGTACAAATATACAGCACATAAACTCTATCTGTGGTATTAAAAGTAAGAGGTTTAGAAAAAAATGGCTAGAAAGGCTCCTCAGGAAGGAAAGTGATAACGTTTTGAGAATCACTGGGCTAAAGTAATGAAACTGAACTTTTAATCAATTTATCATAATCCGTGCCCTAAAATGAATGGTGTCTGTACCTATGGAGTAACCTTGGAAAGTCATACTCTTTTTCTATTGATGTTTTTCTATTGATGCTGCCATTGCTCCAAGTATTCTAGCGCCAATTTCTTTAGAGTTTCCTTTAGCCTAGGGACACATTTAAAAAATACTATTAACTTTGAGATAACCAAGTTATCACAGTTAACATCTTGATATTTGTCTATAATGCATACATACATACCTTTTATTAAAAAAAAGGGACCTTTTGGTATGTCCTAATCCATAAATTGCTTTATGTGACAACATGCTGTGGAGTTTTATGTATCAACTAATATTTTTGAATGGTTGAATACTGTTCCATTCTATAAGTTATTTAACTAGTTCCCTAATGCTGGATATTAACTTGTTTCTAATTTTTCACAATTATAAACTAGTATTACAATAGCCATCCTTGTAGATAAACTTTTGCTAAGTTTTAGCTAACTTAATGACACATCTTCATGAGGGTGAATTTGATTTCTGAAAAATTTCAAAACTCATTAGAGTCCAGTCTTATGAAAACGGCTGCCTGTTCAAGTTGGATGATGTAAGTTAAAATTTCTAAATAAAAGTGCCATATGAATGAAAGGCATCAAACTGTTAATTGATAAGTCAAAAAGAGCAAGGGATACAGTTTAGTTTTCTGTAACAGCTAACTAAGAATAAAACGAGAATAAAAACCTTGAATTTTTGAGTCAGATATACTTTGAAGGTGTTGATAATTACAAATTTTTCTCTTAATGTCTTTTGATAAAATTTGTTTTTGGGTCTGGGTGGTAGGAATAGGAAATTAAGATTATACGCACATATCTACACTTGTAGATTTAGCATTCAATGTTTCATGTTTTGGAAACAAAGTTCTAAGATGCACATATGGCTGTGGCATGTGACAAACCCCTATAGCCAGCAAACGGAGGCTGGTGTGCTGAAGAACGTGAATGAGTGAGCGAGGATGGAACAGGAGCTAAGGAAGTGGGCTCAAGTCTTATTTACAAATTCAGAGAGACCAAAGAGTTTTAGTCAAAGGACCTATTTTATATATATGTATACACACACACATATATATATTTTTTTTTTTTGTAGAGACAGGGTCTTGCTATGTTGCCCAGGCTGGTCTTGAACTCCTGGCCTCAAGTGATCCCTCTGTCTTGGCCTCCCAAAGTGCTGAGATTACACGCATGAGCCACTGGGCCCAGCCCCTATTATGATACTTAAACATTTAAATACTGTTTAAAAAAGATACACAGGCTGGGTGCAATGGCTCATGCCTGTAATCCCAGCACTTTGAGAGGCATAGGCAGAAGGACTGCTTGAGCTTAAGAGTTCAAGACCAGCCTAGGCAACACAGCAAGACCCCGTATTTAAAACAAACAAACAAAAAAGATACATACACACAGAAAACGGTTTAGAAGAAAATATACCAGGTATTAACACTGAGTGCCTTTAGGTATGTGAGATGTTTTCTTTCCCTTCATTTTGTTTGATTTTACTTTTTAATTTTTCTGTAATGATCATGTCCCTTTAGTCATGAAAACATTTCTTAAAGGAGACACAAAAATTGTTCAGATAAAATTTTAGTTAAAAAGCAGGTGGATGAAAAAGCTAGCACGCTGAATTTCTTAAAGTTAGAAGATAAAAGGAAAAATTAACAAACAAACCTGAAATGGGAGATGTTCAATTTAATGTGAAAAACAAGCACATTTCAAAATATGTTTTATTGGTACCTCCTCTGATGTCACTTTTCCAATCCTATAGTCAGGACAATACAAGGGATTAGCCAAGGCATTCCGGTAAGCTGCTGCATGCAAATTTTCAATGACATCTGTGAGATAAGTGAAGAAGCATTTAGGGAAATGCACTTTCAGTAAAGACAACATTTTTAAAACCTAGAAAGCAACAAGCCTATACAAATTTGGTCATCTTCTGGCATTCATATGTTAAGAGGACTTAAAATTTATTATTATTTAACCTCTAGTAACTGCCAGTTTCTGCCAGTAGAATGTGCTGAGAAAAAAATAAAAAAGATTACATGGCAGCAGCTTCTATATACTGGAGTCCACCTAAACCACTTTTCTAACTTTAACCTAGCTGGTATCACTTGGAAGGTATACTGGCCTGGGTTTTGGGAAGTCCCCATCTAGTTATGGTTCTGCCGCCATCTTGCCATGTGACCTTGGACAAGTCATTTAATCTGAATTTTACTTACTCCTAGGTTTCCTCTCTAGGTAATAAGGAGATTGTCAGGTAGCTTTCAGGGGACCAATGGGAGCTTCCACTGGGACTTACTCCTCTGTGGTGCTTGGTGCTTTCCCTGCTTTCTTGCTTCAATGCCTTTTTGCCTGCAGTATTTCCTTCAGTTGCTCATTACCTGGCAACTTGCCTATGCGAGGCACTGTGCTAGGTGCTAGAAATACAGAGATGTGGAACATACAATGCCTGCCCTCAAATTTTAAGAGGAAAAACTGTGAAATAAAGTATTATGGGTGCAATGTCGGCAGTGTGTCAAAAGTGCAGTAGAGGTACAAGGCAAGGGCAGTGGGAATTGGAAAACAATTAATACAAGTAATATGTGGGATCCATCTTACAGAATGAGCTGGTGTTTCCCAGGGGAAATCATTTGGGAACAGCATTTTAGGCACAGGAAGCAGACAAAACAAAGGCATAAAGTATAACAATAATTTGATTCAAATGGGAATTGCAGCTGGAAGGAGAAGAGGGTAGAGCATAAAGTAAGAGAAGTGGGCTGGGGTAAGATCACGCAAGGCCATATACGTATATGCTGTTTGGACTTTATCCCATAGATAATAAGAAGGCTTACTTTCACGTCAGAAGGATCACTGTAATGGCCGTGTGGGAGATGGACTCAAGACGTAAACCTGGAGGCTGACACCAGCCAGGAGACTACACAGTAACTGTTCAGGCAGAATAGATGCAGGCTGGTGCCTCACTGCCGCCAGTGGGGAAGAAGCCACTCTGGACACATAGGTCATCTTTTCTAAAATTGTACTATTCTATCTATTTCTTCAGTAGAAATCCTGAGCAACAAAGATAATGCTCCTCTGTGACACCAAGCATCATCATGAAATAACATCAGTCCCCAGGCCTGCATGTGGAGGGGAGCCTGTCCCATGCTGAGCCACTGAGTTGAGCTATTTCTGCTCTTCCTGCACATTTCTGCTCCCACCAGAAGTTGTATGACTCCCAAGAGTCAGCGGCGCTTGCTTACAGACTTGTATTACCAGTTGTACTTGTCAAGATTATATAATTAGACATTATATAAACATAAAATATGAATGCAAAAAAGATTCCTATTAAAAAAATTAAGTTACTTACTTTGGAAAGACTCAATAAAGAGGAGATGGCTAAACAATAATAGCAATACAATAGTAAGCAATAATAGCAGCAGCAATAAACTGGTGTAGGATTTGGGGTAAGCAAAACAACTCTTAAAAATCACTAGGGGTCAGGCACAGTGGCTCACGCCTGTAATCCCAGCACTTTGGGAAGCTGAGGTGGGAGGATCACTTCAGCCCAGGAGTTCGAGACCAGCCTGGGCAATAGAGTGAGACCTCATCTCTATAAAAAAATAAAAATAAAAATTAGCAGGGTGCGGTGGTGTGTGCCTGTAGTCCCAGCTACTCAGGAGGCTGAGGTAGGAGGATCACCTGAGTCCAGAAGGTTCAGGCTGCAGTGAGATTGTGCCACTGCACTCCAGCCTGGGCAACAAGCAACACCCTGTCTCAAAAACAAACAAACAAACAAACAAAAACAAAACATTGGGAAGGAAACAGGAAAAACTTCTAGGATCTTACAAACAATTTACTTACCATCAAACATGAAAAATGATTATAAATGTTTAGAAACAAAAGAATAATAAATCTAAATAACAAATTTTTGAAAAAGATATTTTCAAATTCAAGGAGTAAAACATTTGGCCAGGCATGGTGGCTCACACCTGTAACACCAGCACTTTGGGAGGCTGAGGTGGGTGGATCACTTGAGGCCAGGAATTCAAGACTGAACTCCAGTCTGACCAACATGGCAAAACCCTGTTTCTACTAAAAATACAAAAAATTAGCCAGGTGTGGTGGTGCACACCTATAATTCCAGCTGCTCAGGAGGCTGAGGCAGGAGAATTGCTTGAACCCGGGAGCTGGAGGTTGCAGTGAGCCAAGATCGTGCCACTGCACTCCAGCCTGGGTGACAGAGTGAGACTCTGTCTCAAAACAATAAATAAATAAAAATAAAAATAAAAATTTTGACAGCAATTTTTTTTCTTCTATAAATTGATCTTCTAAAAAACCCAGTATCTTAGAATCAAATGTGATCTGGAAATGTACTTACGAGTCTGCGGATTCTGAAAGGCCACAGCTTTGTCAATCTTTAGCTGAGGCTGAAGGTCAGCTACTTCCCAACGACGAAATTCTGGTGCTGTGGTGACATTGAGCAGGAACTCCATTAGAATATCACTACAGAAGACATCGAGATAAGAATTATGAGTCAAAAATGTAAAGCCAACATTTGAGATTCTACATAGCTGTAATGCTCTCAATGTGAAACTTTAGGTCTTGTGGTAAGCAGTGTTTTTGAGCAGTTTATGAACAATAATCCAAAATGGAAGTCAGAGGTCATAATGACGCATTACAAAGACCAGAAGTGAGCAGCTTAGTATTTCTTTCAAAGCAGAAGTCCTAAACACACACAGGTACTTACACATCACCCCGCAGGCATTCCACAGTATAAGCCATGTTTTCCCTTGTTGCGGTCACACTGAATCGGAAAATAAACTAGAGTAAATCATCTGAATCAGGATAGTAAGCTTTCCCTTATAATCTTCTATCAACCAATTCCTTTGGAAAGAAAATTTCTGAAGTATAAAAGGTGCGAACAATAATATAACAAAACTCCACATATTAACCAACTAAAATTCAAAATTTTTTTAAAAACCAGCAAATAATTCAACCTTAAAAGGAGTGAAATCTGGTCACATGTTACAACACAGATGAACCCTGAGGACATTATGCTAAGGATAATAAGCCAGTCACAAAGGGACAAATATTGTATGATTCTACTTATGAGGTACCTGGAGTAGTCAAATTTGTAGAGACTGAAAAGAGAATGGCAGTTGCCAAAGGCTGAGGGGAGGGGAGAATGAGCAGCCATTGTTTAACAGGTACAGAATTTCAGGTGGGAGAAGATAGAAAAGTTCCGGAGCTGAATGTTGGTGATGGTTGCTGAATGCCACTTAACTGCACACTTAAGAAAATGATAAATTTGGGCCGGGCGCAGTGGCTCACACCTGTAATCCCAGCACTTTGGGAGGCCGAGGTGGGCGGATCACTTGAGGTCAGGAGTTTGAGACCAGCCTGGCCAACAGGGTGAAACCATGGTCTCTACTGAAAATACAAAAATTAGCCAAGCATGGTGGCGCACGCCTGTAATCCCAGCTACCACGGAGGCTGAGGCAGGAGAATCGCTTGAACCCAAGAGGCGGAGGTTACAGTGAGCCAAGATCATGCCACTGCACTCCAGCCTGGGCGACACAGCGAGACTGTCTAAAATATATATATATATATATATATATATATATATATATATATATATAAATTTTATGTTATATACATTTGACCACAATTTTTTAAAATGGCAAATAAAGTTGAAGATCTTTTCGTACCCTTCCAAGACCAATTCCCTCACTCTCTCCCACTCTGGAAACCACAATCATAAGCACTACATAGTATTTTTCTGCTTAAAAAATTAAAATACCTTAAAGAAATCTTGAAACTTGCTTGTTCACACTCTATTTTGCCCTTCAGTTGTGCTATGTTGACGTATGGATCTAGTTCATTCCGTAATGGCTGTATAGTGGTCTCATCATGACTCTGTCATACTTTACCCATTTCCCTAAAGATGGACACTTAGATCGTTTCCAGTCTTTATAAAGAATACCTTTGTGAATGTGATTAAAAACTGTGGGGTTTTTCAATATTACCAGATATTCCTTGATTCTTTCCTAAGTGGTTGTATCAATTTATACTCCTATCAGCAGAATGAGACATTCTCTATCATCTTTACCACTGACAACACAATATATAAAAAATCTGGGCTGGGTGCAGTGGCTCACATCTGCAATCCCAGCATGCTGGGCTGAGGTGAGAGGATCACCTGAGGCCAGGAGTTCAAGACCAGTCTGGGCAACATAGTGAGACCTCCATTTGTACAAAAAATAAAAAATTAGCCAGGCATGGAGTCATGTGCCTATAGTCCTAGCTACTTGGGAAGCGGAGGGAGAAGAATCGCTTGGGCCCAGGAGTTCAAGGCTGCAATAAGGTATGTCTGCACCACTCCACTCCAGCCTGGGAAACAGAGCAAGACCCTGTCTTTAATATAAATTAATTAAAAAAAAAGAAATGCTGTTTCTGTCCTGAGTGTTCCACTGACCAGCTGCTCCCCAAGTCTTTCTCCCTCTCTTTGGATATTCCTACTCCTGAGACACAACAATATTGAAATTAAGCTAATGAATAACCCGACAATGGCCCCTAAGTATACAAGTGAAAGGAAGAGTCTCATGTCTCTCACTTTAAATCAGAAGCTAGAAAGGATTAAGCTTCTAAGGAAGTCAGGAAGGCATGTTAAAAACGGATACAGGTCAAAAGCTAGGCCTCTTGCACCAGTGCAGTTCTTGAAGAAAACTAATAGTGCTACTCCACTGAACACATAAATGATATGAAAGCAAGACAGACTTATTGCTGATAATACAGAGTTTTACTGGTCTGGATTAGATCAAACTGTATTCCCTTAAGTCAAAGCTTAATCCAGAGCAATGCCCTAACTCTCTTCAATTATATGAAGGCTGAGAGAGGTGAGATGCAGAAGAAAAGTCTGAAGCTAGCCGTGGTTAGTTCATGAGCTTTAAGGAAAGAAGCCATCTTCTTAATATAATAGTACACAGTGAAGCAGCAAATGCTAATATAGAAGCTGCAGCACGTTATCCAGAAGATCTACATAAGATCATCGATGAAGGTGGCTACACTAAACCACAGATTTTCAATGCTGACAAAACAGCCTTACATTGGAAGATGCCGTCCAGGACATTCGTAGCTAGAGAAGTCAATGCCTGGCGTCAAAGCTTCAAACGACAAGCTGACTCTTGTTGGGGACTAATGCAGCTGGTGACTTTAGGATGAGGTCATTTACCATTCTCAAAATCCTAGAGCCCTTAGGAATTATGCTAAATCTACTCTGCCTATGCTCTGTAAATGAACAAAAAAGCCTGGATGATAGTACATCTGTTTATAGCATGGTTGACTGAATATTTTAAGCCCATTGCTCAGAAAAAAGATTCCTTTCAAATTATTACTGCAACAATGCCAAGAGCTCTGATGCAGATGTACAAGGAGATTGACACTGTTTTCATGCCTGCTAATAGAACATCCCTTCTGCACCCCATGGATCAAGGAGTAATTTTTATTTTCAAGTCTTATTATTTAAGAAATACATTTTGTAAGGCTACAGCTACCACAGATAGTGAAGACGCTGATGGATCTGGGCAAAGTAAATTAAAAAACTTTCTGGAAAGAATTCACCATTCTAGACACCATTAAGAACATTTGTGACTCATGGGAGGATGTCAAAGTATCAACATTAACGTGAGTTTGGAAGAAGCCAATTCCAACCCTTATGGATGACTCTGAGAGGCAAGACTTCAGAGGGGGAAGAAACTGCAACTATGGTGGGAGTAGCAAGAGAACTAGAAGTGGGGCCTGAAGATGTGACTGAATGGCTGCAATCTTATGATAAAGCTTGAACAGATGAGGAGATGCTTCTTATGGATGAGCAAACAAAGTGGTTTCTTGAGATAGAATCTGCTCCTGGTTGAAGATGCTGTGAACACTGTCGAAATGATAAAAAAGAATATTACATAATCTTGGTTGATAAAAAAGTGGTAAGGTTTGAGATGACTGACTAATTTTGAAAGAAGTTCTGTGGGTAAACGGCTAAAAACAGCATCTCATGCTACAGAGAAGTCTTTCACAAAAGGAAGAGTCAATCAATGCAGCAAACTTCACTGTTGTCTGATTTTAAGAAATTATCAGTCACCACCACCTTCAGCAACCACCACCTTGATCAGTCATCAGCCATTAACGTGGAGGCAAGACCCTCCACCAGCAAAGATTATGACTTGCTGAAGATTCAGATAACTGTTAACATTTTTAAAGCAATAAAATATTTTAAAATTAAGGTTATGTACTTTTTTTCCAAGACAAAATGTCATTGTACACTTAGTAGACCACAGTATAGTGTAAACATAACTTTTATATGCACTGGGAAACCACAAAATTCCTATGACTTGCTTTGCTGCAATATTCCCTTCATTGTGGTGGTCTGGAACAGAACCTGCAACATCTCTGAGGTATGCCTATATATTGCAGATATCTACTCCCAGACAGTTACTTAAATTTTTACTTTAAGACATAAAGATGTTTTACAGTTTGATATACTCAAATTCATCAGTCTTTTCCTTCTTATGTTGCTTAAGAAATCCTCAACCTCCTTGATAACAGAGAAAAGTTCCCTTAAAATTGAATATTTTCTGGCATTTTCACTATTTTCTATTACTTATTTAACAAACCTTAATTTGCCACCAACTGCTTCAATTCCACGGGTTATCTTGAAAGATGAAGCTCCTTTTGTCGTCTTGAAAAAGAAAGAATGATTATCTTTGTAGCTTTTCAATGCCAAGTTTGCCAAACATCACACTATATCAAAATCTGTTGTGAGCAGATTTAAAAAGAATTTTACTAAATTCCTGCATCCTTTTTAGTTAAGAATTATAAAACAAGGCTCAACAAAAAGCTTAAGTATACATTTTTACATTAAGTACATTCATGTAAAATTTCCACTGTCAAATACAAGCTTACTGGATTCATTAGTCTATTCTGAAAGAGACTTGTATATGGGAAAAAAAGAGTTAATTTTCTTTCAATTTGCGGCACTTCCTGTTAAAAATTTGTTTACTGATTTCTTATGCTCTAACATCAACATTCATATGGATACTAATTTAGTGCTTCTCTGTGGCAAATATCTTGTGGTTTCTCATTTTACATTAGGGGACAGTACTGGGTTTAACAGTGTTCCCCCCCAAATTTATGTCCAGCCAGAATATTTGCATGTTACTTTATTTGGTAATAAGGTCTCTGCAGATTTAAGTACTTAAGATGACATCATATTGAATTATAGTGGGCACTAAATCTAATGTAACTGGTATCCTTATCAGGAGGAAATGTGGACACAGACAGAAGGAAGGCCATGTGACAACAAAGGCAGAGACTGCAGTGATGCAGTTGCAGGTCAAGGAACATGAAGGGTTGTGGGCAACTGCTGGAAGCTAGGAACAGGCAGGGGAGGATTTGTGCCTTCCTAGAACCTTTAGAGGGATCACAGCCCTGCTGATATCTTGGCTTGGCTTAGACACCTTGACTTGGACTTCTAGCCTCTAGAACTGTAACAGGATAAACTTATTTGGTTTAAGCTACCCAGTCCGTGGTAATTTGTTATGGCAGGTCAAGGAATCAAAATATAAAGACATTGATCTTAGTTTTTCTTTTTCACAGGACCAAGATACCACAGCATTTCCAAACACTTGAGGAAGTGAAGATACTCACCAGACTGGATGTAAGACGCAGCAAATGGGTGGTTCCTAAATTGCTGAAGTCCTCATATCTACTGCCTGCTTTAATGAACAAACCAATTCTTGATACAGGAGAATAGTTTTCCAAAGAAGCAATCACCAAGCCATTTGGTAACTTGGTAAACTGTATTTAAAATAAAGTAGAGATATAATGAATGTCTTCGTATTACCAAGGAGAGTAAGGCATGTATAGCTTCCAGCGAGCAAGTTAGTGGGACTAACCTCAAGGTCCTGAGGTTGTGGCGGTGCTCCTGCAGGCGCAGCTGTGGCTTTAACTTTGGGGGCAACTTTGAGGGAATAAAATCTCTAAACATAAAAAACACAGGTTACACGTATTTCTCACAAGAACAGTGCTTTATATAAAAGCATGGTATCTTAGGGTACCCAAGCGACAGAGGGTGTTCGGGGGTGGAAGGAGCAATAACCACCTCCATGGGAGGATTTACCTGCATAACATTTTTTTTTTTTTTTTGAGACAGAGTGTCTCTCTGTCGCTCAGGCTGGAGTGCAGTGGCGCAATCTCAGCTCACTGCAACCTCTACCTCCTGGGTTCAAGCCATTCTCCTGCCTTAGCCTCCCAAATAGCTGGAATTACAGGTGCGTGCCACCATGTCCAGCTAGTTTTTGTTTTGTATTTTTTAGTAGAGATGGGGTTTCACTGTGTTGGCCAAGCTGGTCTTGAACTCCTGATCTTAAGTGATCTGCCCACCTTGGTCTCCCAAAGTGTTGGAATTACAGGCGTGAGCCACTGCACCCCGCCTAGCTGCATAACTTATTATGGACTTACTAACCCACCAGTTTACCCAAGCCATTCTTAAACCTCTATTTATTAGTGATTTATAGAGTTCTTGATGCTTATTTTTTAAATGATGTAAAGAATCACTGTATTTTCTTATCTTTCAGTTACCTTATAAAAGTTTCATGGTTCTGTGTAGTTCTAAAGCTTTGGCATTTTTTGAAAAAGTGTCAGATCACCCCATCCACAACCTTTTTTGTTGAGTTGGAGTCGTGCTCTGTGTCCCACGCTGGAGTGCAACAGTGCGATCTCGGGTCATTGCAATGTCTGCCTCCTGGATTCAAGCGATTCTCCTGTCTCAGCCTCCCAAGTAGCTGGGATTACAGGTACATGCTGCCACGCCTGGCTAATTTTTTGTATTTTAGTAGAGATGGCGTTTCACCCCATAGCTCAGGCTGGTCTCAAACTCCTGAGCTCAGGCAATCCACCCGCCTCGGCCTCACAAAGTGCTAGAATTACAGGTGGGAGCCACCACACCTGGCCTGTGTCCACAACCTTTTATAGGTTTCAGCTTCTTGCTTCTTTTATCTGCCCAATGAATGTCATCCGTTCAGTCTAATTTCCAATTGAAATGGTTTCATCTCCTTAATCATCTTAGTAACCTTTAAAAAAGACAAACTAGCCGGGTGCGGTGGCTCACGCCTGTAATCCCAGCACTTTGGGAGGCCAAGGTGGGCGGATCACCTGAGGTCAGGAGCTCGAGACTAGCCTGACAAACATGGAGAAACCCCATCTCTAATAAAAACACAAAATAAGCGCGGCGTGGTGATGCATGCCTGTAATCCCAGCTACTGGGGAGGCTGAGGCAGGAGAATCACTTGAATCCGGGAGGCGGAGGTTGCAGTGAGCCGAGATTGTGCCATTGCAGTCTAGCCTGGGCAACAAGAGCAAAACTCCGTCTCAAGAAAAAAAAAAGAAAAAGACAAAGTATATACCAACTTCCTCCAAGCCCTCAATATTTTCCATTGTATCTTCACTCTTGTGTGCTGTATTAAGACCACACAACCAAAGGTCTTAGTTTTTTTGACTAAATAAAACATTTATGACATGTATGTCATCCTGAGATTAATAATGGCTTCATCCACATCAGATTCTCAATATATAAAATGCAGTTACTGGTAGGGTGAAAGGGTCCCATTAAATATTAGATAATGGACCCAAAATGCATTCATTTTATTCAGTTTGTTTTGGCAAATATTATACAATGCCATACAAATCATTCTGATTATGACTAAAGTTCATGAGGTTATTAGAGGAGATGATGAGTGAATAAAATTTGGTGCTCCCAAGACCCAATGAACACCTCCTCACTGGAGTTTCCCGGACATCCCTGCACAGTCTGCAATGCCTCCACTCTGTGCTGTCCAGAAGGCTGTTTGTTGTACATCATTAGTGCTGTACTAGGTTGGCTGCTGGTTATCACTTGCTTTTAGTACTGCTTTTCAGTTATGAATTACAATTAGCTTTACTTTATCGTCATCAATTTAGTTTCCTGGGTATGGTATAGTTAACCTTCTTTGTAATTTTGGCCTATAATTTTCCAAAAAGTAAACTTTTAAGATATATGGGCATAGCAATTCAAATATGAATAATCTATAATTCCGTTACCAAGTGAGATTTTAGGTGTTTTCCAACCAAATGTGCCCAAATAGTAACTCTTTGTTGGTAATTTTTTTTTTTTTTTTTTTTTTGAGACGGAGTCTCGCTCTGTCGTCTAGGCTGGAGTGCAGCGGTGCGATCTCGGCTCACTGCAACCTCCGCCTCCTGGGTTCAAGAGATTCTCCTGCCTCAGCCTCCTGAGTAGCTGGGATTAGAGGCGCCCACCACCACCACGCCCGGCTATTTTTTTTTTTTTTGTATTTTTAGTAGAGACGGGGTTTCACCATGATGGCCAGACTGGTTTCGAACTCCTCATCTCAAGTGATCCGCCTGCCTCTGACTCCCAAAGTGCTAGGATTACAGGTGTGAGCCATCGCGCTCCGCCGGTAATGTGCTTCTTAATCGTCCCATTCAAATCAGCAAATTATCCTAGTAACTGTCATGCAATCTTCTAAATTATTTTGTTCTAATAACAAGATATATCTAAGTTTATTCTCCTATATAAAGTGCTAAAATTAGACACATAAATAATTGCTTTCAAGTTTACTGCAATTTGTTTACTTTGGGCCTCTCCAACTGTTTTCTCTGAGCTTTTTCTGTTGCAAAATAGAATGGAGAAGGAAATGTTGGGGTCTTTTGCCAATCTAACCGTGCTTCCCTCCAAGGGTAATCACTGGTGTGTCTAGGTATACCTGGAAGGTTAATGCAATTACAGCCTAAATCGATATAGCCCACAGCACATTTATGTAAACATAAAGCATAAGAACATTCCATGCCCAGGTCTGGTCTTCTGCATCTCCATCTAGGGGGGTTTCTCAACACAGGTACTACTACTGGCACTTGGGGCTAGATAATTCTTTGCTGTAAGGCGAAGTTTAGCAGCATCCCTGGCCTCTCCATGCCAATAGCACCCTCCTTACAAGTTGTTGCAACTAAATATGTCTCCAAACATCGCCACCGGTTCCCTGGGGGCATTCTGTCCCTCGCTATGATTTTTTAAGTGTTCCCCCTTACCCCTCTTAATAACCACTGTCCCACAGTGATATAACCCTGATGTGTGAGTTTTCCCCAAGTGACAGCTATGTTTAATTTAGGCTTGAAGGGGAAACTTAATTAAGGAGCTTTTGAGGACAAACAGAGACGTCTTGGAGGAACCGTCTAACATACGATCAAGAAAAGCAACGTTAGACTACTAAGACACCATAGTATTTAACAATGAAGTTCCAGGTACTGTAATAAGTGTTCTATCTGCATTAGCTCCTTTCTTATACTTTTATTCGCTGGGGAAACTGACGCTCCGTGATAAACCAAGGAGCAGAGGCTGCAGCGGATAAAGTGAAGGTGGGGGGCTAAGTGCGCCGTCCTCCCGCTCCCCCTGGGTTTCACGGTCTCTTTCTCCAGCACTTGAGTACCGGAGTGACCTTCAGAAGTCTCTCCAAGGACTCGCTTCAACTCCGCTCTCACGTCCTGCCCCTCTCTTCAGGTTTCCCGGTGTTAGGTCTCTTGTGCTCACAGCATGAGCTGGGCCTCCAAAGCCTGACCCAGTCTGCAGCCCACTTGGCCCGCAGGGTTCAGCTGAAGGGCAGACCGAATCCCAAGGCCCAGACCCCAGACCAGACACCTCCGCCTCGTATCACCTTGTCGACACACTGCTCCCCAGCCCTTTCCCAAACCCGCCACCTGAGCTCACCGAGAAAGAGCCGGCTCTGGTTAGTAGCTTCATGATTCAAGATTGTTCTGACACACGGTCACTGCCGGATTAAAGGAAAGCAAGATGGTGGCGGAGGCCGGGAGTTTCCCAGCGTTCCCCGCTAACACTTTCCCACGTCCCCTTCGTGAGGTACTCTCTATACTGCCGCGCTCTACTGCTCTCTTTATAAGGTTGGACCAGTCCAATTCCTCCAAGACTCAGAATAGGGAGACGCACAATTTCCCAAGTAAATATATGCAGAGAATAATGTACGTCACTGCTTTTTGCGTTCTTCTCCTAGCCTGAATATCCAGTATGCACCCCTTTTCTAAGTACGTCTGCAGCAGCCTGTCACAACTCCCCCCGCTATCTTGGGCTCTTCCGCTCAGCATTGTCCAATGGGACGCGCCTCTCTTGGGACTCCGCATGCGCCCTCCGGGATGACACCTGCACTGGAGGCCCTGGGTTTCCGCGTTCCTGGACGTTGGAGGCTTCAGGAGATTCCTGCCACTCCACCTTTCTGCAGAGGTATTGGGTATCGAAGCCCGGCGTAGTTGCCTCTCGCTGGGTGAAGTCCTTACTGGATCTTTAGCTCCGTGAAACAGGGGCCTCGTTCAACGTATTCGCCGCTGTGTCCCCCAGAGCAGGCCCGGGACACACCGGGAGGGTCAGCAACCTCGGGGAATCATCACAAGGCTTTTGGTCTCGTGGAATTTACGTCCTAGGCTGGGGCTACATAGAATATAAAAACTTAGCTATAGTTTTTGTGTTAGGAAAATAGAAATGTTTTGGATAGTAGGTGTGTTATGTGAGCCGAAACCGGCAGTTGGAGAAAGTCAGTCACGTGACGACTTGGGGCGGGGGCGTTCACTCCGGTCCTCAGCGAGTGTTAACCCAGAAAGTGCCTTGAGCTAGGCACTATGCCAACGCGAGAGGCGTGGTCCCTGCCCTTTAGGGACTTTAGAGTTTCGTACCTTGCTACGTTGCTTGGTTGGGAAACCGACAGTATCAGCATCAATATCATTTAGGAGTTGATTAGAAATGTATGAACTCCAGGTCCCATATTGGATCCGAATCGGTGTTTTTACAAGATCCTGGGATGACTTCGTATGCACAATAGTTTCAGAAAGGCTGGTGGTGTAGACGTTACAAGGCATAGGCAAATGTACTTTCTTTTTGCCTTGTGTCTGAATTGCTCCAGGCCTACAACGGACTTGGGCTCTCTAATTAAGATCTGGGCATTAAGAACCTGGCACCAACCCAATTTCTGTGCCTGCTGGGGACGCCCTCAACCCAATTCATACCACACAGTTTCCCCACATGTGGTAGATTTAACACTAGTGGTGCGTGAGATGATTTTAAGTTGGTACATAGATGAACACTTCCATTTTTTCCTTTTAAAAATTTGTATAAATTTAAGGGGCGCAAGTACAGTTATGTTATATGGATATATTGCAGTAATGGTGAAGTCTGGGCTTTTAGTGTACCCATCACCCGAATAATGTACATGGTACCCATTAAGTACTTTCTCATCGTTCACCTCTCTCCCACCCCTCCACCTTTCGGAGTCTCCAGTGTCTGTCATTCCACACTCTATGTCCATGTGTACACCTTATTTAGCACTGTTCCATTTTAATAATATATTTATTTTGATTATGGCAAGCAATGCTAGTAGTGAATTTCCTCTTTAAGTACATTTATAAAATAATAAAAGTTGGTGTAAAAACGTTAAGTAACTTGATGATACGGAGATACAGCAAAAATCATGAATGTGTTATACAGGTACCATTGAGTGAAATCTGGGAAGCAGTGCTCTGATCAAGCCACCTGCCTGCTTAAAATTCTTCAACGACAGCCACGTTTTTCAGGATAAAATTCAAATTCATTAACATGGCATACAAAGCTGTCTCCAGTACTTCAAAACCCCAATTCCCAAGTTAGCTAGCTGCACCCCTGAGTCCAATCATTGTAACTTCATCATTCAACAGTTCAGGTCAGGTAGGAGGAACACAAAAGTCTCCACACTCAAGTGCACACACACACACACACACACACACACCCACACCTGCTTATAATGTCCTCTCATTCTTAGGTTATGACCCAATATCAGAAAGGGGCAAAAATAAATTCTGTTCAAAATGTGGCAGGATTTGAAACATAATTCATGATATCAGCTACATAAATCATAAAATCCCAAGTTTGTCAATTGCAAAATGTCCTATTAAGCATTAAGCTACAAATTAGGAGTGCCATCTTGTGGACACATCCACCACTTCCACATCATGTCACCTCCTAGCCAACTCCGTGGCTGTTCTCACTGTGGAGGTCTCTGCCACAACTCCAGCATTTTATTGCAGAAGAAAACCCAGTCCTTGAACTGGTTTCTGCGTAGAACACACTGAAAGCCCTGGGAGAGGAAACCAGCAGACAGGAAAAGAGTAGACATGGAAGAGCAGATGAGTTCATTGCTGGAAAGCTCGAATTGTTAGTTTCGTTAATGTGGGGTCCAATTTGACTCTATGGAGCCTAACTACCTAGCCTGAGCGCTCGCGGTGAGTATGGGGTGGGAGAATGTAAAGAGAAAGCAGGCAACAGTAGGAGTAAAACACACCAGAGGAAGGTGATGTGGGTTTATACTTGGGAACAACATTACCTTGCCATCTTAGGGCCAGAGGCATTAATCATGGCTTCCCCAATGCATAATTTCGATGTTGGCATTTCCTTCCCCATTCCTTTCAGAATCCTACCCTGTCAGGTATTATCTCTGATGAAATATTCCCTGGGCCAGGCACAGTGGCTCATGCCTGTAATCCCAGCACTATGGGAGGCCAAGGTGGGTGGATCGCCTGAGGTCAGGAGTTCAAGACCAGCCTGGCCAACGTGGCAAAACCCTGTCTCTACTGAAAAAAAAATACAAAAATTAGCCGGGCATGGTGGCAGTTGACTGAAATCTTAGATACTCGGGAGGCTGAGGCAGGGAGAATTGCTTGAACCTGGGAGGCGGAAGTTGCAGTGAGCCGAGATCACTGCCATTGTACTCCAGCCTAGGCGACACAGCGAGACTCTGTCTCGGGGGGGAAAAAAAAGTTCATATCAATTTCTAATATTCTATAATTATTGTTTTTGGTCACATATACTTTTTCCATGTATTGAGGTGAACAGATTGGTCTTATTCTGTGTTAAGTTATATTGATTGATTCAAATTATAAATAAACCTTTCATTCCTGTTATAAACCCAACTTGGTCTGGATGTTTTATTCTTTTAATATATTGCTAGACCTAATTTGCTACTTATTTGTTTAGGATTTGTGCATTTATGTTCCAGAGTGATACTGGCTTTAACTTTCACTTTCATTCCCCCCATTCATGCATTTTTCTGTCATAGATAAAATGAGTTAGGAAGTGTGAAAGGAAAAAAAATCTCAGGGCCTCCAAATCACTAAGCCAAAGGGAAAATTCAAGCTGGGAATGATGTCAGACAAACCTGCCTCCCGTTTTATTCCTAAATAAGATAGCTATAAGGATAAAAAGCTACATAACTTACCTTACAATTTGCCCACAGGGCAATTCCATGTGGATCTGAGGATCTTTACCCTAAAACAGTTTTGTTGAATTTCACCCTGGCAATGTAAATTGATAGCTGTCTTCCTTCCTTCCTTTCCTTTTCTTCCTTTCCTTTCTCTCTCTCTCTCTGTCTCTCTTTCTCTGTTTCTCTCTCTCCCTCCCTTCCTCCCTCCCTCCTCCCTCTTTTTTTTTTTTTTTTTTTTTTTTTTTGGAGAGTTTCACTCTTGTTGCCCAGGCTGGAGTGGAATGGCATGATCTGAGCTCACTACAACCTCCACCTCCTGGTTTCAAGCAGATTCTCCCACCTCAGCCTCCTGAGTAGCTGAGATTACAGGCATGTGCCATGATGCCTGGCTAATTTTGCATTTTTAGTAGAGACAGGGTTTCACTATGTTGGCCAGGCTGGTCTCGAACTCCTGACCTCAGGTGATGCACCCACCTCGGCCTCCCAAAGTGCTGGGATTACAGGTGTGAGCCACCGCACCAGGCCTGATAGCTTATTTTCACAGGTGCAGGACAAAGGACAGAACTCAAAGTCCATCTTAAACAAATGTGTATCTGATGGCTTCCTCTGCCCTATTGTTTACATTGTATTATGTAAAAAAAATGAAGATTCTCTGAGCCAGACAATGACATAAGTGAGTATTCCTCTGCCCATCCTCTCACATGTAAATTGTATATTCAGTGAAAGGCTGATCAAAGACTCAAGGGGATGCAACCCTTTGTCTCTTGTATACCCACACATTTTTAAATTTTTTCTTTTTTTTTTTTTTTTTTTGAGACGGTCTTGATCTGTCACTCACGCTTGAGTGCTTCCAGTACTTCCTGGGCTCAAGTAGTCCTCCCACTTCAGTCTCCTGAGTAGCTGGGACCACAGGCATATGCCACCACATCTGGCTAATTTTTGTATTTTTGATAGAGATGGGGTTTTGCCATGTTGCTCAGGCTGGTCTCAAACTCCTGACCTCAGGCAGTCCACTGGACTGGCCTCCCAAAGAGCTGGAATTAAGATTTCAAATTTTCTTCCTTTTCACCCATATCAATCCTTTCTCCTTAAATATTGAAGCCCTTGAAATCATCTTTGGAGAAAGGCATAGACATACCTCTCAGGCGCTTATCCTTAACCTTGGCAATGGAAACTTTCCACATTGATTGAGACCTGTCTCAGATACTTTTGGTTCACAGAAGTAAACGTCTTTTCCCAGCTTTCGTATATTTTGCGTGCTCCCTTTGATTCTGTCAGGCTTTTATTTTATTCTTTATTAGGGTGGGTCTATTTAGGTTTTTGATCTTATTCTAGGACATGATCTTTACTTCTAAGGCATGGCTTTTCTGGAGTTATAACTGTAAGGGGTGCTCAGTAAGGTATCTCTACTGTGGCTCTCAGTAAGAATTCCGACATTTTCTGCACTATGTAAACTCTGGGTCTACCTTTGTTACAGGTAGTTAGACAGGTATGAGCGGGACAGGAGAGGGCTCTCCCCCCATCCACCAGGAATGTCGGGTGATGATTTGGCAGTTATCACATTGCCTCTCTAAGTGATAAATTGGGCCAGGCGCGGTGGCTCAGACCTGTAATCCCAACACTTTGGGAGGCCAAGGCGGGCGGATCACCTGAGGTCGGGAGTTTGAGACCAGCCTGAACAACATGGAGAAACCCCATCTCTACTAAAGATACAAAATTAGCCAGGGATGGTGGCGGGTGCCTGTAATCCCAGCTACTCGGGAGGCTAAGGCAGGAGAATCACTTGAACCCAGGAGGCGGAGGTTTGGGTGAGCCGAGATCGCGCCACTGCACTCCAGCCTGGGCAACAAGAGCGAAATTCTGCCTCAAAAAAAAAAAAAAAAAGATAAATTGGAGAGGCCATTTCCTGATAGTCCACACCCGTTGCACTAAATTAACAGTGTTAATTGAATGCAGACACCAGGGAGAAGCAACTTCCTGGGCATGTGCATTAAGAGACAAAATGGCGGAGTATGACTTTCCAGGGTTACTCCACCAGAATAGGGAAGAAAGTCTCAGATGGGCATGGGTACAACTTCTTAAACACGCTGCGCATGCTCACCTCCAACGGGTGAGGGGGGTACCAGGCATGCGGGCAGCCCACCCTAAGGGAAGAATCATGAGAAAGGGGCCAGCCTATAAAGATTACTGTTAAACAGAGCGCTTGACCTCAGTGCCTGGTTGGGTCTCTTCCAAGCATACTTTCCTTTCCTTTTTTATCCTGTTCTAAAGCCTTTTAAATAAACTTCCACTCCTGCTCTGAAACTTGCCTTGGTCTCTTTTTCTGCCTTATGCCCCTCTGTTGATTTCTTTCTTCTGAGGAGGCAAGAATTGAGGTAGCTGCAGATGTACACAGATTCACCGCCAGTAACTCAGATATCGTCCACCGGTAACACATTCAGTTCTCAGTCTAGCAGGTGCCATTCTCTGATAGGCCTCACAGCATCTCTCCCTTTGCACATGGCACAGGCCAGCTCATGACTCACAGCAAACCCCATTCAAATTTCTGGGCCCCCGCTTCGTCTTTATCATCACCCTGCTCTTCAAATTCTAGCTGCTTTAGCAATCCTAAACTCCCTCTTAATTGATCCCTTTTGAGGTTCAGAAGCTACAGTTCAAAAAAACCTAAGATTTATTGTTCCATTTCTGCAAAAGGACGACGTGAAGCTACATTGATCTGCCTTACTACTCGTATCTGAAACCTAGTAGAACATTAGACAGTTTCGTAATTAGGTAATTGTGGGAAAAGGAGCATAGGTGGAGCTATGGGCTTCATTTCAAACAGCAGGGACAAAAGAAAGCACCTCAACATTAGCAGCATCAACAAAAAGTGCAGCAGCATAATGACTCACCTGTAGGTGTTGATAAGCTCATCAGCATGAGGCTCCAGTTCAAGTGAATTCAACCATTTCTTCACATACAGTTGAATCTGGGGCTTAGGGACTCCCCATAATCTGGCATACATGATCATTATTTCCTGAGCAGTCATATATTCTAGCAAGACATCAAATTCAGGACAATAACCAATTCTTGACCTTAACCTAATTACAAGAATTGCATTAAGTAAAGACCCAAGTCATCTATCCCACTAGACAACCATGGATAAGATGGCAAACCTGCAGTCTTCCAGGCCATACTTTTAAGAGTCCTACCAAGATATTTTTTTTCTAAAGGGCTACAAAATTATAGCTGTCAGATCTATTGTAGGACATTGGAATAGTAGGCTCCATAATTCAGTTTTAATGATCTTGGGGATAAAGAAGTTAGAAATGAAATTCCACAGCCTACTCATTTTGGAGGAGTACTAGATTATGACATGGTCTTCTCATTAATCAAGAACTCCAGGGGGAATGGCCGCCATGGAGGTATTTGCACTGTTAAACCTGTACAACATCTTGTCCATATAAAGGCTGAACCAGAACCAAAGCCTTTCCCCACCCTGCCAACCTGGAGACTGCAATGAGTATTGTTTTAGCAATTAGTCAAACACCTCTGTTGATTTACACTCAGGTGAGCATAGCCTATGAACCAGAGAAAGAGCTATATTCTATTATTATTATTATTATTATTTTTGAGACAGAGTTTCACTCTTGTTGCCCAGGCTGGAGTGCAATGGCACGATCTCAGCTCACCACAACCTCTGCCTCCCAGGTTCAAGCAATTCTCCTGCCTCAGCCTCCCTAGTAGCTGGGATTACAGGCATGTGCCACTACGCCTGGCTAATTCTGTATTTTTAGCAGAGACGGGGTTTCTCCATGTTGGTCAGGCTGGTCTCGAACTCCCGAACTCAGGTGATCCACCCGCCTCAACCTCCCAAAGTGCTGGGATTACAAGCATGAGCCACCGCGCCCGGCTCAATTTTGTTTTAATTGGAGACTTCGTATGCTCCTAGACACTTCATAGAAACAAACTCAAATTCCCTCT
The DNA here is from genome assembly GCF_000001405.40 of Homo sapiens. Taxonomy (NCBI): domain Eukaryota; kingdom Metazoa; phylum Chordata; class Mammalia; order Primates; family Hominidae; genus Homo; species Homo sapiens. The sequence continues at coordinate 1,159,075 of NW_017852933.1, forward strand.
TTATCTAACAACAACAAAAAAAAGAACAGTAAGCATCTGGTGGGTGTCACTTTATAATAAACAATATCCAATTAAGGATTTGAAAACATTGAACAAGCCACCCCAAAATAGAGCACCTTTATAGACTCTCTTCATCTTGCAATTCTGCAAGAACCATCCTAGTTGTCTATGAATCCTGAAAAGGTGATTAGATTTCTCATATTATTTATGGGGGACTCCATCTATCTACCTAGGCAAGAATCAGAAGAAAATATCTCTGTGTCCCTCTCTCTCCACTTTATTTCTCCTTCTTCTTTATTAGAGGTGAGATAATTGTAGAAAAGAAAACACACTATTTTTAAATAATCCTTTTTTTTCTGGTCATGGATCCCAAATGTTCTTGGTGCAAAAATTCTCTTTCAACTGAAGCATATGAACTTTATTTTGGATGTCTGAAATAGTAACCCAACTCAGCCCTCCAACATTGATGAATTTATATTAGATATATGTGTATATGCATGTATATCTGCACGCGTGTGTGAGTGTGAATGTGTGTGTGTGTGTATCCATAGGAAAGCTGATGTGATCCAGGCCTTATGCGCTTCTTATCCATAACTCAACTGCTGAAACATAAAGCTCTTGTTCTTTGGGCTGTCCCATCTGACAGCTCCATCATTACTGGATCTTTCTGTTCAAATGTCCAGAACACTCAGGAACAGGTTCCTGTCCCAACCCTGATAAATGCTGCTCTTTCATATCTCAAGGAGAGAAAATGGGAATTTCACCAAATGTCTTTGGATTTGAGCATGCTGGATACACAGGCCGCTCATCTAAATCTGCAATGAAGGGGACAAACTTTCTTCTTTGGGAAAAGCTTTATTACATAAATATATGTACACCAAGATATACATGCACAGGAAGGTCCCCCATGCATCCAGGTGTCATCTATGAGAGACACAAGGGTCACTGGTTGTAACTGAATCTCATGGCACCTCGTTTTCATCATCACTGGATGCTTTCTCTGGGTTAGCAAAGGTCAGGAAGACCTGTTCCAGTGTGATCTGACTGACAGAATAGTCTTCTAAATCGAATTGCTCTTTAGCTTCCTCCAAAATGCCAAACACCTTTAACAACAGCAACAAAAACACAGTTACCATTGCAATCTCCCCTTCAGCCCCCAACTCAGATAAGCCTCTCCTCCACTCCCCCAATTCCTATCAAGTGTATGTTGGAGGACAAAAGGCACAGAAGGGAGAGGTGAGAAGGTGGAAGAACAGAGAATTGAGAAAGTGAGAGGAAGCCATTCTCTGTTCCCATTCTCTTGATGGATATGGAGTAATAATGGAATTTACTTAATTATATACTGTGGAGGGGTGAATAGAGGAGGTCAATACGAAAGGAGATATAACCCGCTAACCCACTCTTTTTGGTATCCATGACACGGTTCATGCTTTCAGATTTATTCCTCATGAAATCATCTTATTATGTGGAGTTCATAGCAATTATTGAGGGCAGGATTTGAGGTACAATAAATTATCAGCTGACATGCCCAATGTAAGAAAACTGAGCCTTCTAAAAGTCTAATGTTTGCAGAGGGACCTGATCCATGATGGCCTATTAGAAGTAGCTGCGGTTCACAGCACTCATGGAGAGGAACGGAGAGGGGTGAGTGAATTTAGTACCTTTGACTGACATATCCAGGTTCTCGCATTGGGACCAACTAGGCTAAAAACTCGACCCATGGAGAACAAAGAAGAGCAGGGAGTGGAGATGGCCCACCAAGGAGCTACACGGAGCCAAAGGAACCACCACCCCTAGACAAGAGAAGCAGTGAGTGATGGTGAGACCTTGCCCAGGAAACCACGCTTTTCCCATGGATCTTTGCAATCCACAGATCAAGAGATCCCCCCATGAGCCCACACCACCAGGGCCTTGGGTCTGATACACAGAGCTGTGTGAAGTCTTGACAGAGCATCCACTCAGGCACACACAGAGACCCAGGAGTTTTATATACTCTAGCCTTGGGATCCCTGGCAAGGTGAGAGGTCCATCTGTACATATCCCTAGGAAGGAAGCTGAATCCAGGGAGCCAAGCAGTGTCATTCTGCAGGCCCCACTTCCACGTCACATCACGAGTTAAGACCTACTGGTTTGGAATCCCAGCCAACAAATGGCAGTGAGTTAGAGTCTCCCTGAGATGGGTCCAAGTTCCTGGAGGAGGCGCAGCTGCCATCTCTGTGGTTTGGTCAACTCAGCTGCTTCAGTCTGTCAGCTTTGAAGAATACAGGCAGTCCGAACAAGGAAAGGTCCCACACAACACAGCACACCTGCTCTACCAATAAGCAGCCAGACTGCTGCTTTGGGTGGGTCCCTGATCCCTTTCCTCCTGACTGAGTGAGACCTCCCAATAGGGGTCTCTAGCTACCTCCTACAGGTACATGTAGGCTGGTGACCAAAGGAGGGACTCCTCCCTAACTCATTCTATGAGGCCAGCATCATCCTGATACCAAAACCTGGCAGAGATACAACAAAAAAAGAAAACTTCAGGCCAATATCCTTGATGAACATCAATGCAAAAATTCTCAATAAAATACTGGCAAACTGAATCCACCCACACATCAAAAAGCTTGTCCACCATGATCAAGTTGGCTTCATCCCTAGGATGCAAGGTTGGTTCAACATATGCAAATTAATAAATGTGATTCACCACGTAAACAGAACTGAAGACAAAAACCACATGATTAGCTCAATAGATGCAGAAAAGGCCTTCGATAAAATTCAACATCCCTTCATGTTAAAAGTTCTCAATACACTAGATATTCAAAGGACATACCTCAAACTAATAAGAGCCATGACATGACATATGACAAACCCACCGCCAATATCATACTGAATGGGCAAAAGCTGGAAGCATTCCCCTTGAAAACTGGCACAAGAACAACTGGCACAAGAATGTCCTCTCTTACCACTCCTATTCAACATAGTATTGGATACAGTATCTTGGTTGGCAGGGTTTTTTTCTCTTCAGTACTTTGAACATGTCATCCTACTCTCTCCTTGCCTATGAGGTCCTGGTTGAGACACCTATAGCTAGCCTTATGGAATCTCCCTTATATGTTATTTGCTTTTTTTTTCTCTTGCTGCTTTCAGATCCTCTCTTTGTGCTTGATTTTTGACCATTTAATTATAATGTCTTGATGTAGCCTTGTTTGTATTGAATCCGAATGCAGATATGTGACCCTCTTGTACCTGGATATTTATGTTTTTCTTAGTATTTGGAAAATCTTCTGCTTTTATTTCTTTAAGCTTTCCAACAATTTGTTTTTTCTTCTTCCTCACAAACTCTAATAATGTAAACACTGGCTCTTTTGATGCTGTTCTATAAATCCCATGAGCTTTCTTCATTCCTCTTAATTTTTCTTTTAATCATCTAACTGTATATTTTCAAAAAACCTATTTTGAGTTGAGATATTTTTCTCTGCTTGATAAACTCTGCTGTTAATGCTTTCTACTGCATTATTCATTTTATTCACTGTATATTACATATCCATGATTTCTGTTTGATTTTTTAAAAAGTAATTTCAATTTCTCTATTAAGTTACTAGTCTGGGTCATTTATTGTTTACCCGATTTTGTTGAATTGTTTTTCTGTGTTATCTTGAAGTGTGCAGAGCTTTTTGTTTTCGTTTTTGTTTTTAAGATGGAGTCTCACTCTGTTGCCCAGGCTGGAGTCCAGTGGCACGATCTCGGCTCACCGCAACATCCACCTTCTGGGTTCAAGCGATTCTCCTGCCTCAGTCTCCCAAGTAGCTGGGATTACAGGCACCCACCACCATGCCCGGCTAATTTTTGTATTTTTGGTAGAGATGGGGTTTCACAATATTGGCCAGGCTGGTCTCAAACTCCCGACCTCGTGATCCACCTGCCTTGGCCTCCCAAAGTGCTGGGATTACAGACGTGAGCCACTGTGCCCAGCCTATAGAGCTTTCCTAAAGTGATTTATTGATCACATCAAATAGAACTCTTGACACAATAAGTCCTCAAAAATATTTGCCACATGAATGCATAAATGAATATTCAACTTCTTAATGGACATATCCATCTACATGTGTCAAGGGCACACCATAAACACTATGACCAACACCGAGGTGATAATTTTTCTACACAGCTCGTTCTCCACATATGCTTGACCATCCATTTCGTATCTATTTTCTGATTTTCTTCTCTTTTTGCTTTTTTGAGACAGAGTCTCTCTCTGTCACCCAGGCTAAAGTGCAATGGCATGACCTCTGTTCACTGGAACCTCCGCCTCCCCGGTTCAAGCAATTCTCCTGCCTCAGCCTCCTGAGTAACTGAGACCACAGGTGTGTGCTACCATGTACAGCTAATTTTTGTATTTTTAATGGATATGGGGATTCATCATGTTGGCCAGGCTGGTCTCAAACTCCTGACCTCAGGTGATCCGCCCACCTCAGCCTCCCAAAGTGCTGGGATTACAAGCATGAGCCACTGTGCCCGGCCCTGATTTTCATTCTTACTGTGTAATCAATTTTGCTATTTTCCATTGCCTAGGAGACAAATTTTCAACCCCTTAGCCTAACACACAACGGGAACTTCTGCGGTATTTTGCTCAGCCTAACAAAGTGGAAACTAAGATGAAAAACCAGAATTATTAAAAGCCTTGCCATTGCCCATGCTTTAGGTTAAGGAAAGAGAGATAAGAGATCGAAATGCATGCTCTCTCTTGTACTGTTCCATGTAGGCGGAGAGGTGCTTACTGAATTTAGCATGAAGAAACGGCACTCAGAAACCAAACTACTCTTGAAAGGAGAGAAATACCAGTTCTTATTTGCATTTCAATACCATATCCTAGCTGAGACAGCAAAAGCATAAAGTTGCATGAGCAGTGTGAAGGAAAAAACCTTAAAATTTGGCATGAATAATCTGTAAAAATAATTGAGAATTATGCTAAAATAGGACTTTAGATATATAATTTATTTTTAGTTTTTATTTATTATCATTAATTTTTTTAGAGATGGGGTCTTGCCAGGCTGGAGTGCAATGGCACAATCATAGCTCATTGCAGCCTTAAACCCTGGGGCTCAAGCAATTCTCTGGCCTCAGCCTTCCAAGTTGCTGGAATTACAGGCATGAGCTACTGCGCCCAACTAATTTATATGGACAGCACAAACATAAAAGTGCCTTGTTAGGTGATGTAAGAGTTTGTGAGGACTTCTGCTTTTTGTGAAACTTAGCATAATCTGGCATAAGAGACTATAATATCAAACATTGCCAAAGGAACATTATAGAAAATCAATACCTATCAATAACTCACAGAAAACTGGTATTGAAGACATAAATCATATGGATGGTGAGAACAACAAATATGATTTAACACATTTCTCAAACTCCTGAGCTCAAATGACCTGCCCACCTCAGCCTCCCAAAAGTGCTGGGATTACAGGCGTGAACCAGTGCGCCCGGCCAATTTAATACATTTCTGACAAAGGTAGCACAACTTAATTTACCTGGAAATGTTGTTGCAACATAACATTTAAAATCCTCTAATTTATCTTCAGTCTTGACCTTGACCTTCAGGATGTAAATGTTGCCAAACTTGCTCTTGAGATGCTGAGGGCTGCCCAAGCAAGTGAACTTCCCTTGCACCATGATGGCTAGACTGGTACAGAGGGCGTCACATTCCTCCATACTTGGAAAACAAAAGGGCAGAATGTTGTAAGGGTAAAAATAAAAAGTTCTCTTTTGGAAGACATTGTGTAGTTCAATCAGAGCCAGAATTTTGTGACCCTATTTTCAATCAGAATTTGTATTTTTCCAATCATAAAGCACATAGATGGGAAGTGGGAATTTTTCAAACGAAAAAGAACACAGCGCTCAATTTTCAAATAGAACATCTTCTGAAGTCCTGTCTTTTCCTCACTTTTTTTTTAAACTCAGTGAGGATTTTTGGCCATTTGATTTATTAGGATTAACATGAATCCTAATTCCTGATGAGGAGCTAACATACTCAGGCAAGTTTAGTGTCCAATATTATCCACTGGGCCTAAATAATTCCTTCTTATAGCCACTAAAACTCTTGCTAGCCTTCAACCAAGCCTCCCAATGAGCCATACCTGTGGGAGGTCATAACGATGGCTTTTCCACTTTCACGTGTCTTTGTCACCATGTTCCAGAGCAGGCGTCTGGCTACTGGGTCCATGCCAGTTGATGGCTCATCCAGGAAGATGACTGAAGACCTTCCCATTAGGGCAATAGCAGTACTCAGCCTACGTTTGTTTCCTTCACTTCATGGCCAAAGAAGGAGAGAAAAAGTGAGAGAAAAAATGGCTATACATATCAGCTATGTATAGGAAAGAGTTAGTACAAATTTCCCAAATGCTGAGAGTCCCAGCAAACACTTAACATGGATGTCCCAATGCTGATTATATGTGACTTTGATTAGGTAGCAGGCCCAATTACAGGCGTCTATATCAATTCATTTTAATTTGAGATATCGAGGAGTGACTTTTATGTAATTAATTTTGGCAGCATTATCAGTGGCATGTTCTTAGAGTGTTATGGTTTCCAAGACACATAAATCACATCATAATTCAAAGGGCCTACATTCCTCCTTACTTGGTAGACAAAGAACTATAGGGACACTAGGAAGAGAAGACACTCCTTTTTTTGAGGTTCAGAGGATATAGTTCAAATAGAACCAAGACTTTGCGTTTCATCTCTGAAAAGGGAAGATGTGGAACTGTATTGATTTGCCTTGTTACTGGCATCTGAAGCCTAGCAGAACATTAGATAGTTTCACAAGTAGGTAATTGTGGGAAGAGGAGCTTAGGTGGAGCTGTAAGCTTCATTTCAAACAGCAAGAACCTCAATATTAGCAGCATCAACAGAAAAGAGCAGTAGCATAGTGACTTACCTGTAGGTGTTGATAAGCCTGGCAGCATGAGACTCCAGTTCCAGTGAATTCAAACATTTGTTCACATACAGCCCAATCTGGGGCTCAGAGACTCCCCATATTCTGGCATACATAATCATTATTTCCTGAGCAGTCATATATTCCAGCAAGGCATCAAATTGAGGACAGTAGCCAATTCTTGACCTCACCTAATAACAAAAATTGCCTTGAGTAAAGAGCCAAGTCATCCATCCCACTCTACATCCATGGATGAGATGGCAAACCTGCAGTCCTCCAAGCCATGCTTCTAAGAGTCCTACCAAGACTGTTTTTTTCCTAAAGGGCTACAGAATTACAGCTGTCAGACCTATTGTAGGACACTGGGATAATAGCTTCTGTAATTCAGTTTTAATGATCTTGGGGATAAAGAAGTTAGAAATAAAATTCTAGAGCCACACAATTTGGAGGAGTATTGGAATATGAGATGCTCTTCTCATTAATCAGGAACTCTAAGGAGCATGGAAACCATGATGTTTTGGCTTTGTTTAACCTGTAGAGCCATATGTATATCTTGTTCCAGGGTAAGGCTGAACCAGAAGCAAAGCCTTTCTGCATTCATCCCCAAACCAGAGACTGCAATAAATGTTGCTTCACCAATTAGTCAAACCCTTCTGTTGATTTACATTGAGGTGCACATAGCCTAACAGACAGAGAAAAGGCTGTCAATTTAAATTAAATTAAATTACTAATTAATTTACAGTGTTTCCAAACTATTAATGCCCCCTAAACTCCTGGCATGGCACAAGCTCCTGCCCCTCTATTTGAAGTGACAGGGGCTTTAAAGGACTAGCTCCCTTTACACACCATCCTTCATTTTTCTCATTTTCCTCTTTTGGGATTCATATATTAAGTATTAGGGCATTAAAACACAACTGTATATATAAAGAAAAATATAAAGTAACCACACATGCTCAGGGAAAGACACAGGCTCAGAAAATGCCTGAGAAGAACTTAGTTTCACACCCCAGGCTGATCCTAAGCACCGAGACAGCCTACAACAATCCAAAAAACAAAAACAATAAATAAAAAGTAACAAACAACAGCAAACCTAAGAGAATGACGAAAATATAATTTCCAGAATTACCACTTTATTAGAGTCAAATGTCCAGTTTTTAATAAAACTCAGAAGCATACAAAGAAACAGGAAATTATGGCCCATCAAAGGATCAAAGGAAAAAAAAATGAATGGAAACTGTACTGAAAAAGACATGATGGCAGATATACTAGAAAAATACTTTAAAATACTGTCTTAATGATGCTTTAAAAACTAGAGGAAGATGTGGAGGAAGTCAAGAAAATGATGTACAAACAAAACAGCAATATCAATAAGGAGGTAGAAAACTTTAAAAGGAAACAAAAAAATTCTAGAGTGGAAAAGTACAGTAACTGAAATAAAATATTAACTAGTAGGATTGAAAGTCATGTTTGAATAGGCAGAAGAAAAAATTACTTAACTTGAATATAGGACAATGGCAATTATTGAGTCTGAGGAACAGGAAGTAAAAAGATTGAAAAAAGGAAAAAAAAAAAGGAAAGATCAAAGAAATGTAAACAGAGCCTAAGGGACTTTTGGAACACCATCAAGTGGACTAATATATACATTGTGGTATTTAAGAAGGAGAAGAAAGACAAGGGCAGAGAGATAATTTGAAGAAATAATGATTGAAAACTTTCCCAATTTCATGAATATAAACATCCAAGAGCCCAATGAACTCTAAGGAAAATGAACTCAAAGAGACCCACACCAAGACATGTTATTATCAATTCAGCAAAAGCCAAAGACAGAGAGAGAATCTTGAAATCAGGAAGACAGAAGCCATGTATCACGTTTTAAAAAAGTCTCTGAAGACTATCAGCAGATATCAGAAGCTTCGGCAGCCAGAGGCAATGGTGTTTGACACATCAAGGTACCTGCAGCTGTGCACACTTTCTCCTGGGTCAGAGACTGCAGGCTTTGTACTGGGGCAGGCCTCGGAGCTCTGTGCACAGTAGGTTTTGCTTTTTTTTTTGAGACCGAGTCTTGCTCTGTCGCCCAGGCTGGAGTGCAGTGGCACGATCTCAGCTCACTGCAAGCTCCGCCTCCCGGGTTCACACCATTCTCCTGCCTCAGCCTCCTGAGCAGCTGGGACTACAGGCATCCACCACCACGCCCAGCTAATTTTTTGTATTTTTTTGTATTTATAGTAGAGACTTCACCGTGTTTGCCAGGATGGTCTCGATCCCCTGACATCGTGATCCGCCCGCCTCAGCCTCCCAAGGTGCTGGGATTACAGGCATGAGCCACCATGCCTGGCTGACACAGTAGGCTTTTAACAAATACTCAAAAAATCACAGTTCTTAGGCATTTAAGGAACAGAGTTGGAACAAAATCAAGATTCAAAATTATTTCTCTAAGCCTTCTTTGGGCCACAGTCTACAAAGAGATTGGGGAAGTAGGCTGTCAGAACTTTAATGGTTCTGAAATAACCGAAAATGATGTAACTGGAACACTTTCATTTTACAAGATTACAGTGTTACATTTTCTAAAGAAACTGTCATTTGCCTTCTGAACTAGAAACAGGGATTTGTAAAATAATGTGCAGTGATGGCGTGGAAAACTAACCAGCAGCACTCCTGAAACGCTGCCTTCGTGTTCCCCTGGGACTGCTCGCCTCACCCCAAAACTATTTCTACTGCCTTCCCCTTCCATGCTACAACTAGTCTCCAAAGGTAGTTTTCTCTACTAACAAAGCAAACAGATCATATGAACGGACATCAGACTTTCTTAGGAGATTTCTGAAAATTCTCTCTTCTGGGGAAATAAATTGTGAGCATTTCGATTCAAACATTCCTGAAAGAATAACCAGGCAACCAAAACACTCAGTGACCTAACTGTGGTGGGCTGGTCACTTCAAACTTAACAGAACAATAGAACATATACTACTTTATGGCCAAAAAAAAAAAATCTTTTTAAAACAATAAGTGTGGACAAAGTGTTTTCACAGATGAAGAGATGAAGTTCCTGAAATTTAGGGTTTCATTTCTCAAGGGTCTCCTTTAAACAAACAAACAGTTATGATTTCAAAGTAGACATGTGCCTTTAACACCATTTTTAAAAATTACCAGCCTTAGCAAAGGTGTAGAAAAAACTTGTTCTCAAGCACTGTCCGTGGAAGAATTAGTAAAACATTTCTAGAAAACCTGTTACCGTCTTAACAAACTTTTAAACACATGTAGCAATTCTACTTCCAGGAACTTATCTATTTGCCAAGACATATATGCAAGGATCTTCCCTATAGGGTTGTGTATAAAGGAAAAATCAGACAGACTATGCCAGGAACCCTCTGAAAGAGAAGAGTCAACTGTGGAGGGGGCACCTGTGAATGAATCCTGCGGAGTTGCTAACAGAGCAGACTTACACACACAACATGGTAAAGTTCCATGACACTGCACACAGGGGATTACACACACAACATGGTAAGGTTCCATGATGCCACACACAGGGGATTACACACACCACATGGTAAGGTTCCATGACACTGCACCCAGGGGATAACACACAACACATGGTAAGGTTCCATGACACCGCACACGGGATTACACACACAACATGGTAAGGTTCCATGACACTGCACACAGGGGATTACACACACAACATGGTAAGGTTCCATGACACTGTACACATGGGATTAGGTGAGCGGGGGAGGGGCTGGGGGAATAATAACATCAAAAGAGCACCTTTTCTTCCCTTATTCCGAGGAGACTTACCGCTAGGGGGACACATGCACACACAGCTCAAGGATACCCGAGACGGCACTCAGGACAATTCAGATGCGCCGTGTACACACACACACACACACACACACACACACACACACACACAGAGAGAGAGAGAAAGGCACAGACACACATATGTGCACATAGACCCTGGGGCTCACAGGATGCACAGACAACCCTGGCCCTCCCCGAGGAGGCTGCAGCGGGCAGACAGGGCAAACAGACCCCAGCGTGACCTGCCCCACCTATGTTGGCACAGAGGGAGTGTTTTGCTTGGTTATAAGCACAGTGCTCATGCCTGCCCCATGCCTAGAACCCTCCCTCTATAGGGCTGTTGCTAGGGCTCTGAGATACCAGAGAGTGGTCAGGGAGTGTGGCAGGGGAAACTTTGGGGACAGCTTCAGGGTACCGTGTTGGGACTGGGACATTGTCAGGGTGCTCAGAGAGGGCGTGTTCCCTGGGTCTTGGTGCATTTAGAGGTCAAGGGACCATTTCTGGAGGCTCACTATGTGCCAGGGCAGCTTATATCAGAACTCCGCTCTCTTTTTTTTTTTTTTTTTTAAAGACAGAGTCTCACTGTTGCCCAGGCTGGAGTGCAGTGGCACCATTTCAGCTCACTGCAACCTCCACCTCCCGGGTCCAAGAGATTCTCCTGCCTCAGCCTCCTGAGTAGCTGGGACTACAGGCATGCACCACTACCACACCTGGCTAATTTTTGTATTTTTAGTAGAGACGGGGTTTCACCATGTTAGCAAGGCTGGTCTCGAACTCCTGACCTCAGGTGATCCACCTGCCTTGGCCTCTGAAGGTGCTGAGATTACAGGCATGAGCCACTGCGCTTGGCCAGAGATCTGCTCTGGAAGACCCCCCAGGCTGGAGGGCACTGCCACAAGCAGACAGTATGGCGAGGGTCCCTATGGCCACCTGGCAGGCAAGGTGGATTCTGGAGGGAGGTGGCCTGGGAGCAGGCTGAGGATGGGGTGAGGGCATTTGAGCAGCAGAGTGTCTGCGTGACTGGGCATAACTGGAGGGACAGTAAATGACTCTTGTGTGAGAGGATGAGGGTGGGGTGAGAGGGGCTGACTACCCCTAGGACTTTTGTATTTTTAGTAGAGACAGGGTTTCACCATATTGGCCAGGATGGTCTCGAACTCCTGACCTTGTGAGCTGCCTGCCTCAGCCTCCCAAAGTACTGGGATTACAGGTGTGAGCCACCGCACCTGGACACGTTACTTAATATTTCTGTGCCTTGGTTTCTTCATCTGTGAAATGGGATTGTTGTGAGAACACAAAGGGATTCCCAGGGCAGTTCCTAGTGCATAGTCTGGCTGCCTTTGTGTGTGTGTGTGTGTTTAATATAGAGACAGGGTCTCACTATGTTGCCTAGGCTGGTTTCAAACTCCTGGGCTCCAGTGATCCTCCTGCTTCCACCCAAAGTGGTGGGATTACAGGCGTGAGTCAACACACCTGGTCACTTTATATTATTATTTTTTTCTTTTGAGACAGGGTCTGGCGCTGTCGCCCAGGTTGGAATACAGCGGTGCAATCTCAACTCACTGCAAACTCCGCCTCCCAGGTTCAAGCAATTCTCTTGCCTCAGTCTCCTGAGTAACTGAGATTACAGATGCCTGCCACCACACGAAGCTAATTGGTTGGGTGTGGTGGGGCTTTCCAATGATTACTTATTAATGATTACTTATGAAAAACAACAACAACAAAAAAGCCATCTTGAAGCTGCTTTTAATGAGAAAACAAATGTGCTCCCAAGCAACAGAGCAGCGAAATTCTTTATTACTGGATTCTAACTTTCCTCTCTAACTGTAACTGTCTCAGCTCCACTTCATGTGACCTGGAGGGTATGTTGCAACCTGCGTCTTCACCACCCATTCATGAAGATCTATAAAACTAATGTAAACTGCTGGGGCAATTTCAACATGAGTCAACTGGAGATTGTTACTTGGTGAGAATGCGCAAGTGGCAAAGATCTAAATTTGTTCAGCTAATTTGTAATTAACCTTCGCTTCTCACATGTCAGTATGTGAAGTGTCTGGTTTAAGCAATTTATCCAAAAAAGCCATAGACTCTTTAAATAACAACAAAACCTGGGCCTGGAATTTTATAAAGGCAGAATGAGTAAGACACGGTTTCGGTGTGCTTTTTTAAAGAAAACAGGGTCTTGCTCTGTTGCCCAGGATGAAATGCCATGCTGCATTTACAGCTCACTGCAGCCTTGACCTCCCACCTCAGCTTCCAGAGGAGCTGGGATTACAGGTGTGCACCACCACGCCCAGCTAATTTAAAAAATTTTTGTAGAAACAGGGTGTCACTGTGTTGCCCAGGCTGGTCTCCAGCAATCCTCTGGCCTTGACCCCCTAAAGTGTGGGGATTACACGCACGAGCAACTTGCCACTTACTATCTGACTGTGACCTGGAACCAGAAAGGAGATTCCGAGAGTGTGCTCAATCAATCACAAACTGACCTTTTTCATGGGTTTCTTGAACTCCTGTAGCTCTTCAGCACTCATGCCTTCCCATACCTGATAAATAGGATCAATGAATTTCTTTGACCTGTCAACAAAGATCACATTTCAAAGTCAAGTTAAATACTTCAGCAGAAGTCAAAATTGGTTTGGATCTTTTCTCACAAGATCTATTACCCAAAACCAAGAAGTGAAAACTACAGCTTAAATAATTACATTAAAAAAAACCTGGCTGGGCGCAGTGGCTCACGCCTGTAATCCCAGCACTTTGGGAGGCTGAGGTGGGCAGATCATGAGGTCAGGAGATCAAGACCATCCTGGCTAACACGGTGAAACCCCATCTCTACTAAAAATACAAAAAATTAGCCGGGTGTGGTGGCGGACGCCTGTAGTCCCAGCTACTCAGGAGGCTGAGGCAGAATGGCCTGAACCGGGGAGGCGGAGCTTGCAGTGAGCCGAGATTGCGCCACTGCAGTCCGCAGTCCGGCCTGGGCGACAGAGCGAGACTCCGTCTCAAAAAAAAAAAAAAAGAAAAAAAAAAAAAGAGAAGCCCTTTTGTTTCCTGATAGTTACATGTAATTCCAGCAGTATTTGGAAATAATTTGCTAAGATGTTAGAATGTAACATTTGAAGACTCGTTAGAAAAATCAATAAAATTATCTTTGGCTAATGGGTAGTACACATCTTAGTCTGTTTAATATGCCTTTCCAAAAAAAACTGTGTCTGTTGAGAATTGGTGTATATAACTAGATGACTTTAATAATTAGTGCCTGAGTCTAGAATTGAGATGTTTAGTCGTAAAAAAAAATATTGTTCGATAAACAGCGTTGACTTGTCTTGTACCACTTAAGAGTTTGTGAGTGCTTTAAATAAAATTAGTTGATTAAGTATTTTTTTCCTATGATTGACATGCTTAGTTTTGCCTTTTTATTGAAATGTGTAAAATTTGGTTTTCTGGCATCTTAACAAATTAGGTGGTAAATGAATGACAATGGATTTTCTATTATTTTTCAGTATTGTGATCAGTATAAGTATATAAGAGAATTTAGTAACCTTTTAGAAGAATAAAGTGCCCTTCCCAAATAGTCCTACAGCTTTTGGAAAAGTGTAAATTGTAGTTTGTAGTTCTAAATAAATAGAGAAGAGTCGCAGCCACGTGCTAGGGCCAGCTGACTTCATTGCTGACAGGTATGAAGCCAAATGGCTTATGTAGTTATGGAATATGTACATGAGCTATTAATAAATATTATCCATGTTGTTTCTTTCAAGTGCTTTATTTCTTGGCTCTGGGGAGGGGCGATGGGGGAAGGGAGGAGCTTACAAGAAAGCTTGCAAGGTTTCTTTGAAGCTGTGCTTTTTGTAGGAAAGTTTCAGGATGTAACGCCTTGGTAGACGATACTGTGATACATTTGGTTACAGGCAGTAACAGTTTGTTAGGATGTTGGAAAAATTTGATTTTCTCCTGTTGTAGAGGGAACAGGGAAGTGTGGACATACCCCATAGCATAACTTGATTTGTTGCTAAGATTGTCATAGCTGATTTGTTAGTCAATAAAAATACCTGGGGTGTTTGCCAAGTCATAAATTTTTATTAGTTAAATTTGAGGTGATTCTGTCCCCTATTCAGAAAGATGACAGACTCCAGGTAACTGACGGAACAGATCTTGATCTTGCTTCTTGCTTAAATGAAGGTTTAGAACATCTTCAGATGCAGGCACATTTATTATTGTTCATCTGAATAATTTTGGTGAAAATTTTTTTGCCTCTTATGTACCATTTTGTCCCTGGTGTTTTGGTTCTGTTTTCCTTGATGTAGGCTTTTTTTTTTTTTTGTCTTCCTGAGATGGAGTCTTGCTCTGTCTCCCAGGCTGGAGTGCAGTGGTGTAATCTCGACTCACTGCAGCCCCTGCCTCCCGGTTACAGGGAAAAATTCTCCTGCCTCAGCCTCCTGAGTAGCTGGGATTACAGGCGTCCAGCTAATTTTTGTATTTTTAGTAGAGACGAGATTCCACCATGTTGGCCGGCCTGTTCTTGGACTCCTGACTCAGGTGATCCGCCTGCTTTGGCCTCCCAAAGTGCTGGGATTACAGGTGTAAGTCATCGCACTCAGCCGATTTAGGCTTTTGAAAAAGCAATACTTGTTGATTTCTTTTAGTGTTAGTTTGCCAGTTGGTGTGGAAAATGACTGTTGAGACAATTTTGACCACACATGATACTTCACACATACTGACAGGAAGTGTTCCAGGTGGCTGAATATGTGAATGTCATATGGCAAGAGAGCAAACCCGTGTTCCATAGAAGCATACCTCCAACAGTAAGCATTTATATGGCACTGGCTTATAGTCTTCCTTTTCATTCACTGTGCTCTCAGTCAACTCTTCTGTCAATTTTTTTGAGACGGTCTTGCTGTGTCACCCAGGCTGGAGTGCAGCGGCACAGATACTTGGCTTACTGCAGTCTCGACCTCCCAGGCTCAAGCCTCCTGCCTCAGCATCCACAAGTAGCTGGGGCTACAGGCGCTTGCCAACAGCCCGGCTCATTTTTGTATTTTTTGTAGAGATGGGGTTTTCACCACGTTGCCCAGGCTGGTCTTGAACCCCTGAACGCAAGCAATCTGCCCACCTTCAGCCTCCCAAAGTGTTGAGATTACAGGTGTGAGCCACTGCACCCGACATTTAAGAATGGTTAAGCAGGCCGGGGGCAGTGGCTCACGCCTGTAATCCCAGCACTTTGGGAGGCTGAGGTGGGTGGATCACCTGAGGTCAGGAGTTCGAGACCAGCCTGGCCAACCGACATGGTGAAACCCCTGTCTCTACTAAAAAAAAATAAATAAATAAATTAGCGGGATGTGGTGGTGCATGCCTGTAATCCCAGTTACTCGGGAGGCTGAGGCAGGAGAATCACTTGAACCTGAGAGGCAGAGGTTGTAGTGAGCGACATCACACCACTGCACTCCAGCCTGGGCAGCAGAGCAAGACTCCTTCTCAAAAAAAATAAAAAGTTAAAAAAAGAATGGTTAAACAAATGAGTGTCTTAGGTCAGTTGTATTATTTGAAATCTGTGGGTTCCTCAAGCGTAAAGTTGAGAAGGTTTTGGGAACCACTGGATGCCTCTGGTTTTTTTCATATGAAGAAACAGGGGTGGTGGCTTCTTAGAACAAAGGGATATCTGACCTATGGAGGTGGCCCTCTTTACTCCTCTTCCCTAAAAAAATGACCTATCATTGCCAATAGCTAAAGTCTGTCATTTTTTCCACCTTAGTTTGGAAGATAATCTTCTAGTATCAATCAAGACAGAGATCAGAATGATGTGTTTTAAAATTAAATGTGTAATTCATAATTGTACATTTTAATATTCTAAAGTGACATTGATTAATTTGACATTGGAGTCAAATAGATTGATTAATTCAACAAAGAAGAGAAGGCGTTCAAGTCAACAGAAAACAAGTAGATTTTACTTCTCCACTCGGGGTATTAGGACATTAATTGTGTAATTGGTCTTACTTGTTTAGTAGTAGATCTATATTGAGTGTCTTACTGTGCCCAAACTTAGGATCTTTCTATATTTCTAAAAGGATGAAACTGTATAATAAAAACACCTTCCAATTTTGGTAGATTGTAGACAGATCAGAGTATTCAAAAGTACACACATCTTCTCTATTGTGAAAGACCAAAAAATGGAAATGTGTTGTGAAATTAGAAAAGCTGTATACTAGTATGTCTGATGTTGTGAGAAGCTGGATTTTTGAAACCAGAGTTGTCTATTCAGCCTTTTATCAGTCTGTACTAAGTTTGATGTCCATAGGTACATAATATAGGGAGATACATAAAGGATAAAATTAAGTGAAGTTACATATTTTATACCTATTAGGTAGGTGCAAAAGTAATTGCGGTTTTGGCAAAAACCGCAGTTACTTCCACACCAGTCTAATATTAAATGGAACTAGAGTCAAATAGAATTTAGCGATTGCCAGTTCTGTTCCACAGATTTCAAAGTACACTAAGGAAAATTTCAGCAAATTGTGTATGGCTGTTTTACTTGGGGGAGAGTAAAACAGCCATAATAAACTAAAAAATAAAAATTAAAACTAAAGGAACATTTGTTTTTATGTTTTTCTTTTCTTTTCTTTCCTCTTTTTTGAGATATGCTCTTGCTCTGTTGCCCAGGCTGGAGTGCAGTGGTGCAATCACTGCTCACTGCAGCCTTGACTTCCTGGGCTCTGGGAATCCTCCCGCCTTAGCCTCCTGAGTAGCTGGGACCACAGGTGCATACCACCACACCTGGCTAATTTATTTTTCCTCTCTCTCTCTCTTTTTTTTTTGAGACAGAGCTTTACTTTGTCGCCCAGGCTGGAGTATAGTGGCACAATCTCAGCTCACTTGCAACCTCCGCCTCCTGGTTCAAGTGATTCTCCTGTCTCAGCCTCCCAAGTAGCTGGGAATACAGGTGCATGCCACTATGCCCGGCTAATTTTTGTGTTTTTAGTGGAGATGGGATTTCACCATGTTGGCCAGGCTGGTCTTGAACTGCTGACCTCAGGTGATCCACCCGCTTCGGCCTCCCAAAGTGCTGGGATTACAGGCGTGAGCCACCACGCCTGGCTTCCTCTCTCTTTTTCTGAAACAGAGTCTCGCTCCATTGCCCAGGTTGGAGTGCAGTGGAACCATCTCAGCTCACTGCAGCCTCCACCTCCCAGGCTCAATAAGTCCTCCTACCTCACCCTCCCAATAGCTGGGACCACAGGTGCATGTTACCACCCCCAGCTACTTTATTTTTTTTTTGTTTTCTGTAGAGACGGGGTTTTGCCATGCTGCCTGGGCTGGTCTTGAATACCTAGGCTCAAGTGATCCTTCCTCCTTGGCCTCCCAAAGTGCCAGGATTACAGGTGTGACCCACCATGCTTGGCACGCTAATTTTTTATTTTTACTTTTTTGTAGAGATGGGGCCTCCCCATGTTGCCCATGCTGGTGTCAAACTCCTACTCCATTATGAAATAAGTCATTCCTTATGAAACACTTAGTAATTGTATCTTTAAGTTGAACCTTCCCCTCACCCCAACTTTTTTTTTTTTTTTTTTTTTTTTTTTTTTTTTGAGACAGAGTTTTGCTCTTGTTGTCCAGGCTGGAGCGCAATGGTGCAATCTCGGCTCACTGCATCCTCCGCCTCCCAGGTACAAGCTGTTTTCCTGTCTCAGCCTCCCAAGTAGATCAGATTACAGGCATGTGCCACCACACCCGGCTAATTTTTTTATATTTAGTAGAGATGGGGTTTCACCATGTTAGGCTGGTCGTGAACTCCTGACCTCAGGTGATCCACCTGCCTCGGCCTCCCAAAGTGCTGGGATTACAGGTGTGTGCCACTGCACCCCGCCTTTTTTTTTAAAGACATAGTTTCACTCTGTCTCCCAGGGTGGAGTGCAGTGGCACGATCTTGGCTCAGTACAACCTCCACTCCTGGGTTCAAGTGATTCATGTGCCTCTGCCTCCCGAGTAGCTGGGACTACAGGCGCATGTCACCAGGCCCGTCTAATTTTTGTATTAGAGACAGGGTTTCGCCATGTTGGCCAGGCTGGTCTCGAACTCCTGACCTCGAGTTCCCACCTTGGCTTCTCAAAGTGCTGGGATTACAGAAGTGAGACACCGTGCCTGGACCCGCCAACCCATTTTGTTTTGATTCCTTTATAAATTAGTATAATGGAAGGTTTTTTTGTTTGTTTTTTATAACAGGTAATGAAATACTCTAATTCAGTAAATATTGATGCTTCTGGGGAGATGTGTGTGTGTGTGTGTGTATGTGTGTGTGTGTGTGTGTGTGTGTGTGTGTGTGTATGTATATAATAAATTTTTTTTTTTTTTTTTAGGATGGAGTGTCACTCTGTCGCCCAGGCTAGAGTGCAGTGGTGCAATCTCGGCTCACTGCCAGCTCCACCTCCTGGGTTCACGCCATTCTCCTGCCTCAGCCTCCCGAGTAGCTGGGATTGCAGGTGCCCGCCACCACGCCTGGCTAATTTTTTGTATTTTTAGTAGAGATAGGGTTTCACCGTGTTAGCCAGGATGGTCTCGATCTCCTGACCTCGTGATCCGCCCGCCTCGGCCTCCCAAAGTGCTGGGATTACAGGTGAGAGCCACTGTGCCCGGCGAAGCAGCGTCTCTTTTTAAGGTTGTAAGGTAGCTTGGGTTAGAAATAAAGGCAGAGAGCCACTCCATACCTGTAGTTCTAGCTACTGGGGAGGCTAAGACCAGAGGAATCTCTTGAGCCCAGGAGTTCAAGGCTGCAGTGAGCTGTAATCACACACTGCACTACAACGTGGGCAACATAGAGTGAGACCTAATAAATAAATAAATAAATAAATAAATAAATAAATGCAAGGAGAAAGTCAGGAACTTGGTGCATTTAGGTGTACAATTAGTTGGCATAAACAATTTTTTTTTTTGAGATGGAGTTTCTCTCTTGTTGCCCAGGCTGGAGTGCAGTGGGGCAGTCTCGGCTCACTGAAACCTCTGCCTCCTGGGTTCAAGTGATTCTCCTGCCTCAGCCTCCCGAGTAGCTGGGATTACAGGTGCCCGCCACCACGGCCAGCTAATTTTTGTATTTTTAACAGATGGGGTTTTGCCATATTGGCCAGGCTGACCTTGAACTCCTGACCTCAAGTGATCCGTCCGCCTCAGCCTCCCAAAGTGCTGGGATTACAGGCGTGAGCCACTATGCCAGCCAAGAATTTTTAAAAAAGGAGTTTCATTCAGCCCACCTCATTCCTCTGCAGGGCACCTGTGTGCAGGGCAAAACTGCTCAACCCTACTCAGAAGCCCTGTGAAAGCTGCTGAAAGGATGAGCAGATTGAGGCCTGAACTGTATCTTGGATTTAGCAGCCTGGAGGTCATAATGGATTTTGCCAAGAGTGATGGGGCAGAAATTGGACCAGTGTGTGTTAAGGAGCTAGAAGAAGTGAAGAAATGGGAGAGGGGAATCTAGACAACTTTAGTTTGGCTGCAGCAAGTAAAGGCAGATTGTTTGATGGAGGGACGTGTGGGATTGATGGAGTTTTTCCTTTTTATATGTTTTTGTATTTTTCAATGGAATACATTAGAAAGTGTTGCATGTTTATGGGGGGGATTTAGTTCAGTGGGAAAAGTATTTGAAAAGTTACAGTAAGGTGGAAGTAGATGGAATCCTCAGTAAGGTCTAGAATCGGGTACAGGTATTTTATGGTATCTTCCTCACCCCACCCCGAGACGGAGTTTCGCTCTTATTATTGCCCAGGCTCTGGAGTGCAGTGGTGCAGTCTTGGCTCACTGCAACCTCCACCTCCTGGGTTCAAGCGATTCTCCTGCCTCAGTCTCCCATGTAGCTGAGATTACAGGTGCGCACCACCACACCCAGCTAATTTTTGTATTTTTAGTAGAGATGAGGTTTCACCATTTTGGCCAGGCTGGTGTCCAACTCCTGACATCAAGTGATCCACCCGCCTTGGCCTCCCAAAGTGCGGGGATTACAGGCGTGAGCCACTGTGCCCAGCTGGTACCTTTTTTCTTGTTGGTGAAGTAGAATGTGTGTATGGGGAGGGGAGGTGATAGGATATTTTGGAATTTGAAGAGAATGGGAATGTCTGGATAGTGCATGTATAGAATGGGAAGTAAACACTGGAGGACCTGGGAGTGTGGTGCTTATTGATGGATCGTTGGGTTTATCCAGGATTGGGGTTTTGCCAGATGGGTGTGATGAGAATCTTAAGAGTTAAGGGTATAGGCAAGAGTGTTGTTGAAATGATACACAATGAAATCTAAGCTGGTTAAAGAAGTGAAGAAGGGGCCGGGCACGTTGGCTCACGCCTGTAATTCCAACACTTTGGGAGGCCGAGGCGGGTGGATCCCTTGAGGTCAGGAGTTCGAGACCAGCCTGGCCAACATGGTGAAACCCCGTCTCTACTAAAAATACAAAAATTAGCCGGGTGTGGTAGCAGGGGCCTGTAATCTCAGCTACTTGGGAGGCTGAGGCAGGAGAATCGCTTGAACCTGGAGGTGGAGGTTGCAGTGAGCCAGTATTGCACCACTATACTCCAGCCTGGGCAACAAAGTCAGAGTCTGTCTCAAAAAAAAAAAAAAAAAATGAAGTGAAGAAGGAGGAGAATACTTGGATTGGGATAAAGTAGAAAGAGTCACTGGATTAAAGTTAACTAAAAAACTCATAAACTTTAGAGTGGTATTGAGAAATTGTAGGGTGAACTGAAAAAGGCTCATGGGATTTTAGAGCCAAGAAGGCCTTGAGTGGCAGTTCCTACCTTAGTAGGAATAGCTTCAGTGGTGTGTTGCAGGTGGAACCCAGATTAAAGTGGGTTAAAAAGTAAATGAAGGCAAGGAAGATAAATTTTTCAACAGGTTTGTCTGTGAAGAGTCCAGGCTATTAGATTGATAGAGGGAGAAAGGCAGTTAAAGGGTTTTTTTGTTTTTTGTTTTTTTTGAGTCAGAGTCTCACACTGTTGCCCGGTCTGGAGTGCAATGGCGTGACCTCGGCTCACTGCAACCTCCGCCTCCGGGGTTCAAGTAGTTCTCCTGCCTCAGCCTCCCAACTAGCTGGGAATACAGGCGCCCACCACCACACCCGGCTAATTTTTTGTATTTTTAGTAGAGACGGGGTTTCACTATGTTGCCCAGGCTGGTCTCAAACTCCTGACCTCATGATCTGCCTGCCTCGCCCTCCCAAAGTGCTGGGATTACAGGCGTGAGCCACCGTGCCCGGCCTTATTTTCTTAATTTTTAAATTTATTTTATTATTATTATGATTATTTTTGAGATGGAGTCTCTCTGCCGCCCAGGCTGAAGCGCAATGGTGCAGTCTCGGCTCACTGCAACCTCTGCCTCCCGGATTCGAGCGATTCTCCTGCCTCAGCCTCCTGAGTAGCTGGGATTGCAGGCGCCCGCCACCACGCCTGGCTGATATTTGTATATTTAGTAGAGACGGGGTTTCACTACATTGGCCAGGCTGGTCTTGAACTCCTGACCTCATGATCCACCCACCTTGGCCTCCCAAAGTGCTGGGATTACCAGCGTGAGCCACCGCACCCGGCCTTTAGTTTTTTTTTTTGAGACGGAGTCTCGCTCTGTCACCAGGCTGGAGTGTAGTGGCACGATCTTGGCTCACTGCAAGCTCTGCCTCCCGGGTTCAAATGATTCCCCTGCCTCAGCCTCCCAAGTAGCTGGGACTACAGGTGCGTGCCACCACGCACAGGTAATTTTATTTTTTCTATTTTAGTAGAGACGGGGTTTCACCGTGTTGGCCAGGGTGGTCTCAATCTCCTGACCTTATGATCTGCCTGCCTTCGCCTCCCAAAGTGCTGGGATTACAGGCATGAGCCACCGTGCCCGGCCATTTTTTGTTTTTGTTTTTGTTTTTTTTAAAGTAAGACTTTTGAGAGTGCTCATATGTTGATGATGTGATAAGCAGTAGTAAAATGGGAGATTTTGCAACGTACAAAAGAAACAGGCCGGGTGCAGTGGCTCAAGCCTGTAATCCCAGCACTTTGGGGAGGCCAAGGTGGGCGGATCACGAGGTCAGGAGATCGAGACCATCCTGGCTAACATGGTGAAACCCCGTCTCTACTAAAAATACAAAAAATTAGCCGGGCGTGGTGGTGGGCGCCTGTAGTCCCAGCTACTCGGGAGGCTGAGGCAGGAGAATGGCGTGAATCCGGGAGGCAGCGAGTCGAGATCACGCCACTGCACTTCAGCCTGGGCGACAGAGCGAGACTACATCGCAAAAAAAAAAAGACAAGACATACCTTGGAAAATGGGGGGAATAGACAGATGATTTCTATGGATAGGAGGTTTATTTGTTCCATTATGCGAAGATGATGGGAAGAAAAGCTGTATGTGCAGATGCAGGTGAATTTGTGGATATATTAGAAGGAAGATGACAGGCAGTGATGGAGTGTTGAAGAGCTCAAACATTAGACAGTACTGGGTCTGAGTTCTGACTCTGCCTTTTACAAGCTGTGCAACCATAGGCCAGTTATGAAACCTTAGTTATCAAGTTATAACTAATAGGATTGTGTTGAACACGAAATGACATGATAAACATATGTAAACTGCTTGGATCAGTTGCCCACTAGCTCTTGTTAGGAGCTAAAATGTTAGCTCTTGCTGAGGGTGCTGTCAAATGGCTTCTGTTTCTCATGGAGCAGAAATCTATAAGGTCATCCACTGGTAGTGGTGGGAGAAGGAAGAAGGTGCAGAAAGTTTTACAGATGTTTTGGAAAGGAAAGAAACCTGGTGAGGGAAATGTGGGCAGCATCAGAGGCCCACTTGAAGTCAGAGAAAAGGAGCATTGGGGCATGGAGGTGAGGGGGTACTTTCTTCAGCTTTTCTCTGAAGACAATTGTGCATGTGAAACAAGGGTTAAAATCAGATCTATTGCCCTCCTGGATTTATTGGCTTCGTTTGCTCTTTCTGGCTAATTTGATTGGAGTTCTGAAAGTAGAGAATATTAGAGGTTCCTTGGAAGGAAAATAAGCAACACTGAAGTCAAATCTTTATCATGTTTGCTGGAAATGTTATTAAAAAACAAAATTTATGGCCGGGTGCAGTGGCTTATGCCTGTAATCCCAACCCTTTGGGAGGCTGAGGTGAGTGGATCACTTGAGCTCAGGAGTGCGAGACCAGCTTGGGCAACATTTTGGGAATGTTGTAGAGAATGGGACAAAAAAATACAAAAGTTGCTGGGCGTGGTGGAGTAAGCCTGTGGTCTCAACTACTTGGGAGGCTGATGTGGGAGGTTTGCTTGAGCTCGGATTGCACCACTGCACTCTAGCCTGGGCGACAGTGTGAGACCCTTTTTCAAAACAAACAAGCAACTTTTTTTGAGCTACAGTATATTTAATGGTTTTAAATATGAGTGCAGAGTAAGAGGGAGTCCAGTCCATAAGATGACCCTTGCTTCTAATACTAGTTGCAAGTTTGGGGGTTCCCAAGACCACTCTTTTTTTTTTTTGAGACAGGGCCTCTCTCTGTCACCCCGGTGAGAGTGCAGTGGCATGATCACGGCTCACTGCGCCCTGAACTCCTCCCTCCCAGGTTCAGGCAGTCCTCCTACCTCAGCCACCTGAGTTGCTGGATCTGTGGGCACACACCACCTCGCCTGGCTAGTTTTTCTATATTTTTTAGAGACAGTTTCACCATATTGCCAGGCTGGTCTCAAACTCCTGAGCTGAAGTGATCCGCCTGCCTGGGCCTCCCGAAGTGCTGGGATTACAGGCTTGAGTCACTGTGCCTGGCCAAGACCACTCTTAGGTTGGATGATTTGCCAGGAGGACTCACTAGAACTCATTGAAAGCTCTCATACCCATGGTTAGAGTTTATTGCAGTTTAGGGATTCAGATTAGAACGAGCCAAGGGTAGAGGTGCATAGGGCAGAGTTCGGGGAAGTTCCAAATGTTGGAGTTTCTAATTGTCCTGTCCCTGTAGAGTTGTGAAAAATGACACCTTCCTGGTGGCACTGGTGTGCGACCATACTCATGGATTATTGCCAACCAGGGAAGCTCACTCTATTTTTTATGTCCAGCGTTTTTACTGGGGTTCCATGGTTGCATGCCCATGTGGCTAACCTTAGTCTCCAGCCCCACTGGAGGCCAAGCTGATCCATGTGACTCAAAGCCCCCACCATAAGCCACATTATTAGACTGTGCTGTGGCCTAAAGCCCCCAGATGAACAAGGACACTTTCCCCCACCGCCGCCCCCCCCCCCTTTTTTTTTGGAGATAGTCTTGCTCTGTTGCCCAGGCTGGAGTGCAGTGGCATGATCTCAGCTCACTGAAACCTCAGCCTCCTGAGTAGCTGGGATTATTACAGGTGCCCGTCACCATGCCTGGCTAATTTTTGTATTTTTAGTAGAGACAGGTTTCACCATGCTGGCCAGGCTGGTCTCAGAATCCTGACCTCAAGCGATCTGCCCGCCTTGGCCTCCCAAAGTGCTGGGATTACAGGTGTGAGCCACTGCTCCTGGCCAGGACCCTCTTATTAGGTATGACATTTCAAGAGTTTAGAGATTACCTTCCAGAATTCACAGGTAAAAGCCAGACCTCTCCTTGGTGAAGATACAATTCTTTACAATTTTACAATAGTTAAATATATTTTATCAGTCTATATTGGCTGTTTAGTTGACAGACAGTTAAAAATTGGTGACAGTCCAGATGTGGTCACTCATGCTTCTAATCCTAGCATTTTGGGAGGCTGAGGTGGGAGGATTGCTTGAGTCCAGGAATTTGAGAGCAGCCTGAGCAACATAATCAGACACCTGTCTCCAAAAAACATAAAAATAAAAAATTAGCTAAATGGAGTGGCATGCACCTGTGGTCCCAGCTGTTTGAGAGGCTGAACCCATGAGGTCGAGGCTGCACCCATGAGGTCGAGGCTGCAGTGAGCTATGGTCATGCCAGTGCACTCCAGCCTGGGTGACAGAGTGAGACCCTGTCTCAAAAAAGGAAACAAATCACCCATAAATGGATAATTAAGATTTGGTTATTATAGACACTTAATACTTAGGTAGCTAAGGTAGTTTTACCAATAAATTATATTAATTTAATATTTCAGTATTGCAAAACTGATGCATACTCATTTACAATTTTGACATGGAATGGTTCTGTTTTGTTTTATTAAATTTGAACTTAAAAGTTCTCTGCAAGAAGAGATTTGTATAATAAATTCCCTGAGCCTCTCAAATTAATATTTTAGCCATAGACTCATATTTAGAGCAGTGTTTCTAATGTAATGATACAAGGCCCAGGGTTATTCATAGTTTCACCGTTTCTCTTATTCCTCATTAAAGCATGTTTGAATCCAGGCAAGAGGCATTACAGGGGAAAACCTTGAATTTATTTTTGAAGGGTAAATCATTTCCAAGTGGTATTAACCATTAGTATGGAAAGCAACATATCCTATAACTGCTCTGTGACAGTGAGACTATCTTTGCTGCTTTAGAGAATAAGTACATTCCTACTTCATTGGCTTTAGTGCAAATCTCATTTCCTGGTTTATATCCATTACAAATTAGATCTCACCATGAGAGCAAAATCCCTTAATAAACCTAGGTAAAAGCAATTTGAAGTAATATGATGCTTACTCCAGTGACACCACTAGGTGTGGTGTTTGCATCAAGTCATTTTGGGGTGCTTTATGGAAATGCTTCCTAGTAGGGAATTCCCTGACTTCACACTTTCCAGAGATGACGCTCTCTCTCTTTTTCTCTCTAATACTTACAAGAATGGACTGCAAGGCTACATTTAGTCAGGCGATACCATCCCCAGCACATGGTGGCTTGTTGGTGTGAGGTCTAAGGATTCCGGTCATTTGAAACGAATGGCCTCCTAGATTTGTGGCATTTTTCTGTATATTGAGAATAGGTAACTAAAATAAGTGGTAACTGTATTTGCATGTGATTTGTATGTGATAGTTAACATTTAAATTCTCTTATGTACTAAAATTTTTTTGGTTGCCACATTAAGCCTCTTTATCCTGTAAGGCACAGAGTGTCTTTCCACCTCAATTTTTGCTTTAATGTATGAACCCTAATGGGACCATAGTTCAACTAAAGGCACCTAACTCATGAATGATATTTGCTCCATGTTTGAACAACAAATGTTTTAACCCACTGTCTTCACTAATATTGTAACTACTGTCTTACAGATTGACTTGATGCACAACATCACAAAGGCGATTTTTGAGGTATGAGCTTTAGAAACTTACCTCTCATGTGGCATGTACATCAGGCTTTAACTTCAGTTTGATCGTTTTGGGGAAATTTATGCATTTCTTTTTTTTTCTCTCCATGATATTTTTAGAATATTAAAGGGGCTGTAGAGGTATTTTTGGTTCCTTGCTAGGATTCTTAGACTTAACAGATAGATTTTCTTTTTTCACTAAATTGAGACACTAATTCTGGCAGATGATATCCCTTTCAGCTCTTCTAACTAACTAGCCTAACATTCATGCCTGCTTCTTGGAGTTCAAATCTGCAGTTTCTATTTTGTGGCTTTGATTGCCTCATTTTAAGTGCTCATTTCCGTTCTTCAACAGTTCTCTATTTATTGGACTGGGATGATCTTGTTGGTGCTAACAGCCTGACATTGACATTTTTTGAAACCTAAGCAGTCAAGATTGTATAAAAATAGAAATTTCTTATAAATGCTAAACCATTTTGTGCTTTTAGGTTCAGAATGCTTACAACCTGAGTTCTGGTTGGGGATGCTTTGATCAATTTGTATTAAAATAATTTGGCAACTAGGGAGTTTTGAGGTATTTCTGAGACGGTGGCTCTATTCCAGTTTTTTTTGTTATATTTCTGAAAACACAGATTTTTTTTGGGAAAAAAATCTCAGTGTTCATAACTTAGGGGATTTAGAAACCTTATTTCTAACCAACGGGGAAGCTGCTCCTGGTTTTACAGTTTAGTTTGAAATCAGATGCTTCCTAGTTGGAAACACATTGTTGGTAGCAACAGATTACCTGCTTTCTTCAGTGAAGTATTTAAGTTGCTCTATATTGACTGTAAAAACTTGTTTTGATTATATTCATATACTCATGAACTGTTTGTACATTGTCTTTTAGACTGGAAACTTTGAGTTTATTTTGTATTATGGTCATAACAACTTTTAACATACCCTGCAAACTAAGTGTTTCTTTATAATTCATTATCTTATTTTAGCCTCACAACAACCTTACATGTTAGATAGGTATCATCCTCATTTTATGCAAGAGACAACCAAGGCTTGGAGATCAAGTAATTTGTGCAAAAGCACACATACTTTTCAGTGCTGGAGCTGGGATTTGAGCCCAGATCTTTTTTTAACTTGTATTCTCTGCTGCCTTATGGTACTACTGTGTCACCAGAAAATGATACAAACATTTAACTCTTAATAGTAAAGGTAGTGTAGGAGATAAGTAAACATGATGAAAACAGGAAGTGAAGATA
Organism: Homo sapiens; assembly: GCF_000001405.40. NCBI lineage: Eukaryota > Metazoa > Chordata > Mammalia > Primates > Hominidae > Homo > Homo sapiens. The sequence goes on from NW_017852933.1 coordinate 1,187,220, forward strand.
CGTTTAAATATTGGCAGACTTCAGTTATCTTTGTGTTTCTGAATTAGTCAAGTGCTTATTTTATTCGCTCATCTAATAAGAGCTTACTGTGGCATACATATAAAGTTCAAACCCTGTCAGAAAAGATTATAAGCTCTCTTACGTTTCAGTCTCCTTTCAGAAAGTAATGGTATGCTATGATTTATATAGACGCATGTTAAATGTGCTATTTTTAGGTACATAAGGAATGTCTTTTCATTAGTTTAAAAAAGTTATGGTCCATTGAGTTAATATTTTAATGCTTATAGACTTAGTATACTCAGAAAATATTCTCATACATTTTTCTTGAAATTCCATAGATTTTATTTTCCCTTATGTTCGAAGTACTTAGCTTTATGAATAAGTGAACTCTGAATATTAGAAGATACTCCTTATGGAGCCTTAGTCATTTTAGTATGCTAGGTTTTGAATTTCATGAAGTTTCAGATTGAGATCCTTTATAAGTAATGACTTGTACCAGTTAGATATCCAAGTTTAATTGGACCTATTGTCTGCATTCTGTATTAACAGTGATTGCAGTAAGTGCAGATCAAGGTGTCCAACTGATTGAGCTCATGCAAAGTTTTATGTTTAGTATTTTTGGGAGCAAGGAAAGACTAATAAACTCTAAACGAAATATATACAGTATACAAACACTGCTGTCACTTTTACACCATAGAGGGAGGGGCAAAGCGTAGAGGAATAGGTTAGTTTCTGGCCTTGCCAGTGTCCTAAACTTTTCTAAAAGATTCAGGTTCTAAAAGGTTGAGAAAGCATTTTTAGTAAATATCATAGAAGTGATTTTCTTTTTCTTTTTCTTTTTTTTTTCCTCAAAATTGTTCCTCTCAGGAGAAAATCAGTAGGGGAAGAACTTACTTGGATTTTTCATATGCTATAACAGATTATTTTGTTGTCTTCTTTCTTGATAGTTTATGATTGATGGCTGAAAGAGTAACACTCATGAGAAGTCTTGTAACTCAGCTCTGTTTTACTTATGAGGCAGTTGAAGCATAGAGCAGATACTTAGATGAGGACACACTTTTACCCTTGGCTGTACCCTACTTGTTTACTAATAAGCATCAGGTATTATTCTAAACAGTACCTGAATTTTAAATAGATTACGAACTACAACTTTCTGATATAACTTTATTGCATTTCTGATACCTTTTATTTTCTTAAAATGTCTTCTTTTTTACTTTTTAAAATTTTGATTGCTACTCTTTACAATTAAGGCATCTTCAATGGGGTCTTCAATACTACAGTACCTAATCAGTACTTAGAAAATAACTTGGTAAGACATTGCCCGTCCCTGACATGCTGCCAGTGTTTTTTATTTTTATGACAGGAAAGGCTGAAATGTTTTGACTGATTAACCGTCTCCATGGGGGAGAATTAGAAAGAATTATTCTTATTATCAAGTCATGTGAGGAGAACACTGGACCAGAGTAACCAATTGTCCTGTTTTGCCTGGAACAGGAGACTTTCAATGCTAAAACCAGCAAAGTCACCCTAATCCCAGTAGTTATTCATATTTCTGAATGGGTCTTTAGAACAGTAGAAGAGAGTGAAAAGTTGGCATTTCATCCATTGAGACTCTCTTCCCAGTGAAAGACTTCTTATTAGACGGCTGAGTGCTTACATATAATATATAGTGCATATTACACTAAATACAATAGTAATGGTTAAATGTAAAATTTGGGAGAAGAGAGGCTTGTTTAAAGAAAGATTTATTTATGTTATTTAAAGTTCTAATCTTAAACTTTTCTCTTTTTATAGAACTGATAGTGCATCAGCCGACCCAGGTAATTTAAAATATTCTTCATCCAGAGATAGAGGTGGTTCTTCCTCTTACGGACTGCAACCTTCAAATTCAGCTGTGGTGTCTCGGCAAAGGCACGATGATACCAGAGTCCACGCTGACATACAGAATGACGAAAAGGGTATATATATTTTCTTATTGCTACAAGCATGTTTTTTGAACCTACCTATCCCACCTTCCTGCCTTCTTACACCCCCAACTTTCTCACTTTCTTCTAATATATTTAAAATATGAATAACAAATGCAGTGTTATTTCTGAAAACTTCATAGGACGTTTATCCACTTTATTATTTTTAAAATTTAAAATTTTTCCATACATAATTCATCAATGCAGTTTTCTTACAAAAAAGATACAATACTATTTTTGTTTTTATTTTCAAAAATATTTAGCTAAGGTTGAAGTTCCTCTTGGCTACTGTCTCTAAACTTCAAGAAAGTTTTAAAACAAGGTGCAAAATTTGATTTAATTTAGTTTTCATTTCTTTGCTTATTTTCCAATGAAGGGATCAAAATAAAATTAATTTAACTTCAAAGGTGTATTAAAAGAAATGAAAATGATTTTCAAGGCAGACAGTACAGGAAAAAGGTAGGAGAAGCAAAGGCTGGTTGAGCTGCAGATTGAGTCATAAGATCCTGAGCTATCAGGAAATTGACTGAATGAAACGAACAATCATATTTAAATGACGTACACATGGCTGTTTGTAGGTGGCTACGGTGTCAATGGGGGATCTGGGGAAAATACTTATGGTCGGAAGTCATTGGGGCAAGAGCTGAGGGTTAACAATGTGACCAGCCCTGAGTTCACCAGTGTTCAGCATGGCAGTTGTGCTTTAGCCACCAAAGACATGAGGAAATCACAGGGTAAGGCTGGGAAAACGGGGACCAATCACATACACCTTCCAAAGACTTGTATCTCCTCTTATTCTGGATGCCTCTTACTAATGCCTTGCAAAGGCATAAGTTGATTAGTCTACTGTGCAGGTAAAAATTGTTTACATTCTTTTCCTGTGAATTGTTAATTTCCCACTAGAAAGGCTATAGTACATTTTAAAAGAGAATTCTCTTAAAACAAGATTAGAAGACTGGATAAGATCTTACAGAAAAGGTTTACCCAATTATCGTGGATATTGAATGTATAGTGCATAGTAGGCTCCTACTACAGCAAGTCCTTGAACTCTTGGGCCTGTGGAGGATATAGATATATGTAGAGAGGGGGTACTTTTCTGTCTTTTTTTTTTTTTTTTCTCTCTTTTAAGTTCAGGGTACATGTGCAGGATGTACAGGTTTGTTATGTAGGTAAACGTGTGCCATGGTAGTTTGCTGCACAGATCATCTCATCATCTAGGTATTAAACCCAGCATCCATTAAGCTATTCTTGCTGATGCTCTCCTTCCCCCCGCCCCCTAGAGTGGGTACTTTTCTGGTTTTTTTGTTGTTGTTGTTTTCAATATATTTTTTTGAGACAGAGTCTTGCTCTGTCACCCAGGCTGGAGCGCAGTGCTGCAATCTCTGCTCACTGCAACCTCCGCCTCCCAGGTTCAAGTGATTCTCATGCCTCAGCCTCCCAAGTAGCTGGGATTACAGGTGCATACCACCATACCCAGCTGATTTTTGCATTTTTAGTGGAGACAGGGTTTCACCATGTTGGCCAGGCTGGTCTCGAACTCCTGACCTCAAGTGATCACACGTGCTCATTACAGGCGTGAGCCACCGGGCCCTGCCTTGAGTGGGCACTTTTCTAAAGTTAAATACACTGATAGCATTTCTGCCTTATGACATAGCCTCACTGTATAGGTGAGTGCCTTGGAAGTTCAGAGGATTGGCCGGGTGCAGCGGCTCACGCCTGTAATCCCAGCACTTTGGGAGGCCGAGACGGGCAGATCACGAGGTCAGGAGATCGAGACCATCCTGGCTAACACGGTGAAACCCTGTCTCTACTGAAAATACAAAAAATTAGCTGGGCGCGGTGGCGGGCGCCTGTAGTCCCAGCTACTCGGGAGGCTGAGGCAGGAGAATGGTGTGAACCCGGGAGGCAGAGCTTGCAGTGAGCTGAGTGCGCCACTGCACTCCAGCCTGGGCGACAGAGCGAGACTCCGTCTCAAAAAAACAACAACAAAAAAGAAAGTTCAGAGGATTAGAGGTAATGATAATTTTTTTCCTTAAAGAGAAACTTATCGGTAAAGCTGAGTTATGGGCTTTGTCAGATGTAATTACTTTTTGGACGTTTAGTTTTTGACTTTTTTTTTTTATTTTTTATACTGTGTGTGTGCTTCGTGTATCTTGGTGAAAATCTTTGTGCCTGTAGCTTTTATTGTTGGTATATAACTTTTAAAAAACTGATTTCTTTTTATGTTTTCACAAGTGGAATGAATTCAAAGGCTATGTATGCTGTTTGTTAAAATAGAGTGTTTGAAGCCTTAGACTTATGATATTATAGAAGCTAAACAGCGATTCTAAAGTAGTTCAGTAGAGAATTCCTCTTCTTCAAAGGCTCAGGGTCATGTAGTTTGCTAGTGACAGAATTGTAAGTAGAGCCTAATTTCCCAGCTGGTAACTTGATGACATATTTGGTATCTGTCCTTATTGAAATACTCTATGGGCTACGGATTTGTAAAAATCCTATTCTTCTCTCAGTCATTGTAGTTTCTTTTTTTTTTTTTTTTTTTTTTTTAACTTAAATTCAGGATACAAGTGCAGATTTGTTACAGTGGTAAACTTGTGTCATGAGGGTTTGTAGTATAGATTATTTTATCACCCAGGTATTAAGCCTGGTACCCATTGGTTGTTTCTCTTGATCCTCTCCTTCCTCCCACCCCCCACCCTCCAAAAGGATCCAGTGTGTGTTGTTCCCCCTTGTAGTTATTTATTTATTTATGAGATGGAGTATCTCCCTGTCACCCAGGCTGGAGTGCAATGGCGCGATCTCAGGTCACTGCAGCCTCCACCTCCCAGATTAAAGTGATTCTCCTGCCTCAGCCTCCCGAGTAGCTGGGATTACAGGAGCGTGCCACCACGCCCGGCTAATTTTTTGTATCTTTAGTAGAGACGAGGTTCCACCATGTTGGCCAGGCAGGTCTCCAACTCCTGACCCCGTGATCTGCCCTCCTCGGCCTCCCAAAGTGCTGGGATTACAGGTGTGAGCCACCATGCCCAGCCTTCTGGTTTCTTTTATTATCAATTTTTTCTCATACCTTAGAAATGAAACTGTCAGACCCTTTGTGATTTGTTGTTTACGTATGTATTGGCTAATTATGGTAAATAGCACAGTTGAAAATGTTTTGCAAAAATTGAGTTTTTTGTTTTGTTTTGTTTTTTGAGACAGTCTCGCTCTGTCACCCAGGCTGGAATGCGCTAGTGTGATTTCACTGCAACCTTTGCTTCCCAGGCTAAAGCGATCCTCCCACCTCAGCCTCCTGAGTAGCTGGGATTACAGGCATGTGCCACTGTGCCCAGCTAATTTTTGTATTTTTCGTAGAGATGGGGTTGTACCATGTTGCCAAGGCTGGTCTCGAACTCCTGTGCTCAAGTGATCTGCCTGCCTTGGCCTTCCAAAGTGCTGGGTAATTACAGGCAAGAGCCACCTCGCCCAGCAAAAATCTAGTTTTTAAAGGCATCGTTAATATACTAATAGTATTCACTATTGTTTGCTTGTTCTTGTGATTAAAAAATAAAGGGAGAAAAGTTGTGGTTTGCTACCTTTCTAGTGGAGGCATGCCTTGCATGTGGTAGATGATAATTAGACATTTGTTGAACTAAATGTGTGATTATGGCTCCCCAAAACTTCATCCCAGGGAAATGATGATAATGTGAATAAGAGGCTTTCCTCCAGTGGGATACCTAGATGATAAGTAGAAGCCTATATCCTGTTTTTACTCGATTGAGACTTTATCCATACCCCTTGGAAGTTGTTTAATTTACCTACACCCGGGCTCTTTACCTGCATGTTGAAAACAGTTTGGAATGGACCCAAAGAAAGTTGTTACTAAGGCCTTTCTTTTTTCTCTCCCAGCCAGTCCTCTGGAATGAGGTGTTCAGTTGGCCTAGGGTTATTCATTTCTTGTTTCCTTCAGCAAATATTTTTTTGAGGGTCTGTTATGTGCCAGGCACTCTGCTGGGATTTGGAATACAGAGTTGAACAAAAGAGCGATAGGACCTATATTCCCTGAGCTTTTATTGACCAGTGGACTGTGACTTTTGATGTAATTTTATTTTTGAGAGAGGGTCTTGCTCTGTCACCCAGGCTGGAGTGCAATGGGGTGATCTTGGCTCACTGCAACCTCCGCCTCACGGGCTCCAGTGATTCTCCTGCCTCAGCCTCCCGAGTAGCTGGGACTACAGGTGCACACCACCTTGGCTGGCTAGTTTATGTAATTTTTTGTGTGTCTGTGGAGACAGGGTTTCACCATGTTGCCCAGGCTGGTCTCAAACTCCTGAACTCATGTGATCTACCCACCTTCCAAAGTACTGGGATTACAGGCATGAGCCCCCATAATAATTTAATTATTATTTAAATAATTTTTAATTTTAAAAATTTTAAAATTATTTTAAAATTTAAAATTTCCTTTGCTTATTTATACTCAGTGGACAACAAAATGTTTATATATTCACAGAGAGATCGATGTCTTATTGTGATGAGTCTCGACTGTCATATCTTCTTCGGAGGATCACCCGGGAAAACGACCGAGACCGAAGATTGGCTACTGTAAAGCAGTTGAAAGAATTTATTCAGCAACCAGAAAATAAGCTGGTAAGTATAGTATGTTTGGAAATATGAGGATTTTTGTGTTTCCATAATAAACTAGGTAATGCTACCTTGAGTAGTTTAAGAATGGGGAAAGTCTGTATTATGATGATCAAGAACTTAATGCTCTCTAATATGTAATTTCTTTTTCTTCTTAAAGACAAGATCTTGCTCTGTCGCCCAGGCTGGAGTGCAGTGGCACAGTCATAGCTCACTGCAGTCTCAAACTCCTGGATTCAAGCTATCCTCCCGCTGTGGCCTCCTGAGTAGCTGGGACTTCAGGCATGTGCCACTACACCTGGCTGAGGTGGAAGAATCACTTGAGCCCAGGAATTCAGGGTTGCAGTGAGATATGATCACACCTCTGCATGTCAACCTGGGCGACAGAGGGAGTCCTTGTCTCTTAAAACAACAACAGAAATGTAACAAAGTATAGGAAGGGTTAAATTTTTTTCTTCACTTTCTTTACACCAATTAAGAACTTGATATGGGCCAGGTGTGGTGGCTCATGCATGTAATCCCAGCATTTTGGGAGGCCAAGGTGGGTGGATCACCTGAGTTCAGGAGTTCGATACCAGCCTGCCCAACATAGTGAAGCCCCCATCTCTACTAAAAATACAAAATTAGCTGGGTGTGGTGGCACATGACCGTAATTCCAGCTACATGGGAGGCTGTGGCAGGAGAATCGCTTGAACCCAGGAGACGGAGGTTGCAGTGAGCTGAGATCACGCCATTGCACTCCAGCCTGGGCGAAAAGAGTGAAACTCCATCTTAAAAAAAAAAAAAGAACTTGACAATGAGCAGGAGAAAATTAATGAAAATGGTCTAGTGAGGCAGATGACACTTGGATCAAAGCAAGTTTCTCCTCCTTCCAAATTTTATTATGAGTAGTTTCAAATATATAGCAAGTTGAAAGAATTTGACATTGAATCTGTTAAACCCATCATCTAATTTTTGTCGTTAACATTTTACCCTAAATACTGCCTTGTCACATATCTCTCCATCTATCCCTCCATCCGTCAGTCAATTTTTCAAATGGATTTCAAAGTAAATGAAACAAGCTTTTTGAGTTTATTTTTTTGTTGATGGTCACAGCTCTATGTTTCCAGTGGGTGAATTTCTTTCATAGGCTGAAAGGAAACATGACATTCCTGATACATGCTCATTGGGGAGTGGGAATAATAAAGAAAGTAAAGTACTGTTGAATTAGAATTTGGAGGGAAGACAAATAAAAAAGTACACAATGCTATTCTTAAAAGTATAGGAATTTGAAGTTTTTATAAATGTGTTTTCTTTTAAAGGTACTAGTTAAACAATTGGATATCTTGGCTGCTGTACATGATGTGCTTAATGAAAGGTAAGTAACTAATAATGGTTCGGTTTAAATGACTTTAAAATATATTTTTAGAAATTACTTAACAATACACAAGAAGACAAACCCACTGGCTTTGTTTATGAACATTTATTGACATTTCAGTGGGTCTTGTCATTTTTATCTGCATTAATTATGTGTTAATTACGGTTGAATACAAATGGAATCCACTTGAAAAGAATATTTATTTTTTGAGCCGGAGTCTCACCCTGTCACCCAGGCTGGAGTGCAGTGGTGCGATCTCAGCTCACTGCAACCTCCACCTCCCGGGTTCAAGTGATTCTCCTGCCTCAGCCTCCCGAGTAGCTGGGACTACAGGCGTGCACCACAACTGCCAGCTAATTTTTGTATTTTTAGTAGAGACAGGGTTTCACCATGTTGGCCAGGCTGGTCTGGAACTCCTGACCTCAGGTGATCCACCCACCTTAGCCTTCCAAAGTGTTGGGATTACAGGCATGAGCCACCGTGCCTGGCTGGAATATTTTATTTTTTTAATTTGCTAGTCTCACTGGATAACTGAGTCTTGACTTATGGAATGGCATAAACTCTTGATGCAGGCATGAAGAATAAAATTAGTTTTTGTAAACAAGAGAATTTGAAACTGCTTAGAGAATAGAGGTAAAAAGGAATTTCCTTCTTTGGGTAAGAGTGGATCCAAACCATATATTCTCTGGCTATTAGAGTCTCCAGAGGTGTGTGGTCATTTTTTGTTATGGTGATTCCCAAAGATTTGCAGTGTTGGCAAGTACCCAAAATTTATCTCAGCTGGTCATAAACCTTAGTGCCTTTTGATGGTTTTGTTTTATAGAGTTACTTATTAAAGTTCTATGTAAATCATTACTGTTATCCTTTTAAGTTTCTGTATTTAACTATTACCATTTTTTATTTTATAGTCATTACATATTGGATATTATGTAGAATGTAGTTATGTATAGAGTGTTTTATCTACTTATTTGTTGCTGCCCTTTTCTGAGAGTTATTTAATACAGTTTGAGATGGAATTTAGCATTTTTGGGCCTTCCCTCACTGTTTGTAAATAATTGATTTTGTAAAAAGAAAGTGATGTCAGACAGATACTTGAGGGCAATGCAGGCTAGACAGAATGTAGTATTTAGAGTGGAGAAAATTTCAACCTTTTATGTAGTTTGAATAGAAATTTAAAAAACCACTTAAGACATTCTTTTGTAAGATGTATTACTCGTGTCATCATAGAAAACTTAAGCCTTTTGTGTGTGTTTTTTGTTTGCATTAAAATAAACACAGTAGCAAATTGCTTCAGGAGTTGAGACAGGAGGGAGCTTGCTGTCTCGGCCTTCTTTGTGCTTCTCTGAGCTATGAGGCTGAGAAGATCTTCAAGTGGATTTTTAGCAAATTTAGCTCATCTGCAAAAGATGAAGTTAAACTCCTCTACTTATGTGCCACCTACAAAGCACTAGAGACTGTAGGAGAAAAGAAAGCCTTTTCATCTGTAATGCAGGTAAGAATGAAGGGGGAAAAAATGCATGATATACTTGGGAAGAAAATTGTCCCTTTAACACATGTCCTTGGAGGGGAGCTTGAAGAAGGGAATCATAGAATAGGGGTTATCTACTGATAGGAAATATGTTTTAAAAATTCCTCTTTCTCAGTTTGAGTAAAGGATACACTGTTCAAGGATCAGTGCTACATACATATATGCATATATGTGGAGAGAGAGGGAGAGATTTCTTCTAAAAAATTGGCTTACACGCCAGGCGTGGTGGCTCACGCCTGTAATCCCAGCACTTTGGGAGGCTGAGGCAGGCGGATCATGAGGTCAAGAGATCGAAACCATCCTGGCCAACATGGTGAAACCCCGTCTCTACTAACAATACAAAAATTAGCCGGGCGTGGTGGCACGCGCCTGTAGTCCCAGCTACTCAGGAGGCTGAGGCAGGAGAATGGCTTGAACCCGGGAGGCCGAGGTTGCAGTGAGCCAAGATCGCACCATTGCCTGGGAGACAGAGCCAGACTCTGTCTCAAAAAAAAAAAAAAAAAAAAAAAGATTTTTTTCCCCTTTGGTTTTTAGAAATGTTTTTTTTGAGATTGCTTAGGACCAGAATTTGCAAAGTTGAAAATAGGAACTCCACTAGTAATGCCGGATAGAAGAGTGCTTCACATTTGTAGAGGGAGACAAGAACTAAATATCACAACTTCTTTCTGAGCCTTTTGGTTTGCTAACGTGCCCCAAATTCTTATTCCAAATGGTATAAGATAATTATGTGTAAATGAATACCGGCTCTACTTAGTTGTATTTCATATTTGTGTATCTGAATATATTAAAATATCATTCTTTTTTTTTTTTTTTTATGCAGAGTCTTGCTCTGTTGTCCAGCGTGGAGTGCAGTGGCATAATCTCGGCTCACTGCAACCTCTGCCTCCCAGGTTCAAGTGATTCTCCTGCCTCAGCCTCCCGAGTAGCTGGTATTGCAGGAGTGTGCCATTAGCCTGGCTAATTTTTATATTTTTAGTAGAGATGGGGTTTCATTGTGTTGGCCATGCTGGTCTTCAACTCCTGACCTCAAGTGATCCTCCTGCCTCGGCCTCCCAAAGTACTGTGATTAGTGTCATGAGTCACCACACCTGGCCTAAAAGATCATTGATTTAGTTTTGAGTAAGATTTTAAGTGATTAAATTATGGTATTGTTGTGTTTGGAATATCTGATATTAGGGTTTTTTTTTTTTTTTTTTTTTTTTTTACAGTTTTTGATATGCTTTATTTTGGGTATGTAGTTTAAAAAATATAAAGGAAATATAAGGAATATTCTTTTTTTTTTTTTTAATAAAAAATGTATTTTTAACTGGGCATGGTGGCTCACTCCTGTAACCCCAGCACTGTGGGAGGCTGAGGCTGGTGAATTGCCTGAGTCCAGGAGTTTGAGACCAGCCTGAGCAACATGGTGAAACCCTGTTTCTATCAAACAAAAAAAAAAAAAAAAGGAAAAAAAATAAGTTGGGCATGGTGGCATGCACCTGTAATCGCAGCTACTTGGAGGCTGAGGCAGGAGGATCGCTTGTGCCTGGGAGGTTGAAGCTACAGTGAGCTATGGTCAAGCTACTGCACTCCATTATAGGCAACCCTGTCTCAAAAAAGCAAAACAAAATGAAACATTTTCCCCTTGATTATAGAGGTTTGAGAAAAATTTGAGGGAAGATTCAGAAAATTACCTGTAACTGAACAGAATGCCACCAGCTTGGGCTTATTCTGCATGCATAATTATGAACATTTTCCCAGCTCTTGTGAAAATTCTCACATTCATAGAAAGATAGATGCACCAGTAAAATAAATACCTGTAAATACGATAATAATTTCATAATATATGCTTCACCTAGATTTACCAGTTACTAATATTTTGCCACAGTTTTATTTTCTCACACACTTTTGTTGAGCATCTGAAAACCATACACATGATGACAGTTCACCCCATAATGTTTTAGTATGCATCTCCCAAGAATAAGGTTTTTCTTCTGTATAACAAGAATATTGTAATCATACCTAAGAAAATGAATTTTATTACATATGTGTTCTATATTCAAATTTCTGTAATTACCCCAAGATGTCTTTTAAATGATTTTTAGCATTGATAGTCTGTGCCTGTGTAGATTATAACATTGGCTATTGCAAAATAATGGTTTTCTTTTTCTCTTTTTTTTTTTTTGAGACGTAATCTTGCTCTGTTGTCCAAGCTGGAGGGCAGTGGCACGATCTCGGCTCACTGCAACCTCCGCCTCCCAGGTTCAAGCAGTTCTCTTGCTTCAGCCTCCTGAGTAGCTGGGATTACAGGCATGTGCCACTGTGCTCTGCTAATTTTTATATTTTTAGTAGAGACGGAGTTTCATCATGCTGGCCAGGCTGGTCTTGAACTCCTGACCTCAGGTGATCCACCTGCCTCGTCCTCCCAAAGTGCTGGGGTTACAGGTGTGAGCCACTGCACCCAGCCTAAAATGATGGTTTTCTGATTCTAGCATTTCTTTGATAAGATTGCTATGTAAAGCACAGCTTTTCCTTTTTTAGGGAAAAATGTTTTTTAACAGCTGCAAAATAAATATTCTTTCAATGGAATGACAAATAGTTATTTATTATTTTATTTTTGCCATATATTTATTTTAAAAATTTATGTATAATGGTAACCTGAGCCTGCATGTTATTCATGTGTGGTGCCATACTGATCTTCCTTAATTTTAATATGAAGCAAGTACTAATATACTAAAGCATAAATTATATAAAATTTGCTTTATATTTTGGATTGCAAAGTAATTGTTGTACTTTATAGAAAAGTTTCCCAAATCCATTTTACTTTTTTGTATTTGAAATTTAATCACAGGTAGAATCTTAAAGAGAGCATTTAGGGATATTGTAAACAGATGTTATTAAGGACTAATGTTAACTGATGTCAAAGGACTAATATTAACAAACATTGAAGAAGAGAAAACAGTATCTGTTTTTAGCTTAACAGCTTAGTGGAGCGAAATATTTTCAGTTTATTTATTTTATTTATTTATTAATTTTTTTTTTTTTTTTTGAGATGGAGTCTGGCTGTATTTCCCAGGCTGGAGTGCAGCGGTGCAATCTCAGCTCACTGCAACCTCTGCCTCCTGGGTTCAAGCAATTCTTGTGTCTCAGCCTCCCAAGCAGTTGGGATTTACAAGTCAATTCTTTTTTTTTTTTAACTAAAACTACAGAATCTATTTTTCTTGGTCTCATACTCAGGTTTTTATGTAGGCACTTCATAAATAATGAACCTAATTTGCTTGTTTTCTCCCTATTTTGTTGAATGTTCACGGTTTGTAACTTTTATTTTTAAGCTTGTAATGACCAGCCTGCAGTCAATTCTTGAAAATGTGGATACACCAGAATTGCTTTGCAAATGTGTTAAGTGCATTCTTTTGGTGGCTCGATGTTACCCTCATATTTTCAGCACTAATTTTAGGGTGAGTTCCTCATTCCGCTGTTCAGATCATGGGGTGAGGGGGATGGTTGTGTGTGTGAGGAACTGAGGAATCAGATGGAAAACAGTGCCTCTGCTCCTTTGAATATAATCAGTGATATTTGAGGTTCCAGGGTTAAATGCCGCATTTTTCTTTCTGACGTTCGTACCTTAAAATATTTGAAGAAAATAAACTATTTCATTGCTGTCAGAAATGTAGTTCTTTTATTTTCCTGCCCCTCTCCCCTTTCTAAGTTTCTAGAATGTCAAGTAGGTAGAACATAGATGCTCCTTTTAGGATCTTTTGCTGTGAAATGGTCCACAGGTGGATTGCAGTAATATCTTAAAATGATTGGCCCCCTCTCTCTTTGTTTCCATCAAGGATACAGTTGGTATATTAGTTGGATGGCATAGAGATCATACTCAGAAACCTTCGCTCACGCAGCAGGTATCTGGTAAGTCTTGCAGCCTATACCAGTTATTTAAATACTGTCGGGGAGGAGCAGTGGTCCCCCAGTGACCATCTATCAATACCATTTCTTTAATAATGCAAGAAAACTAATTCAGAGAAATGTTTTATTGTAAATGAACATGACTTGTTAGCTAAATATATATTTTCAGAGGAAATTACTAGTAGGTGGGTAGAGTAAGTACAGACAGGACTTACCCAAGTTATTTGTAGTTTGTACTGGTAGGAAAGTATATGGTAAGAATATATTGCAGTGGCAATACCCTGAAGTGGACAATGGAAGATCCAAGTTATTTGTCACATTTTATTGTTTTTCTGGTTATTTTTTTAAAAAAGGAAATATAGGGTTAATTTGGAGAATTGTCATAAATGAGAAGTGGTTTTGTTTCCCACTTTTTTGGAGTTAAGTGAATGACTAGCGTGGCTCATTTGCACATTTCAGCTTGTTTCAAGTGTCATAGTTTCTCGTAACTTACTTGGTGTAATAAACTTTTGAAAATAAGATATTCAGGTGATAGTGGTCTGTTTCATTTTCACTGAGGAGATGAGTATACACCTTTAATGGTTAGATGTGGCCCTGGGATTAGCCGGGCCAATGGTAGATTGTGGCATTTTAGTCTTAAGTCATGTGTAGTGACAATATAGATATGAAATTTACTGAAAAAGTAAGGAAATAACATTTACCTGTTAATTTCTGCAGAAATTAAGGAGGTATTAATTAAAGAGGTATTGGTTAATCGTGATCAGCATGTTTAGCAGTCTTAATTTTATGATATAGGACATGTTTTAGGGTATGCTGCTTGAAAACCAGATACTTTTTAAAAGAAGCCTCTTATATTTTTTAATTTGGATTTTTTGGTGTTTTTTCTCCCCCCTACCCTTTCACAATTTCTTACGCGATTCCAAGGGTGGTTGCAGAGTTTGGAGCCATTTTGGGTAGCTGATCTTGCATTTTCTACGCCTCTACTTGGTCAGTTTCTAGAAGACATGGAAGCATATGCTGAGGTGAGTATATAGAAAGCTGTTTCTTAAAATTTTGGTTAAGAAAAAATCTTAAATTGTGCTAGATTTATTTTAAAATGGCTCAGACCTCCTGACATTTAAGCAGAAATTACAAGCCCATTGCAATATTTTGAAAAATTTTTTCTTTTTGAGACGGAGTCTCGCTCTGTCACTCAGGCTGGAGTGCAATGGCACGATCTCAGCTCACTGCAACCTCCACCTCCTGGGTTCAAATGATTCTCCTGCCTCAGCCTCCCGAGTAGCTGGAATTACAGGTGCCCGCCACTACGCCCAGCTAATTTTTGTATTTTTAGTAGAGACGGGGTTTCACCATGTTGGCCAGGCTGGTCTCAAACTCCTGACCACTGGTGATCCAGCCGCGTCGGCCTCCCAAAGTGCTGGGATTATAGGCATGAGCCCCCGTGCCCAGTCAGTATTTTAAACATTTATTTCAGATGTGTTTAAGTTACCAGGAGAATTACTGGAGAGACTAAAAGAAACGTTGCAAGCTTCGTATTTCGCAAAGCTTTACATACTCTCGGTAGCTGGTATTTTTCTAAAGACATATTTTGTTATTTATTTTTATTTTTTGTTCCCAGTCTTCAGAGTCTTAAAGCAAATTGATGTTGTGTTATAAAAAAACACAAAACACCAAAAGCTCCTAAAGATTTTCCTCTTACATATGTACAGGAGATCTTGAATCGTACTTTGGAGGACAAGCCTTGGCTTCAGCCAGCTTTTGTGGCTGTACGAATATAGCATAGGAGCTTTAAGAGCGCTGCTGAAGCCTCTGTTACTGGTACTTGGCTTTTCTGGCCCCACTGTCATGGCTTAACTCTGTGCCATCTCTTATCTGAATCTCTTTGTGTTTCTCCCCTATTCAGATCAACCAGTCAAGGCTCCCATAAAGATTTTGGCCTCATCTTGTTTTTTTCATCTTTGCTGCTTGTAGTCAACAGGAATTCAGTACCTTTAGCTGTACTGATGTGTTTACTCTTTCCTAGAAAAGCAAGGAAATGTTTTGCTTCTGCGTTGTTTTTTCTTTGCCCCCACACCTAGAATGTCTTTTTTCACAGCCCACGTTTAAAGCTGATCTACCTCTCATAAGCCACACATTCTAGTTTGTAGAGATGCTTCCCCTTGTTATCCTTAAGATCTCATTCTCTTCTGTTATTTTGGTGCTTAATTTTAGGTAGATGTATACATTGGTTCTGGTATCCTAGTTTTTGCGAATCTTGTCCTTTTCATATATCGTACTTCTTCAGTTACACATCTGTAGACCAGGTCTTGTAATCTCCCTTTGCTCTTCATGTGCATGCTCTTGGTTTGGAGGACTTACTGTTGAGCTGAGTGGCTCAAAGAATACCTAGAATGAGATTTTTAGCCAAAAACTAATTCAGGAGTGGCAAAAGCTTCCGTCTTCATTTATACCTACATATAACTAGAGCATATGTGCTAGAATTTATTTTTCCCCAACAGCTTTCTGAGTTGATTTAAGAGATTATTTCCTTAATTTGTTGTCTATTGGGTTTAATGTTGGCTTTTTGAAATAATTAGGTAAAACCCATTTTTATATTCAGAGTCATGAATATTCTCATGGGCCACAGTTCTCTTTCTAAAAGCCTAAAAATCTATTCTAAAATGAATTGATTGAAATATTTTAGAGTTTTTTTTTGTTTTGTTTTGTTTTTTTAAACAATGTACTACTTATTAAGAATGCTGTGAATTCACATCTAGGACCTCAGCCATGTGGCCTCTGGGGAATCAGTGGATGAAGACGTCCCTCCTCCATCAGTGTCATTACCAAAGCTGGCTGCGCTTCTCCGGGTATTTAGTACTGTGGTGAGGAGCACTGGGGAAAGCCTCAGCCCAATTCGGGCCCTCCAATTACTGAGGCATACGTAACAGATGTAAGTGCTTTTGGGCATTTGAAGTGTCATTCAAAAATAAAATTGTTTTACATTGTAAATGCTTCTCTTTACCAGGTGAACTGTTATTAATCCTTCATTTGTTTAGCATGTATGTATGTATGTATATATGTATATATTGTCTGACTGCTTTCTTAAACAACCAGAAAAGCAGGGAATCCTGTTATAGCTCATCCTCCTTTCATCCAACTCCCCTACCCTCCCATGACAAAAGGCCACTCTGAATTTTTAAATCTCATTCTTTCATTTTTAAATAATATTTCTTATAATTTTACTTTTAAATTATTGGGTTTCCTTTTAGTTTTTCAACATATTACGAATAGCACACTATAGGAGAAGCCTCAGAAAGTAATCTTCTCTGAGCATAAGATGGAACTCATATGAAAACTTGTGTATCTTTATATTCTTTGATAGCCTGATATCAAAGAACATAAACAAATTAAAAATGAGGTAGCTAGATTGCCACACTTCAGCAGCCTCAGACATTAGCTGCACTGTATATAGCACATCCAGTGAGGGTTCAGTGGAAAAGACACAAGAAATGAACCCCAGGCATTGTACTCTGCTTTGAATAAGGAGAAAGAAGCATGTGTGATACAGTCATAAAAAATTTAATCTAACTGATGAAAATTTTACCGTTAGGATAAAACTTGCTTTTAGGAGCATATACTTTTGCTGAACATGTTGCTAAATAAAATAGGATATTGATTATATAGTAAGTTGTGTACTTGAGCAGAAATGTCAGAACTTAAAGATAAATGAAACCGGCATATCGGTATTTTAAACCAATATGGTTTCAAAATGGTTTAATATCTTTGCTTCATTTTTAATGTCTAAAAGGTGGTTGTTTGAAGACTGTACAGAGTTGAAATAAAAAGCCGTTAATTCAGACATAAAATAAAGGGGACATAATTTATAGGATAGGTGTATATTGATTTATGAGGATCTTTTAGGCCTTTGAGAATGGTAGAATGGTGGGGTTTTTATTTTTTTTATTTATTTTTGGAGCTGGAACCTCACTCTGTCACCCAGGCTGGAGTGTAGTAGTTCAATCATAGCTCACTGTAGTCTTGAACTCTTGGGCCCAGGTGAACTTCCCACCTCACTCAGCCCTACAAGCGGGTGTCACCATACCCAGCTTTTTTTTTTTTTTCCTTTTTAAAGTGGGGTGGTGCCATCACGACTCAGTGCAGCCTCTATCTCTTGGGCTCAAGTGATCCTCCCAGCATAGCTCCTGCTAATTTTTTATTTTTGTAGAGATGGGGTCTCAGTGTTTCCCAGGCTGGTCTTGAACTTTTGGCCTCAAGCAGTCTTCCCACCTCAGCCTCCCAAAGTGTTGGGATTATAGACATGAGCCACTGTGCATGCATGGCCAAGAATGCTTCCCCCTCCGCCCTCTCCCCCCAACTCTTTTTTTTTTGGAGACATGGTCTCTGTTGCCCAGGCTGGAGTGCAGTGGCACGATCTTGGCTCACTGCAGCCTTGACCTCCCAGGCTTAAGTGATCCTCCCACCTCAGCCTCTCAAGTAGTTGGTGGGACTACTGGTGTGAGCCACCACACCCAACTAATTTAGAAACAAATTTGGTAGAGATGAGGTGTTGTTATGTTGACATGGCTGGTCTCAAACTCCTGGACTCAAGAGAACCTTCCAGCTAATCCTCTCAAAGTGCTAGGATGATAGATGTGAGTCACTATGCCCAACCTCTAAGGATACTTTTAATGAAAACTATGGGTAGACTAAATAAAATCCTGTATGTATTGGTTGTTAAATATTATAGAAATATTTTTTAACATTTGCTCTGTTTTCTCCCCTATTTTATTAGAAATTTAGTACACAATTATTGGCTATTATAGTTAAGTGGGGGATTTTGTGTGTGTGTGTATTGGAAATAATATGATTTTTGAAGATATTATGTGGCAAGCATGAGAGTGCTTATCTTTCAAAAGAGACCATCAGTAGATAGAAACTTTAATAAGCTTAAAGTGACTTGTATGTTCAGTTTTGAAAGATTGATTCCCAAAAGCCCAAGAGCTAGCTTGTAGTATGTGTGGGCAGGCTATTCCCATGCTGTCAATACCATTACTGTCGTGGTGTATTTCATGATAAAGATTCTGAGCTTCAGCCATTTAGTGACATTGGGAGAAACGAAGTTGGGTATGTGGGAAATAGAGGATGGCAGATTCCATTTCCTGTCATAGTAGCACTTTAGGATTTTTTAGCCAAGATCATGTTTACATATTGTAGTAAAGGTATCATCATTATTCAGCTACTGAGAACTAGAATATTAAGAGACTGCTGGCAAGGCAAGCAGTTAATTTTCAGTTGAAATTGCATTAAATAAAAAGTATTTTCTTGCTTTGTGGAAGCACGTGAATTTTTTTAAAAAGCTGCTGGTTTTCCCCATTTACAGGTGCTGTACAGAGTAATGAGATGTGTGACGGCTGCAAACCAGGTGTTTTTTTCTGAGGCTGTGTTGACAGCTGCTAATGAGCGTGTTGGTGTTTTGCTCGGCAGCTTGGATCCTAGCATGACTATACATTGTGACATGGTCATTACATATGGATTAGACCAACTGGAGAATTGCCAGACTTGTGGTACCGATTATATCATCTCAGTCTTGAATTTACTCACGCTGGTATGTGAATTATTCTTTTCCTTTTTAATGTGTTGGTTTATTCAGGCCCTTAAATGGATATGTAAGAAATTAAGGGCTTTGTCTGGGTATGGTGGCTCATGCTTGTAATCCCAGCGCTTTGGGAGGCCAAAGCAGAAGGGTTGCTTGCATCCAGGAATTCTGGCACAGCTTGGGCAATGTAGTGAGACCCCATCTGTACAAAAAGTCAAAAATTAGCTTGGTGTAGTGGTGTGCACCTGCAGTCCTAGCTACTCGGGAGGCTGATGGAGGAGGATCGATTAAGCCCAGGAACTTGAGGTTGAAGTGAGCTCTGATTGTGCCACTGCACTCAGCCAAGGTGACAAAAAAGGCCCTGTCTCCAAAAAAGAAAAAAAATAAGGGCTTTGCTTTATTATATAATTTTTTTAGAGTACATTCATCAGTCTTATAATCTATGCTTTCATTTTAGTGTCTATTTACTTTTATTTTTAATGCAATTTTTTTTTTGAGACAGGGTCTCACTCCGTTGCACAGGATGAAGTGCAGTGGCATGATTTTGGCTCACTGTAGCCTTGACCTCTTGGGTTCAGGTGATCCTCCCACCTCAGCCCCCCAGGTAGCTAGGACTACAGGCGTGCACCACCACACCTGGCTAATTTTTTATATTATTTTGTAGAGATGGAGTTTTGCCATGTTGCCCAGGCTGGTCTTGAATTCTTGGGCTCAAGCAATCCACCTGCCTTGGCCTCCCAAAGTACTGGGATTATAGGCATGAGCCACTCTGCCAGGCCTCTATTTTTAGTGGTTGATAGCTAGTCTCAGTGTAGCTTTACTCGTTTTTTCTGAGGAAACATTGCTCTACGCACCAGATTCTTTCTTTTTTTCTTTTCTTTTCTTTCTTTTTTTTTTGGTCACAGGATCTTGCTGTATTCCCCTGGCTGGAGTGCAGCGGTACAATCAGAGCTCACTGCAGCCTCAAACTCCTGGGCTCAAGTGATCCTCCCACTCAGCCTCCCGACTATCTGGGACTACAGATGCATGCCACCATGCCTGGCTAACCTTTATATTTTTTGGAGAGAAGGGGTCTCGCTACATTGTCTAGGCTGGCCTTAAATTCTTGGTCTCAAGTAATCCTCCTGCCTTGCCCTCCCAAAGTGCTGGGATTACAGGTGTGAGCAATCATGCCTGGCCTCCTTTAATTTTTTTTTTTTTTTTTTTTTTTTTTGAGACGGAGTCTCGCTCTTTTGCCCAGGCTGGAGTGCAGTGGCACAATTGTATTTTTAGTAGAGACGGGGTTTCACCATGTTAGCCAGGATGGTCTCGATCTCCTGACCTCGTGATCTGCCTGCCTTGGCCTCCCAAAGTGCTGGGATTACAGGCGTGAGCCACCGCGCCCGGCCGGCCTCCTTTAATTTCTTAACCATAAATATCCTCCCCCCACTTTTATTATGGACGTTCTGAAGCACATAAAAATAGGGAGCATAGTATAATAAATTTGTACATATTTAACACTCAGCTTCTATAATTAGAAACAAATGGCCCATCTGGTTTCATCTAGGCCTCTTTGCTATCCTTTCATCTCCAACTAGATTATTTTACAGCAAATTCTAGATGACATTCTGCTGAGCATTTCTGCCAGAATTACACCTCTCTTTGCTAATGTGAAAAAATGCCCATGATAACTGTAAAATACGTGTGTCCTATTTAGGTGTCTAAACACTTTAATGTCACAGTATTAAGGCCTTAAAATATAGCTTAGATATATTTTTCTAAATTAAAAGACTTCATTTTTTAGATATACAGAAAATTGAGCAGAAAACAGTGAGTTCCCATATACCTTCTTCATCCCAACAGTTTCCCCCTCATTAACATATTGTGTTAGTGTGGTACATTTATTACAAAGGAGTGAATATTGATATATTATTATTAACTAATTTTATAGTTTACTTTGTGTTATGTATTCTATGGACTTTAACATGTGTAATGACATGTTTCCCCTATTACCAGTATCATACAGGATAGTTTCACTTCCCTAAAAATCTTTTATGTTCTACCCACTCCTTCCTCGTTCCCTCTCCCCACTCCTCCCTCCCCCCATCTTAAGCCCATGGCAACCCCTGATCTTTTTACTGTCTCCATCGTTTTGCCTTTTCCAGAATGCCATGTAGTTGGAGTCATATAGTATGTAGCCTTTTCAGTTGGCTTCTTTCACTTACCAGTGTGCCTTTAAGGTTTCTCCATGTCTTTTTGTAATTTGAGAAGCTCATTTTTTAAAAATTTTATTCTTTTAGATTGTTGAACAGATAAATACGAAACTGCCATCATCATTTGTAGAAAAACTGTTTATACCATCATCTAAACTACTATTCTTGCGTTATCATAAAGAAAAAGAGGTAAGTAATACACTGATAATGAATTTTGACAACTTGAGTCACTGAAGAGTTGGACCTAATGTTGCTTACCCCAGGCTATATAAGTGAAATTGAGTGAAATGTGAAATGTTTGATTTAGAATATAGTGATTGTATTTGTTCTTTTAAATTTATATTTCTTGATAATCATACTGAATACTTTCATGAATGGTGTGCCAGATACTCTTTTCAGACTATGCATCTTTTGCTGTTATTAAATTTATTAAATTTTCATAAGGGTAAAACAAGTTGACACATTTATAAAGTTATAAATTAAGAAGTACTGTATATTTGGTAAACAAAAATGACTGGCTTTTCAACCACCCCCTAGTCAAATCCACCACAGACTTTCCTGGTAGATTTAAGAAACCCAGTCTTAAACTGCTGTTTGCATATGTCTTTTGATGTTGATTATTAAAAAAAAAAAACAAAAACGGCCATTTTGGAAATTTCCTATTGACAGTTTTCATTTATAGTACTCTTTATTTGTGATAAAACTTAATAGATTTGAAATAGCATACTGATCTGTGTCAGTTTTCTGATTGGTTTTTAAAAAATTAAAATATTAAATGCTACAGACAGTGAATTGATCGATCTTAAATTTATTTGTATCATCAGCACTAATACAGATAGTGATTTATTTTCCATATAATTTTAGAAGATTTATTTTCCATTTATCACTTCCTTGAATTTTTTGTTTTTCAGGTTGTTGCTGTAGCCCGTGCTGTTTATCAAGCAGTGCTCAGCTTGAAGAATATTCCTGTTTTGGAGACTGCCTATAAGTTAATATTGGGAGAAATGACTTGTGCCCTAAACAACCTCCTGCACAGTCTGCAACTTCCTGAGTCCTGTTCTGAAATAAAACATGAGGCTTTTAAGAATCATGTGTTCAATGTAGACAATGCAAAATTTGTAGTTAAATTTGACCTCAGTGCCCTGACTACAATTGGAAATGCCAAAAACTCACTAATAGGGGTGAGCCTTTAATTGTAATGACTTTGTTTTATCAACAGTTAAGCCTTTTCTCATTACATATTTATGTATTTCACTGTTATGTCAACATGTCTGCAGAATCACTGTATGTAACAAACAGCCATATTTAAGACATGCCTGGATAAATAAAATTGGTAGGAATGTTTTCTTGCCATTATATTTAACTTTTCTTCTTTTTCCTTGACAAATCTTGATAAGTTTTTTTATATTAGTTTTATTTTCTAGAAAATGTCTTATGAATTTCTCCTATTTGCTCTAGCATGCTTACAGAAAATGTCAGTGTTTCTTACAGCTCAAATTTGTATAGTTGTTTTAAAATGCGGTCTCTTTCTTCTTCCCCTGGTACTTTTTTCTTTCTGTGTACTGAAGTTAGTTCTTATACATGGTCTTATATTTTGGCTGTCTCTTTTTCCCTAGGAACATTCATACAGGTTGAATATTCCTTATCTGAAATACTTGGGACTGGAAGTGTTTTCGATTTTGGATTTTGGAATACTTTTTTTTTTTTTTTGGAGATAGTGTTTTTACTCTTGTTGCCCAGGCTGGAGTGCAATGGCGCGATCTTGGCTCGCTGCAACCTCCGCCTCCCGGGTACAAGCGATTCTCCTGTTTCAGCCTCCCAGGTAGCTCGGATTACAGGCATGCACCACCACCCCTGGCTAATTTTTTTGTATTTAGTAGAGATGGGTTTTCACCATGTTAGCCAGGCTGGTTGTGAACTCCTGACCTCAGGTGATCCACCTGCCTTGGCCTCCCAAAATGCTGGGATTACAGGTGGGCACCACCATGCCCAGCCGGAGTTTGGAATATTTTCATAACACTTACTGGTGAGCATCCCTAATCTGAAAATCCTAAATCTAAAATGCTCCAAAATTTGAAACTTTTTGAGCACCAGTATGATGCCCCAAGTGGAAAATCCCACACCCGACCTCATGTGATGAGTCCAAACTGTTGTATGCCCAAAATTATTTAAAATATTGCATAAAATGACCTTCAGGCTATGAATAGAAGGTGTCTATGAAACATAAGTGAATTTCGTCTTTAGACTTGGGTCCCATCCCCCACATATCTCATTTTATATATATGCAAGTATTCTCAAATCCAAACATATACAAAGTCTGAAACACTTCTGGTCCCAAGCATTTTGAATAAGGGATACTGAACCTGTAGTCTTCCTTTTGGTGGTGGTGGGGGGACTTTTTTTTTTTTTTATTTTATTTTATTTTTTTTTTGGGGAGACAGAGTCATGCTGTTGTCAACTGGGCTGGAGTGCAGTGGTGCAATCTCGGCTCACTGCCACCTCTGCCTCCCGGGTTCCAGCAATTCTCCTGCCTCAGCCTCCCGAGTAGCTAAGATTACAGACACTTGCCACTACGACGGGCTAATTTTTGTATTTTTAGTAGAGACTTGGTTTCACCATGTTGGTCAGGCTGGTCTCAAACTCCTGACCTCAGGTGATCCACCTGCCTCAGCCTCCCAAAGTGCTGGAATTACAGGCATGAGCCACCGCGCCCAGCCCGTGTGTTTTTTTTTTTTAAGTAATTTGACGTGGCCCTGCTCTTGATTTGTATTTATTGTTTATGGTTTGTGTATTTCTTCTTCCTATTGGACCACACAGAGTTGAAAAACATCATTTTTAATAGAAAATAATAGGTGTAGGCTGGGCACGGTTGCTGACACCTGTAAACCCAGCACTCTGGGAGGCCAAGTCAGGCTGATCACCTGTGGTCAGGAGTTTGAGACCAGCCTGGCCAACATGGTGAAAGCTCGCCTCTACTAAAAATAGAAAAATTAGCCAGGGGTGGTGGTGCACACCTGTAATCCTAGCTACTTTGGAGGGTGAGGTAGGAGAATTGCTTGAACCCAGGAAGTGGAGGTTGCAGTGAGCTGAGATCACACCACCGCACTCCAGCCTGGGCTACAGAGCCAGACTCTGTCTCAAAAGAAAAAAAAAAAAGAAAGAAACAAAGAAAGAAATGGATGTAATTAGGGAATAAAGTTTTTAGGAGGAAGAAGGTAAAATTTGATGTTTGCGCTTCAATGTGCTCCGTGTTGTTAGATTGGATTGCCTTGTATAATTCCATAGCTGCTTCGCTTATTACCAGTTACAGTTTATGTTTGAAGTCACAATAAACTCTTCTTCAAACATGAAAGCTTGATTTTTGAGGAAAATTATTCACATTATTTACAGATTCAAAGATGTTTATGTCCTGTACTCTAGAAATAAGGAGAAAGTGGGTGGGGATGGGGCAGTCAGGTGGAGTGGAGTGTCTTGGCAGTGTAAAGGAAAAAGATGGATGGAAAAGGTGTAGGGTGGCAGGGTGTGCCTCTGTTTCCTTATTGAACAGGGCACCTTGCCATTTGCAGTATATGGAAAATTGAGGAAATACAGTCTACTTCCGCAAAAGGCACATACAAAGGGCTCTGTTTAGACCAGAGATCAGCAAACTATGGTCTGTGGGCCAAATACAGCCCAGCACCTGTTTTTTGTCTGTTATTTTAAGTGTATAATTCACTGATTTTTACTATATTCACAGAAGTGTACAACCATCACAACACTAGTGCCTGTTTTTGTAAAGAAAGTTCTTGTTGGGCTGGGCGCAGTGGTTCACGCCTGTAATCCCTCGGGAGACTGAGACAGGCAGATCACCCAAGCTCAGGAGTTCAAGACCAGCCTGGCCAACATGGTGAAACCCTATCTCTACTAAAAAAATACAAAAGTTAGCAGGGCGTGGTGATGGGCACCTGTAATCTCAGCTACTTGGGAGACTGAGGCAGGGAGAATTGCTTGAACCCCGGAGGTAGAGGTTGCAGTGAGCTGAGATCGCCCCATTGCACTCCAGCCTGGGCGACAGAGCGAGAGACTCCGACTCAAGAAAGTTTTCTTGGAACACAGGTACTCTCATTCCTGTGTTTTGTGTGTGGCTGGTGTTTTGTTTTGAGAGAGAGAGTCTTAACTTTGTCATCTAGGCTGGAGTGCATTGGTATGATCTCGGGTCACTGCAACCTCTGCCTCCCAGGTTCAAGCGATTCTCCTGCCTCAGCCTCCCGAGTAGCTGGGATTACAAGTGTGCGCCACCATGCCCAGCTACTTTTTGTAATTTTAGTAGAGATGGGGTCCCGCTGTGTTGCCCAGGCTGGTTTCAAACTCCTGGGCTCAAGTGATCTGCCCACCTTAGCCTCCCAAAGTGCTAGGATTACAGGTGTGAGCCACAACACCTGACCTGTGGCTGTTTTCTTACTGTAGCGATAGACGAGGAGTTGCTGCATTGCATAGAGATGCTATATTGCACGCAAAGGCTTTACTGACTTCACAAAAAAGTATTTGTCCCAGGTGTAGTGTACTAGATCCCTTCCAATCTGTAATTTTAATTTAAAAATGTCCAAATACCCCTGTTTTGAAGGATAAACTCTGTATGCTTGTGCTTATTTTGGAGAAGCCATAAACTTACTTTGTTTTGTACGTGATCAGATGTGGGCGCTATCTCCAACTGTCTTTGCACTTCTGAGTAAGAATCTGATGATTGTGCACAGTGACCTGGCTGTTCACTTCCCTGCCATTCAGTATGCTGTGCTCTACACATTGTATCCTCATTGTACCAGGTACTGTATTCACAAATTTTTCTTAAGAAAAGAACCCCACAAAACATTTTATTTTTTTAATGGATAGATTTTAAAGATGTATGTTGATTTAACTTTGGACTTGCTTGCTTTCTTTGATTAAAGATGAAAAGATAATCTATGCTTTGTCTTTCAGGCATGATCACTTTATCTTTAGTAGCCTCAGTTCTTCCTCTCCTTCTTTGTTTGATGGAGCTGTGATTGGCACTGTAACTACGGCCACAAAGAAACATTTCTCAATTATATTAAATCTTCTGGGAATGTTACTTAAGAAAGATAACCAGGACACGAGGTAACAGATATTATATAGTATTAACCATTCCTAACTTTGTTAATTTGCCTTTATAATTTGAGAAGAAGAAATGTGGATTACAAAAAATTTAAAAAAATGTGGATTATAGAGGTGAGGTAGAGCAGCTTCTTTATTGTCAAACACCTTATAATTTGGTTTTATTATTTAATCTAGGCTTTCTTATTCTTTCTGAAAAGAAATACATGAAAAACCTCAATCCCCCACCCCCAGTGTTTCATAGAAGAATATATATAGATTTTTAATATTCTTTGCTTTTTTTTTTTTTGAGACGGAGTTTTGCTCACTGCAACCTCTGCCTTCCAGGTTCAAGCAATTCTCCTGCCTCAGCCTCCCAAGTAGCCGCGATTACAGGTGCCCGCCACCACACCCAGCTAATTTTTGTATTTTTAGTAGAGATGGTGTTTCACCATGTCGTTGGCCAGGCTGGTCTTGAACTCCTGACCTCAGGTAAGCCACCACGCCCGGCCTCTTTGCTATTATCATGCTGCGTTGGGAGGTTTTCTTAAAAGGCACACAACAATTTTGACAGTAATTTCTATAGTTTCATTTTTTATTTTTATTTTTTATTGTTTGAGATGTTTGAAAAACCAAGAGAAAACCAATGTAAGAAGACTAGGCTTTTAACTTTTTTTGTTTTTGTTGTTTTTTTTTTTTTAATGTACAGTCAACTGTATATTTTGTGTTTCAGGAAACTGTTAATGACTTGGGCTTTGGAAGTAGCTGTTGTAATGAAGAAGTCCGAAACATATGCACCTTTATTCTGTCTTCCGTCTTTCCATAAATTTTGCAAAGGCCTTTTAGCTGACAGTAAGACTCTGTTTTTTTTTTTTTCTATTTTGTTTATCAGTCCTTAAAAGGGTCTTTGGTAATGGGAGATGGTCATGAATCGAGCTCTTTTCCTGACCTGAAGATGTGTAATCCTCATTTTAATGACAGATACACAGTCTTGATTTTTTTTCATTCTTAGTATTAGAAAAATGTTTTGAAGTGATTGTCACATTTTTAAGCTAACGTGAATGTTTATAGTTTACATATACTTTTACATTTTCTCTCAGAAAAAGTTTTGTGTGATGACCCATCAGTTACATTACGTGGGTTTTGTTGAATGTGTCATTTTTCCAAATGTGACAGTCAATGAGGATTCTGGACAAGAACAGTGCCTAGTCTATAGTAGGCACTCACTCTTTGTTGAATGAATGAATGGATTCAGATAATTATGACAAACTGGGATATAATTTCTTTTGGCCAGCTGAAAGTAACTGTCTTTTAATGTTTAATAGCTCTCGTTGAAGATGTGAATATCTGTCTGCAGGCATGCAGCAGTCTACATGCTCTATCCTCTTCCTTGCCAGATGATCTTTTACAGAGGTATGAAATTAAGATCATGTCTTTTGACATTAACCCTAATAACCTGGAACTGTTAACACACCTGCTTTGTCTATTTCGTTCTTTCATAGATGTGTTGATGTTTGCCGTGTTCAACTAGTGCACCGTGGAACTTGTATTCGACAAGCATTTGGAAAACTGTTGAAATCAATTCCTTTAGGTGTTGTCCTAAGGTATAACAGTTGTTTTGGAGCAAAGACATTCTGTGATATTTACAGCCTCTACTGGTTGTCTACTTTAGGAGAAGACACATCACCTATTAGAGCATTAATGACACATCTTTTATGGCCCTGCTTGTCAGTGATTGAAGTGATGTCAAATAATCAAATTTTGCAGGTCTGCAAGAAAATTAAAAATTTTTAATGAGCTTTATAGGCTCACAATAATTAGTATAGAATAACTCATGTAGTGCCAAAATATGTTTCTTAGTAGCTCAGATATTTGAAAAACTAAACAGTAATCTTTTATTGTTTTTGATCAAGTTGATTTGGGAGCTTTTAAGAGCCTAAACTTGATCCTTTTGTAATAGATAAGCATAATGATTGGGTTTTTATGTTCACATGTTTGATATGCCTCCCTCAAATCCTCTTATGATGTCGGCACATGACCCATCTGAGGTGAATAAAAAAAGGATCTAAAGTTGTAATCACATCTCTGTATCCATTTGAAAGTCTCAATTTTACTATATTTTTACCTCCAGTGAGTTAATAAGTAAATAATCCACTTACAGTATGTGCTAACCTTTTAAGCTAAAATATTTTGCATAACAACAACTTTATTTTCTGTCTACAGCGATAACAATCACACAGAAATTCAAGAAATTTCTTTAGCATTAAGAAGTCACATGAGTAAAGCACCAAGTAATACATTCCACCCCCAAGATTTCTCTGATGTTATTAGTTTTATTTTGTATGGGAACTCTCATAGAACAGGGTAAGACATTTCTTTGACTATTTTATCTGGGAAAGAAAATTTTAAGATTCCCTTGACTTTACATGCAGTTTTGAAGAGAAAATATGTTTGGGGGTGGCAGAGTATCAAGTAACATTCTTCTCATATGGGTTATTTCAGTTTTCATCAATAGGAAAATTGCTTTGAAGATAGCATCTGTAGAAACAAAAATGGGCTTTGAAATTGAGTAATGAAATGTGGTTAACAGTTAACTGATGTGATGTCATTAACACTTTGGGGAGTGGGGTGGGGGTGGAGATATTCTAGAGATGCTTAGTTGCATTGAATGAGTTTCATTCCTGACTGGCATGAGCCGTTTACCCTAATCATCCTTCCACACTGTACCTCATCCTGTTAACTATACAAGACCTCAAAATGAGAGGGGGGGACATAATGCTTCTCAATTTCATAGGTTTTGCCTTTTTTTGGAGTAGGGAAAATTACAGTTCCTTATTCCCATTCCCCTTGCATTTTTTTTTCATTATTAAAATGAAGTTGTCATTGTCTTTTAAATATGAAACTACTTTTCCCAGGAAGGACAATTGGTTGGAAAGACTGTTCTATAGCTGCCAGAGACTGGATAAGCGTGACCAGTCAACAATTCCACGCAATCTCCTGAAGACAGATGCTATCCTTTGGCAGTGGGCCATATGGGAAGCTGCACAATTCACTGTTCTTTCTAAGCTGAGAACCCCACTGGGCAGAGCTCAAGACACCTTCCAGACAATTGAAGGTAACTCGCTCAAGCTTTATGATGTGAATACTTTCAAAGCCTTATTGAGAAATAATGGATTTTTAAATCTTTGTTAAAGATTTGAGGGTATATGATTTTTTTTGAAAAAAGTCAATAATTTTCAGGTTTGTTTGTTAGAATAAGCTTTCATTGAATAATTGCATTGGAAATATGTTTGTTTTTTTTCCAAAACTTATGGGAGTTGTGTGGAAAAAATATATATTTTTTTCCCCTAAAATGAAAGATCTTTCATGTTGGGATTTTTTATTTTTAAATGATGGGTAGACAGAGGATACTTGATAAATGTGAATTGGTCATAAAAAACTCACACTTATTCTAGGAACTTTTAAGATTTTTAAAAATTCAGAATGTTGTCTTTGCTTTCAGGTATCATTCGAAGTCTCGCAGGTCACACATTAAACCCTGATCAGGATGTTAGTCAGTGGACAACTGCAGACAGTGATGAAGGCCATGGTAACAACCAACTTAGACTTGTTCTTCTTCTGCAGTATCTGGAAAATCTGGAGAAATTAATGTATAATGCATACGAGGGATGTGCTAATGCCTTAACTTCACCTCCCAAGGTTGGTTTCCGGGAGATAGTGTTGTTTTATAGCAGTTTAATGGTCACAGCTGGCAGTATGTGCAGAGCTGAAATCACAATAGACTTGTGTATTTGGTTTATATATAGGTGAGACATCCTTACCTACAAATTGAACCAGTCCTGAGCTTTTCTTTCTCTTATCGTAAAGGTCATTAGAACTTTTTTGTATACCAATCGCCAAACTTGTCAGGACTGGCTAACGCGGATTCGACTCTCCATCATGAGGGTAGGATTGTTGGCAGGCCAGCCTGCAGTGACAGTGAGACATGGCTTTGACTTGCTTACAGAGATGAAAACAACCAGCCTATCTCAGGTAAAGTGGTGTGTTTGAAATTCATTTTAAGTCTGTTAATAAGAAAAACATGGTTTAATTCCTTTGGTATGATTTAATCTATGGATAAAATAAGTTAAAGCTTGGATTCATTTTCAAAGGTTTTGATCCTGTATTTTGTAAAAGCAACAACTGCCAGAGTTACCTATTTTATTCGTGTTAAAACAGTGTTAGAAGTCAAAATAATGTTCATGTTTTTGTTCATGTTAAAACAATATTCATGTTAGAACACGTTAAAACTCTATTTCTTCCGTGCAAAGTTTAGAACTTTAAAGGTAATTCTGAAAATTTGTTTATGGGGGAAAATTTTTATTTATTTATTTATTTTTTTGAGACACAGTTTCACTCTGTCGCCCAGGCTGGAGTGCAGTTGTGCGATCTCGGCTCACTGTAAGCTCCGCCTCTCGGGTTCAAGCCTCTTCTTGCCTCAGTCCCTGGGATTACAGGCACCCACCACCATACCCGGCTAAGTTTTGTATTTTTAGTAGAGACAGGGTTTCACCATGTTGGCCAGGCTGGTCTCGAACTCCTGACCACAAGTGATCCGCCCACCTCGGCCTTCCAAAGTGCTGGGATTACAGGCATGAGCCACTGCACCTGGCCAGGAGAAATTGTTTTTATAACGTATGACAAATGCTTGAGTAATTCCTGGCTTGAAAGTGGGCTCACAATAAATAACTGGAATCCAAAAATAACAAAATGTTTAGCAATTCAGGTAATGTCAAGCAGTTTTCAAACACATGAAGTTAATCATTCCTTAATTCCTGTTTATTTATATTTCATTTTTGCTTTCTTTTTACTCCATGTGTTATTCCTACAGAGGTCACAGGTTAAATGTTTTTGGGTAACTTTGGGGTGGGGGTACAAACATCCATGTGCTGCTAAGGTTCTGTTAGTCACCCTTTGTGGCTATTTTATATGTAACATTTTAAAGAATTCTGAGCTAAATAATGTGAAAATTGTGACAATAATTGTTAAATACATTTGGCTTTAAGCAGGCACAGACTGATCAGTTGTAAATTTTATAGGGATTTATGTTTTAATGGTATTGGGTGACTAACTTTTCTGAATGCGTTTTCAGGGGAATGAATTGGAAGTAAGCATTATGATGGTGGTAGAAGCACTATGTGAACTTCATTGTCCTGAAGCTATACAGGGAATTGCTGTCTGGTCATCATCTATTGTTGGAAAACATCTTCTGTGGATTAACTCAGTGGCTCAACAGGCTGAAGGGAGGTAGGTTGGAGGGAAGGAAATGGGTGATAGAATTACTTTATGTTTAAATTCTTTGTATTACTCACTGACATTGTAGCCAAATCTTAAAACAGCTTTGTTTGCTTTCAGCATTGAAGCTTGCTATAAATCCCTTCACCAGGAGGCATCTTCAGTTTGTTCTTTAGTTAGCAGCAATACTGGAGTGCCTTTCTTATTTAAGAATTAGTGGCAAATCACACTGTAAAACAAGACCTGTCAGTTGTTTTATAAATGCTTTTGAACTTGATCCCTAGTTGAGCTCCTTCCCCCTCAGAGTCTGATACAAATTACCCTTTATTGTCAGAGTATTTGCTCGTTAGTCCAGTGAACTCTACATTCAGACTCATTGCTTCCTCCAGGTAGAGGAGCTTGTACCATAATATTCTGTGTCCATTTATGTTAGTTTAATGAAATCTTGCGAACTTAGGAAAATAAAAGAACTGCTCATACTTCCATATCTTTGTAGTAACTTCTGTTGTGTGTCCTTTTGTAGTCCCATATTTCCATATCCATACGCTTTGTAATTCTTTTTTCTTTCATGTCGTTTCCTCCATTCTTCACCAAAACATCAGCGTACATAGGCACATGGTTTTATGATCTGTTTTTCCCACTCAATATTTAAAAAAACAAAATTTGCCATGTTAGGTAGGCTGGGTTCGGTGGCTTACATCTGTATTCCCAGCACTTTGGGAGGCCGAGGCAGGTGGATCACCTGAGGTCAGGAGTTCAAGACCAGCCTGGCCAACATGGTGAAACCCCGTCTCTACTAAAAATACAAGAAAATTAGCCGGGCATGGTGGCGAGCGCCTGTAATCCCAGCTACTCAGGAGGCTGAGGCAGGAGAATCGCTTGTACACGGGAGGCAGAGGTTGCACTGAGCTGAGACAGTGCCATTGCACTCCAGCCTGGGCAAGAAGAGCAAAACTTCATCTCAAAAAAAAAAAGTAAGTAGTTAGATAAATAAAGAAATAAGACTGCTTCAATTTGCTTTTCAGGTTTGAAAAGGCCTCTGTGGAGTACCAGGAACACCTGTGTGCCATGACAGGTGTTGATTGCTGCATCTCCAGCTTTGACAAATCGGTGCTCACCTTAGCCAGTGCTGGGTGTAAGAGTGCCAGCCTGAAACATTGTCTGAATGGTGAGCATTCAGTATTTTTAAATAAAGCAAAAGTTATAGTAATATATTTCGTACTGATGTTCTTATCATGTTTTTAGGTTTCTGTGCTCTTTGAAATATTTCTAATTGATCTGAATCTCTCTCTTCTTATTTTATAAAATACTTTCAGGTGAATCCAGAAAAAGTGTGCTGTCCAAACCGACTGACTCTTCCCCTGAGGTTATAAATTATTTAGGAAACAAAGCATGTGAGTGCTACATCTCAACTGCCGATTGGGCTGCTGTGCAGGAATGGCAGAACGCTATCCATGACTTGAAAAAGAGTACCAGTAGCACTTCCCTCAACCTGAAAGCTGACTTCAACTATATAAAGTAAGGCTTTCTGTTTCCAGTTATAAAACAAATTTCCAATAACTATGATGTTTTTCCTATGGCAAAAAAATATTAAAATTGGTCATATGTAGTAATACAAAATGGTTATATTTCTAACTTACTGCCATTATGAAAATGACAACAGGAAACTGACATCAGAGATGAGGGAAGGTATTTGTATAATGGGAAAACACTGCTGAGATAGTCATTTGGTATTAATTTTCAGAACCTGTCGTTCTAAAACCTTAATACAGTTTGAAGATTATGCCAGAGTGAATATAAAGAAAAATTTGTACTGCTTTAGAAAGAATCACATTTGATGGCTTTGTTTCGAAATGAGGTCTGAATATATCAAAAACATTTATTCTAATGAGGACAGAGTTTGTGAACATCTGTAAATTAAACTTTCTTCTCATTCCTCTGTGCTTTTATTAATTCTGTAATTCAAAACTGAGCACTCACTCTGTTGCAGACACTTGGCTGGGAAGATAAAGGTCATTAGACTTTGTCTGATACCCTTGCCTTCTACTGCTAAATGGGTTAATGTGTAATTGCTTCACTGAGCATGTGCTGTGACCCAGGCAGCACATAAAACAGACACAAATTCCAACCTTTTAAAGCAAAGATTAGATAAAGATTATTGATAGAAGGACTAATTGGACCTCACTCACCTTTTCTGTGCCATAAGGAAAGCAGTTAGGTAAAGCTGACCTTCTTTGGAGGGAAGACACAAGGTCAAGACATGCCCATCAGGATGCCCTTTGGGCCTAGACCTGATGTGAGAATGATGGGCTTGGAGTGTTCTGGAAATAGCTGGGAGGCCTGTGTGTTTAGGAGCGCCTTAAACAGTAGGATATAAGGGCAGAGAAGTAGCTGGGAACTGAGAAAAGAACTTTGGCTGTTATTCTAGTAAGACTGAAAATTTCAGGTGGGATTTGAACAGAGATGTGTTGTGATCTGACTTGGTTCATTCTGCTGTGGTGAAGAGACTGGAGGTGCGGGGCAAGTATGGAAGCATGGAGACCATTAATTTATGGGGGCAATGGTAGAGGGAAGAGAAACAATGCTATTAACTGGAGTAGGAGCACACAGAGAACAAGCCCTGTTTTAAGATTTCTAATGAAATGTGCAGATGAGATTGTTGGGTAAGCTGTTAAGAATTGGATTTTGAACTAAGGAGACAGTCTAAGCTTGAGAGATTTGCAGATGATTAGTACACAGAAAAGGCCCTCTTTCCTTTTCAGTCTCTATACTCTAGAGCCTTTGTAAGCAACCAAACCAGAGAGAAGCCTCTGGAGAATAGTGAGTGAAGAGGAAGGAAGGCCTGGGTCAGAATCCTAGTTTAGCATTTTTGTGAAAGGATAGAAGAGGAAGCCATTCAAAAAAATACAGGGACATTGAGAAGGGAAGTGCCCTAGATATAGGACATCCAGATGGGAGTAGTCAGCCTTGTCAGATGCTCTAGGGATTATAAGGAAAAAGAGTTTTGTAGAGAGACAGAAGAAGCTAGATTGAATAGTATTGAGTGGTAGAGACATTTGAAAATGAAAAGCTTGAGGTAAGTTATTTGGTCAGTGAGTTTTTCTTGAAGTCGAGGATAGGAAGCTGTTGCTGGAGGGAAATATGAGATGTTTATTTTAAATGTTGGAGAGATTATGTTCTTTTGGCCAAGGGGAAGGAGCCACTAGAAAGCAGAGGTTGAAGAAACAGGAGAAAGAACATTGATAGATTAACTGGCCCTCACCTTTTCTCTGCCTCAAGGAAAGCAGTCAAAGTTGGTATAGACAGAATTTCGGCAGTGTATGGTGGATTGGGGGTAGGGGTAGAGGAAATTAAAGCCTGTGTTTTTTTGTTTGTTTGTTTTTTCTGAGGACTGAGTCATTAGCTGAAAGCATAGGGCATTATAGAGCATAGTGGGGACTTGGGGAACCTGCCACTGGAGAGGACTTAGGACCTTTTAATGGCAGAAATGATGACTGTGTTGGCAGCAGTTCATCAGTGCCCAGTACTCAAGGGTCCCCCTGAGAAGCCAGTGGTTGCACTGATCTAGGTAGAATCAGGCACAGAATAAGTCAGGTGATGTGCCTTTCTAGCACTGGCCTCAGGCTGAGTTATAAGGGAAGTTACACAGCGAGAGGGACAGGCAAAGATGGAAAAGAGAGAGAGTGAGAAACAGTGTCTTCTTCCTGGCTGGAGAGCCCGTGTCATGAAAATGGGGACAGGGTAAGGGATCTGAAAGGAGCAGCATAGAAGCTGGGAGGATGAGGCCTGTCTTCCTGGCATTGATGCTGCAGAACTACAGGAAAGAATTTCAGAGGTGTCATTATTTTTCATATAAGCAGATGAAAGAGAAGAATTCTTTGAAAAAAGAAAAGTAGGTGAAAAAGGGAGAGACGGAGGGATGCCAGCAGTGAAAGAAGCCAGGACTGAGATACAAGATTGTGATGCTGGGAGAGCTGCAAGGGCTCATGCTGTAGGTGAGGAGTGAGGCTGCACAGGGAGCTCACTGGCAGCTTGGAGAGAACTGGGTGTCAAAGTTGTCCTGCAGAGGTCTACTGTCAGTGTGTCAGGCTCTGAAGAGAACAGGCTGCAACACATGAAAACAGGAAGGAGACACGGGCGAGTCAGCTCCACTGAAAGTCTGTAGCTGTGACTTTCTGGTTTGCCACTCCAATTTGAGTACTAATTAAGTGGTAGTCACATCTGCAACATAAAAACCAAAATAATGGCATCCTCGTGGAAGGAATTTTGTCAGAAAAGTGCTGTGTACTTTGCTGTCTTCCTAGGATTTGTTCTGTTTTTGTTTGTTTGTTTTTTTTAATGGTTCCACAGGCTGCATAGGAATACAAGCTAACCAATATTTTAATTACAGATCATTAAGCAGCTTTGAGTCTGGAAAATTTGTCAAATGTACCGAGCAATTAGAATTGTTACCAGGAGAAAATATCAATCTACTTGCTGGAGGATCAAAAGAAAAAATAGGTAGGTACTTGAGAAAATAGTTTTAAAGTTATTTTAGTGGACAAGTTGCTCAAAATGTTTGGCTTAGTATATTTTACTGGAAAATCTGGAAGTTATTTTACATTTTTGTGGGGGCAGAATCCCATGTGAAGCAACAAATTTAGGGCTGCCCTATTTATGTTTGATTTGGGAAATGAAAAGCACTTAAAATTAAGTCAAATAAAAAAAATGACCACCTTAATACTTTGAGATTTATCTAGCCATTTTGTTTGATAAAGGACAAAGTAGTGTTTCAGCTAAATATTTTTCTTGATTTTCATCTTGATGTGGCTCATTAAGTTCTTTATCACAAATGGAACACTTGATAAGATGTTATTAAAAAGTTTAATGAGTATTCTGGATTGAGCAAGATTTGCTAATGCAGGTCTAGATTTGTCCCCTTAAATAGTAGATTGACTTACCGATTTTCTTTTTTGTTGAGACAGAGTCTCACTCTGTTGCCCAGGCTGGAGTGCAGTGGCGCGATTTCGGCTCACTGCAACCTCCGCCCTCTGAGTTCAAGCGATTCTCCTGCCTCAGCCTCCTGAGTAGCTGGGATTACAGGTGTCTGCCACCGTGCCAAGCTAATTTTTTGTATTTTTAGTAGAGACGGGGTTTCATCATCGTGGCCAGGCTGGTCTTGAACTCCTGACTTCGTGATCCACCCACCTTGGCCTCCCAAAGTGCCGGGATTACAGGCGTGAGCCACCACGCCTGACCTCGACTTACTGATTTTTGAGCCTTTGAAGGCAACTGCTTTTTAGGGGTCTGAGGTACAGTAATTTTGTATGAAGTATGATTTTTATATAGCTCTCAGTAATGCTTATAGTGTTTAACTGCCTGAAATATTAAAGGAGCTGTTCATTGGTGATTAGTTTTTAATAATGCCAAACATAAATCAAAATTTATAATAAAAGCACATTAACTTAATGACATTTCATTTAACTTCTGTAGACATGAAAAAACTGCTTCGTAACATGTGAAGTCCAGATCCAAGGGAACCTCAGAAATCCATTGAAGTTCCATTGTTAAGAAGTTCTGTTTGTTTGGCAACTGCTTTAAACCCGATAGAACAAGATCAGAAGTGGCAGTCTATAACTGAGTAAGTTTACTCTTACGGAGGTAAATGTACATTGTGTATATCATGTGATAAACATACATGGGGTGAAGAGGGCTGGAAGGAGAGTTACTAGATTACTAAATACTAGTGCTAATAGCTTCATTTTAGTTGTAGAAGTCATATGATATATGAATGCTGCTTGCCAACAAAAACTGAGGTTGAAATGAAATAAAATGTAAAAATCCCCAAAAGCAAATGTCTTGACTTGCTGATACCATTTTATTATAGAGCAGGCTGCTCCTCTTACTGCCCCCTAACTTTGGATGTCAATTTGATAGCATCTTATCAATTGCTTTATTCTTTGAGTGGTTATGAATTGTAATTTTTATTAATTGACAGTAAATATTTTGTTTCAGAAATGTGGTAAAGTACTTGAAGCAAACATCCCGCATCGCTATTGGACCTCTGAGACTTTCTACTTTAACAGTTTCACAGTCTTTGCCAGTTCTAAGTACCTTGCAGCTGTATTGCTCGTCTGCTTTGGAGACCACAGTTTCTAACAGACTTTCAACAGAGGTCTGTATATTTTTACAAGCACACTCTTATGACTATTAATGGTCATTACTGTAGAACAAAGACCTTATTTTTTGAGTTTTTTGGAATAGGATTTGTAGTTGGGCAAGCTGGTAAATCCAGAAATCTAACATGCTGTTTTCAGGCAGTCTTTCATTTGGGAAGTACATGGGGCAGATGGAAGAACCTGAGATAATCGCAAGGATGGCAAATTGCTCAGTTTTTTCTTCTATTTTTGGGGTGGGAGGTGGTGTATGTAAAGACAGTTCCTTTAGGCAGATCACGTAAATTTTAGATTTGCTGCAAACAAAGATCTCTCCTCTTCATCCTAAATGGGGTAAAGTTCGACCAGAGATGGGGGCTTCTGAATGAATGGTGATCTTCGAGAACTTCATAATAAAGCATTAGTTGTAATGTTTTTCTGCAGTCTGCTTTATAGTAAATGTGCTGTGACTTTTTTTTTTGTAATGTGCTTTATTAAGTATATTGATAAATTAGACTTAATATTCTGAAGAAGATTTCCCTTCAAAACAAAAGGCTTTCTCTTACTGTGTGCTTGCCTCTTGTGAGTAGAAGATAAATGATGTAAGGGTATAGTGTAATAGATAAAACTACTGCAATCAATCTGAAGTAGCCAAACTATATTGCAGTCTTGGACTTAAGACTTGCTATATATCTGCAAACATATCAACAGCCTGTTTTACGTTGAGTAATTTTGGTTTTTCTCTGGCAGGACTGTCTTATTCCACTCTTCGGCGAAGCTTTACGTTCATGTAAACAGCATGACGTGAGGCCGTGGATGCAGGCATTAAGGTATACTGTGTACCAGAATCAGTTGTTGGAGAAAATTAAAGTTAAGTGGTTTTCCTTTTTTTTTTTTGTAAGAGAAAATTAAAGGTGGTTTTTTTTTTTAAATTTTGCTTTATTGAGGTTTATATTACACATTCTAAGTGTATGGTTTGATGAGTTCTAACATGTCTTCACTTGTGTGACCACCAATACGATCGAGATAGAGAACAGCGTCTTACCCCAGAAGGTTCCCTTGGGATCATCTCCTCATTTGCCCCTGTCAGCAGTTACTGATTTGCTTTCTGTCACTATGGATTAGACTTGTCTTTACTAAAGTTTCATGTACGTGAAATCATAACAACATGTTCTCTTGTGTTTGGCTTCTCTTGCTCAGCATGATATTTTTACGGTTCACCCATATTGCATGTATCAGGAATATAATCCTTTTTATTATTGAGTAGTGTTCTATTGTATGTATATACCACAGTTTATTTCTCCCTTCATCCTTTGCTAGATTTTGGGGTTTTTTCACATTGCGCTATTCAGTATAAACCTGCTCTCAACATTCATGTGCAAGTCTTTGAGTGGACATATATTTGCGTTTCTCTTGAGTGAATGCACCTTGTTGGGTCACGTGGCTTAACTTAAAAAAATTTTAATCACTGTGGTGCATATGTAGTGATTATTAGTGATTATCTCATAATTTTATTTTCTTGTTTAATGATGTTGAGTGTATTTCATTTGTATTTTAGTTTGCAAATGTTTGTTCAAATTCTTCACCTGTTTTTAATGAAGACGTACGACTTATTTTTGTGTTCTGAACATAAGTTCTTTGTCACATAAAATGTGCTATGAATGTTGAGTTTTAAATACTCCAAATGAATGGCTAGAGAATTACTATTTGTAGAAATATTTATATGTCAAAGGGATGCTAACAATTTACTTTATTGCTCTAAAATAGAAAAGTTGCCAGAATGCTGTGGAGTTTTAGTGGAAAACATGATAGCTGGTGTTACTGAGTAAATTTGAGTGTTAAATGTCAATGTAAGCTAACGGCCAAGATAGGGACCACTGCAGGGTGGTTACTTGCAGCTATGACTCAACTGGTCCTTCACTGCCAAACATACCTGGGGTTGGATCATTGGCCTGATGTTTGCAAATTGAGGAACCTTAGGGCAAATCAATGAACTTCTGAACTGCCTTCGTCTTCAGTTATATGGGGATTTCCCCACTTTTGAGGTACTTGTAAGGATTATATGAGATGAAGAGATGAGACAAGGTATATAAAAGTCCTAGCACAGAGCGTGTCATATAATATGGCTTCACAAGTACCCTCATCTCCTTTCCAGTCGTTTTTTGTTTTTGTTTTTGTTTTTTTGAGACCATCTCACTCTGTTGCCCAGGCTGGAGTGCCTCTTCATTTTTATTTCTTTATTCAGCAAGTATTGATCAAATGTGCTTTGTACCAGGTACTGAGCTCTTCGTTGGGATATAATGGTGATCAAGGAGATTGTAGATTCTGGCAGGGAAAACTGACATCAAACACGGCGACCCGACATAGTGAGACC
Organism: Homo sapiens; assembly: GCF_000001405.40. NCBI lineage: Eukaryota > Metazoa > Chordata > Mammalia > Primates > Hominidae > Homo > Homo sapiens. The sequence goes on from NW_017852933.1 coordinate 1,227,205, forward strand.
CTGTCTCTACTAGAAGAACTTTAAAAATCACCTAGGTGTGGGCCGGGCACGGTGGCTAACGCCTGTAATCCCAGCACTTTGAGATGCTGAGGCAGGTGGATCACGAGGTCAGGAGATCGAGACCATCCTGGATAACACGGAGAAACCCCGTCTCTACTAAAAATACAAAAAAATTAGCCGGGCGTGGGGGCGGGCATCTGTAGTCCCAATTACTCGGGAGGCTGCAGCAGGAGAATGGCATGAACCCGGGAGGCGGATCTTGCATTGAGCCAAGATCACGCCACTGCACTCCAGCCTGGGCGACAGAATGAGACTCCATCTCAAAAAAAAAGAAGAAACCAAGGATATAGAATAAAACAAGAGTGTAGATTTGGGCATTGAGGCCTTCAAATTGGATTGTTCTCAATGTCCAGAAGAAAAAAAAAATTTAGAAGAGACCCAAATCAGAAAACAAAAGTTGGGCTGAATTCAATGCGAATTATTTTCTAGCTCAATATTAATACTGCTTATGTCAGCTGAATTTCAGCCTTTCAATAACAGCTAGTCAAGTATTTTTTTAGTTGGTTCCTATTGATCGTCATCTTATTTTAGTGGAATCCATTATATTGAAGATGTCAAGTTCCTCATTTCCCATACAAAGAATGTGAGATTCATCTTTCTTGAATCTTTGCTAAGTGTTGAAGGGGACTTTTGGCATCTTTTCAGGAGGACTATAATTGGGCCCTCTAACTAAAAAGTCTCCTATGCCCCTTAGATAGATGAGATTTTTTTTTTTGACCTTGTACCCACCAACATTGGTGGGAGGCTCAGAAGGGACTGTGTTTGTAACTTTGTAGCACTTTCTAAACAGTGACCTGTTGTATGGGCATTATAGGACAGTCCGTGGGGTGGGGCGGGGGATGGGGGAGATGGACAAATGAGGTCTGGTTTAAAGAATGAGAAGTGTGACCAGGCATGGTGACTCATGCCTGTAATCCAGCACTTTGGGATGCTGAGGCAGGAGGATCACTTGAGCCCAGGAGTTTGAGGTTACAGTAAGCTATGATTGTGCCACTGGGCTCCAGCCTGGGTGACAGAACTAGACCCTGTCTCTAAAAAAAGAAGAAGAGGTGTGTATCCTTCTAAATGATAAAACAGATCACTCCCCTGCTTACATAAAACTTTCCGGTGGCTGGCCAGGCACGGTGGCTCACGACTGTAATCCCAGCACTTTGGGAGGCCGTGGTGGGCAGATCACGAGGTCAGGAAATCGAGACCATCCTGGCTAACGTGGTGAAATCTTGTCTCTACTAAAAACACAAAAAATTAACCCAGGTATGGTGGCATGCACCTGTAGTCCCAGCTACTCGGGAGGCTGAGGCAGGAGAATCGCTTGAACCAGGGAGGTGGAGGTTGCAGTGAGCTGAGATTGCGCCACTGCACTCCAGCCTGGGTGACAGAGACTCTGTCTCAAAAAAAAAAAAAAAAAAGAAAAAGAAAAATTAGATGGGTGTGGTGGCATGTGCCTGTAATCCCAGCTACTGGGGAGCCTGAGGCAGGAGAATCGCTTGAACCTGGGAGGCAGAGGTTACAGTGAGCCAAGATTGCACCACTGCAGTCTGCCTGGGTCACAGAGCTAGACTCTGTCTCAAAAACAGAAAAACAAAAAAACAACTTTCCAGTGGCTTCTCACTGCTCTGAGAATAAACTCCAGGCTCTTCCATTGCAACCAACAGGATCTGGTGATTCGACCCCAGCCCCTCTTTCCAGGCCCTCATCACCTTGATCCTCCCTTAACCTATCCTGCTCCAGCTGCACTGGCTGCCTTCCTATTCCTCCAGCATACCAAGATTGTTTCTGCCACAGGGCCTTTGCATCTGCTGTTCTCTTCGCCTGGACACCTCTTGGTTCTTTTTTTTTTTTTTCTTTGAGATGGAGTCTCACTCTGTCGCCCAGGCTGAAGTGCAGTGGCGCGATCTCGGCTCACTGCAAGCTCCGTCTCCCAGGTTCATGCCATTCTCCTGCCTCAGCCTTCCGAGTAGCTGGGACTACAGGCATCCGCCACCACGCCCGGCTAATTTTTTTGTATTTTTAGTAGAGACGGTTTCACCGTCTTAGCCAGGATGGTCTCGATCTCCTGACCTCGTGATCCGCCCGCCTGGGCCTCCCAAAGTGCTGGGATTACAGGTGTGAGCCACCGTACCCGGCCATAGAGCAGCCTCTTCCTTTTCCTGTTGGGTCTCTGCTCAGATGTCATGTCAGAGAGGCAGACCTCTGGGGCGGTCTATCTGAGGGAATGCACCCATCTCCCTTCCTCTGACCAGTTAGTTACCTTGCTTATTCTTTCAAAGCTCTTACCACCACCTGAAGTCATCTATCTGGTTTGGTTATTTTATTGTTTAGTAGCAGTCTTTATTTTATTATTATTATTATTTTTTGATGGAGTCTCACTCTGTTGCCCAGGCTGGAGTGCAGTAGCATGATCTCGGCTCACCAGAACCTCTGCCTCCCAGGTTCAAGCGATTCTCCTGCCTTAGCTTCCTGAGTAGCTGGGACTACAGGCACGTGCCACCATGCCCAGCTGATTTTTGTACTTTTAGTAGAAACGGGGTTTCACTATGTTGGCTGGTCTTGAACTCCTGACATCAAGTGATCCGCCCACCTCGGCCTCCCAAAGTACTGGGATTACAGGCATGAGCCACCACGCCAGGCTGGTAGCAGTCTTTCCTAGAATGTGGATGCCTTGGAAAACAGGGGCTCTGCCTTGTTTCCCTAGAACCTAGAATGGCATCTGGCACACAGCAGATGCTACATCTATTGTAAATGAATGAATGAAAGAAGTGTCCTTGCAGCCACACTGGCAGCCGTAACATAGTGGTTATAAATCTAGACTCTGGAGTCTCAAGTGCAAATGTCATTGGCCTCTCCTCCAGCCTCCTCAAGGGGCACTCAATGACTGGAAGCGCCCTGATATGACTGTGGTTGGACTGACATGACTGCCAGATGGTGGGACTTGGTCTGGAGCAGAGACTACTTGGAATGGTAGAGGCAAAACTCAACAGCCCCTGGAGCTGCGCTTGTGGTGGAGCTGGACCCTGATTTTAGCTGGACCTTGTTTTTAGAGACAGGGTTTCCTTCTGCAGTCTCAATCTCCTAGCCTTGATTGATCCTCCTGCCTTGGCCTCCCAAAGTGCTGGGACTACAGGTGCATGCAACCACACCTGGCTAATTTTCTTCTCTTCTTTCTTTTTTTTTTTTTTTTTGATGGAGTCTTGTTCTGTTGCCCAGGCTGGAGTGCAATGGTGCCATCTCGGCTCACTGCAACCTCTGCCTCCCGGGTTCAATCCATTCTCCTGCCTCAGCCTCCCAAGTAGCTGGGACTACAGGTGTGTGCCACCGTGCCTGGCTAATTTTTGTATTTTTAGTAGGGATGAGACTTCACCATGTTGGCCAGGCTGGTCTCGACCTCCTGACCTCAGGTGATCCACCCACCTTGGCCTCCCAAAGTGCTGGGACTACAGGCACATGCAACCACGTCTGGCTAATTTTCTTGAGTTTTAGTAGAGACTGGGTCTCGTTATGTTGTCCAGGCTGGTCCCGAGCTCCTGAGTTCAATCGATCTTCCTGCCTTGGTCTCCCAAAGTGCTGGGCCTACAGGCATGAGCCACCATCCCCAGCCCAATTTTTGTATATTTTGTAGAGACACAGTCTTGCTATGTTGTCCAGGCTGGTCTCAAACTCCTGGGCTCAAGGGATCTTCTTGCCTTGGCCTCCCGGAGCACTTAATTACAGGAATGACTGCATGTGCTGTTGTGCCTATACTTTCTGGAGATACGTTGTTAGGAATTTATGTAGTTGGCCGGGCACGGTGGCTCACGCCTGTAATCCCAGCACTCTGGGATGCCGAGGCAGGTGGATCACCTGAGGTCAGGAGTTCGAGACCAGCCTGGTCAACATGGTGAAACCCTGTCTCTACTAATAATACTAAAATCAGAGGTTGCTTGCAGTGAGCCAAGATCATACCATTGCACTGCAGCCTGGGCAACAGAGCGAGACTCTGTCTCAAAAAAAAAAAAAAAGGAATTTACATAGTTGAACAACTATTCTTTGGACATCTTTTAGTCCAGTAGACGGTGTTAAACTTGAAGACAAATAACGATTTGACCTGTGATATTTGTTTTTCCCTCTTATCTTCTAAGCCCATTCATCCAGATCATTCATCACCTTTAAAGGCATCCCCAGAGGGAGGCAGGTCTGGACAGAGCTGAAGATTGCACAGGCCATTTGCAGGCTGGATTAGTTCTGTGGTGACCCACCTGTCTGACTCGAGTTATTTTTTTCCCATGTCTGGACAAGACTGACCTCTGCCCAGCAACTCAGGCCTGGATTTAGTCCAAGGGCCCTCAGTGGCTTGTTTGTTTGTTTTTTCAGGAAGTGAAGAATTTAGAGGGATAAAAGGCGGAAATAACTTTTCAGCCTCTGACCTTTGTAACAATCTAGTTTCCTTTTAAAGGAGCATTGTTTGGGCCTGGGGCCACCTAGACCTTCTGATGCTCTTTCCCCACCCTTGGAGGAGGAGGAAAGGAAGAAAATGGGCCCTGAGCGATCACCACATACCAGGCCCTGGGGGTCTAGTGGCGAAGGAGGCAGGTAGGGTCTCTTGCTTTCATGGAGCTTCTAGTCAAGCGAGACGCACTAAACAGTAAAGGGACAAATAGGATTACTGGAGGTAGCCCTAACTACTGGGACAGAAACAAGATGGTAAGATAGAGAAGGAAGAGTGGCCTGCTCAGATGGGGTGGTCCAGAGGCCTCTCGGGGGAGGTGACTCCTTTTTATTTTATTTTTTTTGAGATGGAATCTAGCTCTGTCGCCCAGCCTGAAGTGCAGTCGTGTGTTTCATGCGCGTCCGTGTGAAGAGACCACCAAACAGGCTTTGTGTGAGCAACATGGCTGTTTATTTCACCTGGGTGCAGGCGGGCTGAGTCCGAAAAGAGAGTCAGCAAAGGGTGGTGGATTATCATTAGTTCTTACAGGTTTTGGGATAGGGGGTGAAGAGCCATGTTTTGCAGGCAGGGGTGGATCTCACAAAGTACATTCTCAAGGGTGGGGAGAATTACAAAGAACCTTCTTAAGGGTTGGGGAGATTACAAAGTACCTTCTTAAGGGTGGGGGAGATTACAAAGTACATTGAAGAGTTAGGGTGGGGCAGAAACAAATCACAATGGTGGAATGTCATCAGTTAAGGCTATTTTTACTTCTTGTGTGGATCTTCAGTTACTTCAGGCCATCTGGATGTATACGTGCAAGTCACAGGGGATGCAATGGCTTGGCTTGGGCTCAGAGGCCTGACAGTGTGATCTTGGCTCACTGCAAACTCTGCCTCCTGGGTTCAAGCAATTTTTGTGCCTCAGCTTCCCGAGTAGCTGGGATTACAGGTGCCCGCCACCATGCCCAGCTAATTTTTGTATTTTTAGTAGAGACATAGAGTTTCACCAGATTGGCCAGGCTGGTCTCGAACTCCTGTCTCACGTGTCTGTGTGAAGAGACCACCAAACATGCTTTGTGTGAGCAACATGGCTGTTTATTTCACCTGGGTGCAGGCGGGCTGAGTCCGAAAAAGGAGTCAACAAAGGGTGGTGTGATTATCACTGGTTCTTATAGATTTGGGGATAGGCGGTGGAGTTAAGAGCAGTGTTTTGGGGGCAGGAGGTGGATCTCATAAAGTACATTGTCAAAGGTGAGGAGAATTACAAAGAAACTTCTTAAGGGTGGGGGAGATGATAAAGAACCTTCTTAAGAGTGGGGCAGATTACAAAGTACATTGATCAGTTAGGGTGGGGCAGAAACAAATGACAATGGTGGAATGTCTTCAGTTAAGGCTGTTTTCACTTCTGTGGATCTTCAGTTGCTTCAGGCCATCTGGATGTATACGTGCAGGTCACTGGGATATGATGGCTTAGCTTGGACTCAGAGGCCTGACATTCCTGTCTTCTTATGTTAATAAGAAAAATAAAACAAAATAGTGGTAAAGTGTTGGGGTGGCGAAAATTTTTGGGGGTGATATGGAGAGATAATGGGCGATGTTTCTCAGGGCTGCTTCGAGTGGGATTAGGGGCGGCATGGGAACCTACAGTGGGAGAGATTCAACTGAAGAAAGATTTTGGGGTAAGGGCTGATACTGTGGGGTTGTTAGAAGGAGCATTTGTCATATAGAATTATTGGTGATGGCCTGAATATGGTTTTGTATGAATTGAGAAACTAAACAGAAGACACACGGTCCGAATAAGAGAAGGAGAAAAACAGGTATTAAAGGACTAAGAATTGGGAGGACCCAGGACATCCAATTAAGAGAGTGCCCAAGGGGGTTCAGCATAATTATTTGCTTGGTTGGCAAGTTTTTGGACTCTATCCTTGAGTTTTTTTATGTTGTCATATACCAGGCCAGATTGATTTAGGTAAAAACAACACTCTTCATTTAAAAATATACAGAGTCGTCCTTTTTCAGCAATGAGTAAATTGAGGCCTTGGCGATTTTGGAGGAAAGAGAATTGCAAAGCCAGCAATTGTTTCTTTTTTTATTTATTTATTTACTTATTTTTTTAAATTATACTTTAAGTTATAGGGTACATGTACACAATGTGCAGGTTTGTTACATATGTATACATGTGCCATGTTGGTGTACTGCACCCATTAACTCGTCATTTACATTAGGTGTATCTCCTACTGCTATCCCTTCCCCCTCCCCCACCACACAAGAGGCCCCAGTGTGTGATGTTCCCCTTCCTGTGTCCAAGTGTTCTCATTGTTCAATTCCCATCTGTGAGTGAGAACATGCGGTGTTTGGTTTTTTGTCCTTGTGATAGTTTGCTGAGAGTGATCGTTTCCAGCTTCATCCATGTCTCTACAAAGGACATGAACTCATCCTTTTTTATGGCTGCATAGTACTCCATGGTGTATCTGTGCCACATTTTCTTAATCCAGTCTATCATTGATGGACATTTGTGTTGGTTCCAAGTCTTCACTATCGTGAATATTGCCGCGATAAACATACGTGTGCATGTGTCTTTATAGCAGCATGATTTATAATCCTTTGGGTATGTATCCAGTAATGGGATGGCTGGGTCAAATGGTATTTCTAGTTCTAGATCCCTGAGGAATCGCCACACTGTCTTCCACAATGGTTGAACCAGTTTACAGTCCCACCAACAGTGTAAAAGTGTTCCTATTTCTCCACATCCTCTCCAGCACCTGTTGTTTCCTGACTTTTTAATGATCGCCATTCTAACTGGTGTGAGATGATATCTCATTGCGGTTTTGATTTGCATTTCTCTGATGGCCAGTGATGATGAGCATTTTTTCATGTGTCTGTTGGCTGCATAAATGTCTTCTTTTGAGAAGTGTCTGTTCATATGCTTTGCCCACTTTTTGATGGGGTTTGTTTTTTTTCTTGTAAATTTGTTGGTGTTCTTTGTAGATTCTGGATATTAGCCTTTTGTCAGATAAGTAGATGGCAAAAATTTTCTCCCATTCTCTAGGTTGCCTGTTCACACTGATCCTAGTTTCTTTTGCTGTGCAGAAGCTCTTTAGTTTAATTAGATCCCATTTGTCAGTTTTGGCTTCTGTTGCCATTGCTTTTGGTGTTTTAGACATGAAGTCCTTGCCCATCCCTATGTCCTGAATGGTATTGCCTAGGTTTTCTTCTAGGGTTTTTACGGCTTTAGGTCTAACATTTAAGTCTTTAATCCATCTTGAATTAATTTTTGTATAAGGTGTAAGGAAGGGATCCAGTTTCAGCTTTCTACATAGGGCTAGCCAGTTTTCCCAGCACTATTTATTAAGTAGGGAATCCTTTCCGCATTTCTTGTTTTTGTCAGGTTTGTCAAAGATCAGATGGTTGTAGATGTGTGGTATTATTTCTGAGGGCTCTGTTCTGTTCCATTGGTCTATATGTCTGTTTTGGTACCAGTACCAGGCTGTTTTGGTTACTGTAGCCTTGTAGTATAGTTTGAAGTCAGGTAGCATGATGCCTCCAGCTTTGTTCATTGGGCTTAGGATTGTCTTGGCAATGCGGGCTCTTTTTTGGTTCCATATGAACATTAAAGTAGTCTTTTGCAACTCTCATCAGCCCAGTTTAATATTACCTATTTATTATAATGTAATGCTGCTCGCACAACTGAGAAAATACTGTTGCTTTACCCCCTCCAGCTCTGTAGCAGCCACGCAGAAATCATAGAACTGTAAACATATGCTAATTACACAACCTATGTAGGCAATCAATATTAAGAAAAATTTTTACTGCCCGGTATTTCTGTGGTTGAAAATGTAGAGTCTAATTTTGATCCGCAGTAACATCTAGGTTAATGTTGATTCAGAAGGAAAACGTTTGTTGTTGCCATGAGAAGAGGCATTGAAATGCTGAATCACCACCACAAATGTTACCACTATTAATATAAGGAGATACATAGGAAGATGGAATTAGACCATCTCGGACCACCAGGTTTACAATTCCACCTGCAGATACATGCAAGAAGTATTGTCACAATACTTATGTCACGTTATTCCGTTGAGGTCATCACCAACTAAGCTTATAATTAATGTGTGGTCAATTTGGTCAATGTCACCAGCGTAGCATACTAACAAAAACAAGGGTTGCAAAGTCAAATGCCTATAAGGCAGAACGTAAGACGGTAGGAAGCAAAGTCTATAGGGAGCTATATAATAGAGGCTGCAGATTCATGGCAGATTCTAAAGCACAGCAGTCCCCAACATTTTTGGCACCAGGGACCGGCTTTGTGGAAGACAATTTTTCCACAGGCGGCAAGGGATGGGGCGCAGGATGGTAATGGTCTTGGGATGAAACTGTTCCACCACAAATCATCAGGAATTAGATTCTCATAAGGAATATGCAACCTGGATCCCTCGTGTGTGCAATTCACAACAGGGTTCATGCTCCTGTAAGAATCTAATGATGCTGCTGATCTGACAGGAGGCAGAGCTCAGGCAGCAATGCAAGCAATGGGGAGCAGCCAGAAATACAGACGAAGCTTCAGTTGTTACCCACCATTCACCTCCTGCTCTGTGGCCCAGTTCCTAACAGGCCACAGACCAGTACATGTCCATGGCCCAGGGGTCAGGGACCCCTGCTGTGGCACATTGCTTAATAGAGGACTGTAGCAGCCATGTGCCCTGACCTTTCCTTTTTTTTTTTTTTTTTTTTTTTTTTGAGATGCCAGAAACCCAGAATTTTTTTTTTTTTTTTTTTTTTTTTTTAAGACAAGGTCTGGCTCTGTTGCCCAGGTTGGAGTGTAGGAGGGCGATCTCAGCTCACTGTAACATCAACCTCCCAGGCTCAAGCAATCCTCTCACTTCAGCCTCCCACGTTGCTGGGATTACAGGCACACTCCACTACACCCAGCTAATTTTTTTGTATTATTTGTAGACATGGGGTTTCGCCACGTTGCCCAGGCTAGTCTGGAATTCCTGAGGTCAAGCTGTCTGCCCATCTCAGCCTCCCAAAGTGCTGGGATTGCAGGAGTGCACCACCACACCTGGCCTGAAACCCAGATTTTATTTATTTATTTATTCATTTTTTGAGATGGAGTCTTGCTCTATTGCCTAAGCTTGAGTGCAGTGGCGCGATCTTGGCTCACTGCAACCTCCACCTCCCTGGTTCAAGCGATTCTCCTGCCTCAGCCTCCCAAAGTGCTGGGATTACAGGCATGCAACACCACACCCAGCCTGAAACCCAGATTTTTAATATGAAATCAAAGTCTTCAGACCTTGTAGGTGTCATAAAAAGCACGCTGAGGACCACTAGTTTGCAACTGCCAATCTAAAATATCATAGACATTATATCACTTCAACCACGAAAAAAAAAGTATGTGAGGCAGAAAATGGAAGCAACCATGCCTAATTTATTGTTGAATACTTTTTCCGTATACCAAGAGCTTCCTTTGCACTAGCATCTGAAACTATATCCAGAATGACACTGGTTTTCATAAAAGTGTTGATCCTCACACCTCTTTATAGTCTTGCACCTAGCACAGTGGAGTGAAACACTTTAAATAGCACTTGTTCCTTGAGTATATATGGAAAAAAGTGAAGTATTGATAAGTGCTCAGCTAATATGAGCAGCATCTCAGGAGTCTCCAATTCTTGAATTACCAGGGAGTATTTTTACCATTTTCCCCCAGTGAAAGGCCTATTTTGAGAGACTTACCCTCCAAAATGAATGTATTAAGTCATGTTCCTTTTTTTTTTTTTTTTTTGAGACAGGGCCTTGCTCTGTTGCCCAGGCTGGAGTGCAGTAGCATGATAGTTACAGGAAAGGGGTCCCAATCTAGACCCCAAGAGAGGGTTCTTGGATCTTGTGCAAGAAAGAATTCAGGGTGATGCCACAGTGTGAAGTGAAAGCAAGTTTATTAAGAAAGTAAAGGAGGAGGGGCACGGTGGCTCACTCCTGTAATCGCAGCACTTTGGGAGGCCGAGACAGGTGGATCACGAGGTCAGGAGATCAAGACCATCCTGGTTAACACGGTGAAACCTCATCTCTACTAAAAATACAAAAAAATTAGCCAAGTGTGGTGGCGGGTGCCTGTAGTCCCACCTACTCTGGAGGCTGAGGCAGGAGAATGGGATGAACCCGGGAGGCGAAGCTTGCAGTAAGCCGAGATCGCGCCACTGCACTCCAGCCTGGGTGACAGAGGGAGACTCCATCTCAAAAAAAAAAGAGAGAAAGTAAAGGAATAAAAGAATGGCTACCCCATAGACGGAGCAGCCGTGAGGGCTGCTGGTTGCCCATTTTTATGGTTATTTGTTGATGATATGCTAAACAAGGAGTGGATTTTTCATGCCTCCTCTTTTTAGACCATATAGGGTAACTTCTTGATGTTGCCGTGGCATTTGTAAACTGTCATGGTGCTGGTAGGAGTGTAGCAGGGAGGATGATGGGAGGTCAGTCTTGTCTCTATTTTGGTTTTGGTGGGTTTTGGCCAGCTCCTTCACTGCAACCTGTTTTATCAGCAAGGTCTTTATGACTGGTATTTTGTGCTGACCTTCTATGTCATCCTGTGACTTAGAATGCCTTAACCATCAGGGAATGCAGCCCAGTAGTTTCAGCCTCATTTTTCCCGGCTCCTATTTAAGATGGAGTTGCTCTGGTTCACACACCTCTGACATGATCATTGCCCACTGCGGCTTCCACCTCCCGGGTTCAAGAGATCCTCCTGCCTCACCCTCCCAAGGTGCTGGGACTACAGGTGTGTGCCACCAGCTCAGCTAATTTTTGTATTTTTTGTAGAGATGGTGTTTTTCCATGTTGCCCAGGCTGGTCTCAAACTCCTGGGCTCAAGCAATCCTTCTGTCTCAGCCTCCCAAAGTACTGGGATTACAGGCATGTCCCACCATGCCCAGACTAATATTTACTTTTAATCAGACTAAGATAGGGTTACTACTTGAGTTGCTATGGCTCCAGCTGAAAGAAAGCCCGTGCAGTCATATCACGCGTAAACATTTGCTTTATGCTAAAAATATGGTGGACCTGGCATTACAGCTATTACAAATCTCCTAAGATGTCTCGGGTAGTGTATTAGTTACTTTTCATACTGCTATGAAGAAATACTGGAAACTGGGTAATTTATAAAGAAAAAGAGGTTTAATGTACTCACAGTTCCACAAGGCTGGAGAGGCCTCAGAATCATGGTGGAAGGCAAAGAAGGAGCAAAAAGGTATGTCTTCCATGGCAGCAGGCAAGAGAGCACGTGCAGGGAAACTGCCCTTTATAAAACCATCAGATTTAGTGAGATGTATTCACTATCACGAGAACAGTATGGGAAAAACCTGCCCCCATGATTCGATTACCTCCTACCGGGTCCCTCCCACGACACATGGGGATTATGGGAACTACAATTCAAGATGAAATTTGGGTGGGGACGCAGCCAAACCATATCGGGTAGCAACAACCTAGGGTCAGTTTTGCAGGTGGTAAAGCCATTTACCAAGATAGTTGTGGGTAAAGAAGGGCAGATTTATTAGAGAAATTGTGAAAATATGTTGCAGTGGGCAGCTCAGCAGAGAAGGGGCTACCTGCAAAGAGGCAAGGGCTGGAGGAAAGTTTTATAGGGTCCTGCTGAAGGGTGCTACGTGTGGAATGAGGTCATTGTGCCCGCAGGTTGTTTGTGATTAGCTGTCTCTAACAATTGTTCATACAATAATTGTTCATTATTGTTCTCAACTTGGGGCTCTCCCCAACCTGGGGACCCTTCCTTATTGTTGCTTACTTATCAGGTCTCCACATAAAGGTGTGGAAACTTCATTCATTCATATCTTCAACACAAATTGTAGGTAGCCTGTTTTTTAAAACATTTATTCAACAAATATTTAGTCCAAGCCACTATTACTTACTACCTTCTCTACTATTGTATGGACTTTTAACTATCTCTGACACTATTCACTATTCTTCCACATTCTCTATTATTTATACCTATGGTAAAATTTGCCAGTTTGACCATACAACTAATACTCACAGGGAATATATAGAGTCTAGAAGAAAATATACAGGTCCTTAAAGGCTGCCCTGCCAACAAAACCATAACGCAGGAACAAACATCACAACTATGCCAAATAATCAATCCTACAATGTCCAAAATTTTACTTTAAAACTGGAATTACCAGACTTCCTTTCTGCATTAACCAGTTTAACTAGACAGTAACGAAATATTCCTACTTTATGCTGTGATAGTTTGTTTGTTTGTTTGTTTGTTTATTTATTTATTTATTTATTTAAGACAGAGTTTCGCTCTTGTTGCCCAGGCTGGAGTGCAGTGGCACGATCTCAGCTCACCACAACCTCCGCCTCCCAGGTTCAAGCGATTCTCCTGCCTCAGCCTCCCGAGTAGCTGGGATTACAGGCATGTACCACCACGCCCGGGTAATTTTGTATTTTTAGTAGAGACGGGGGGTTTCTCCATGTTGGTCAGGCTGGTCTAGAACTCCAGACCTCAGGTGATACCCCTGCCTCAGCCTCCCAATGTGCTGGGATTACAGCTGTGAAGCCACCGCGCCCGGCTGCTGTGATAGTTGAGATGTAAACCAAAAATAAAATTCTAAGCCACCCAATCCGACTGAATGGACCCTTCCTGTTGAGCAAGGACATTCCAAAGTAAACTGAAAAGACCAGCTTAGGCCATGATGGGAAGGGGAGGTGTCAACATGCCTCATTCTACCTTCCTCCCTCTGGAATCCAGACACAACTGACCAGCATTAACATTAAAACAGAGATCTTAAGCTGGGCACAGTGGCTCATGCCTGTAATCCCAGCACTTTGGGAGGCCAAGGTGGGATCACCTGAGGTCAGAAGTTCAAGACCAGCCTGGCCAGTATGGTGAAGCCATGTCTCTACTAAAAATACAAAATTAGCCGGACATTGTGGTGCACGTCTGTCATCCCAGCAAGGCAGGCGAATCACTTGAACCCAGGAAGCAGAGGTTGCAGTGAGCCAGGATCATGCCATTGCACTCCAGCCTGGTCAACAGAGCGAGACTCCGCCTCATTAAAAAAAAAAAAAAAAAAAAATTAGCCGGGCGTGGTGGCGGGCACATGTAGTCCCAGCTACTAGGGAGGCTGAGGCAGGAGAATGGTGTGAACCAGGGAGGCGGAGCTTGCAGTGAGCCGAGATTGTGCCACTGCACTCCAGCCTGGACAGAAGTGCATTTCATAATGCATTTTAATTGCATTAGCAGTGATTTAATTTTTTTAGATGCTAAAACTTATGGGTGAAAGTGGATTAAATGTAGCCAAATGCAACATCAAAATCTTCAGGCACAAAAACCCATTAACTTTTTCATACTCTCAGAAGGTGAACCTAATTTCAAATGAAAGCTGCCTCCAGAATATATTGTTAAGCGTATTCTAGATATAATTCATTTTGGCAAACATACTGTAGAAATTCACATAACATTTTACTGTACTAAAAGTAAATTGCCCATGTAACAAAAAATATCTTTTCAGAGCTTGAAATGAATTTTAAAGGATGACTGATGGTCCCTGGAAGAGAAACAGTAAACAAATAAGGTTTGTAGCAATGATGTATGAGTTAGAAATTGCAGTTCCAGATGATCTCTTTATTAAAGAGACGATCTACACTTAATTTGATCAAGTGTTATGAACATAGTTCATGTTAAGTCTCCATTTAAATACAACCTGAAATACCAAAGTTAATTTTCTTTTCTTTCTTTCTTTTTTTTTTTTTTTAGAAGGAGTCTTGCTCTGTTGCCCTTCCTGGAGTGCAGTGACGTGATCTTGGCTCACTGCAACCTCCACCTCCTGGGCTTGAGCGATCCTACTGCCTCAGCCCCCCAAGTAGCTGGGAGGACAGGCGCAAGCCACGGCACTCAGCTAATTTTTGTATTTTTCGTAGAGATAGGGTTTCACCATGTTGCCCAATTTGGTCTCGAACTCCTGAGCTCAAGTGATCCGCCCGCCTTGGCCTCCCAAAGTGCTGGGATTACAGGCATGAGCCACCGTGCCTGGCCAGAAAATTGTAAACACACACAAACTCTCAAGTGGCCTAATTCCCTCTCACCAAACCAATCACAATACAGATAAAAGAGAATAACTTGTGTTCATTTTTGTACAAACAAAAAAGATATAAATTGTGAATGATGCATGATTTTTAATTACAAGTAAACTGGGCAAATGCTTCTGCATTATTTAAAGCTAAAAGGTGATCAGTGGAAACTTTCCTCTGTTAGTACTCTAATACTTTTTATATTTATCGGCTCACTACAACCTGTGCCTACCAGGTTCAAGCGATTCTCCTGTCTCAGCCACCTGAGTAGCCGAGACCACAGGCACGCACTACCATGTCCGGCTAATTTTGTATTTTTAATAGAGACAGGGTTTCACCGTGTTGGCCATGCTGGTCTTGAACTCCTGACCTCAACCGATCCGCCTGCCTTGGCCTCCCAAAGTTCTGGGATTACAAGCGTGAGCCACAGCGCCCAGCCTTATTATAATTGTTACTATTTAAATCTCTTTTGCTCTCTCCTTCAAGAGAGACCTCATCCCATTCAGTTGCTTCCATTTATTTATTCATCTTCTGCCTCCTGGGCTCGAGAGATCCTCCAGCGTGAGTCTCCCAAGTAGCTGGGACTACAGGCTCACACCACCAAGCTTGGCTAAATTTTGTAGGTTTTGGAGAGACAGGCTCTTGCCACGTTGCCTAGGCTGGTCTCAAACTCCTGGGCTCAGATGATCCACCTGCCTTCGCCTCCCAAAGCACTGGGACATGAGCCACCACGCCCAGCCGCAAGTACTTTTACACAAAATGCAAACACCATTCTTCCATCATAAAAGTGATACCACAGCTTCCGTGAAGTTTTGCCAGGTAGTACTCATAATTACCTTGGGTAAACTTTTTGATGTTAAACTGTATCTTCTTATTACGAGTTTTTCCATTGTATTAACTGCTTTTACAACAACACAAATAACAAGTTATTTTACAAACCATTTAGAAATTTCTGTACTATGGTCCCAGTAATGTAAAATATATTAATGCCTATTACATTCAGATAAATTATACACTTGGAAACCACATACTTATGACTTACAGAAACTTACATAAACAAATTATAGAAATTACATGCTCAATTTTTAGGTATATAGTCTTAAATTAAGCTTAAATATACATTCTCAAGATAAATTAACAGTTCAGGGCTTCACAACTTGAAATCTGTGGAAGATGACATTGGAGACAACAGAACTCTGGTGGAATTCTTAGATGGAATTTGCCGAAACTTTTTTTTTTTTTTTTTTTGAGATGGAGTGTCGCTCTGTCGCCCAGGCTGGAGTGCAGTGGCGCAATCTCAGCTCACTGCAAGCTCTGCCTCCCGGGTTCACGCCATTCTTCTGCCTCAGCCTCCCGAGTAGCTGGGACTACAGGCGCCCACCGCCACGCCCGGCTAATTTTTTATATTTTTAGTAGAGATGGGGTTTTACTATGTTAGCCAGGATGGTCTCGATCTCTTGACCTTGTGATCTACCCGCCTTGGCCTCCCAAAGTGAAACTTTTCTTTAAAATAGAGATGGGATCTTGCTGTATTGCCCAGGCTGGTCTCAGACTCCTTGCCTTAAGCAGTCCTCCCACCTCAGCCTCCTAAAGTGCTGGGATTACAAGCGTGAAGCATTACATCCAAGTGAAACTTCTTGAGATGGTTACATAATGTCTAAATCTGCTGGTGTAGAAGTTAATAAAGTGTAGAACTGAATAACTATTAAATATTAGATCAAGTTTCTCATGTTTATCTTAACGTATAACGATTTATCTTAAAGCACTGATTTTCACAAAATAACATCAGTGTGAAATTGGAAAAGAAGCCAAATATTTTATTTCATGTATCTGGGAAATGAGGTGCTTTAGTCAACTGAATCTGCCCAAAACTAAAAAGCATTAATTAAAAAGTACTTAACTCAGAAATTATAAAAATAGGAGACATCAATAAAATACATTCTACACAGAATACGCCAACCATACACTACTCTTTTTTGATAATAAAAAATGTATTTACTGAGCCAGTTGTGGTGGCTCACGCCTATAATCCCAGCACCTTGGAAGGCCAATGAGAGTGGATCAGTTGAGGCCAGGAGTTTGAGACCAGCCTGGCCAACATGGTGAAATGCCGTCTCTACTAAGAATACAAAAATGAGCCGGGCACGGTGGCACGCACCTGTAATCCCAGGTACTCCGAAGGATGAGGCAGGATAATTGTTTGAACTCAGGAGGTGGAGGTTGCAGTGAGCCAAAATCATGCCACTGCACTCCAGCCTGGGTGACAGAGTGAGTCTCTGTCTCAAAAAAAAAAAAAAAAAAAAAGAAAAAAAGTCAGTTGCAGTGGCTCACGCCTGTAATCCCAGCACTTTGGGAGGCTGAGGCAGGCGGATTACAAGGTCAGGAGATCGAGACCACCCTGGCCAACATGGTGAAACCTCCTCTCTACTAAAAATGCAAAAATTAGGCTGGGCACGGTGGCTCACACCTGTAATCCCAGCACTTTGGGAGGCCGAGGCGCGGAGATCACGAGGTCAGGAGATTGAGACCATCCTGGCTAACACAGTGAAACCCTGTCTCTACTAAAAATACAAAAAATTAGCTGGATGTGGTGGCAGCACTTGTAGTCCCAGCTACTTGGGTGGCTGAGGCAGGAGAATGGCGTGAACCCGGGAGGCAGAGTTTGCAGTGAGCCGAGATCCCACCACTGCACTCCAGCTTAGGCGACAGAGCCAGACTGTGTCTCAAAAACAGGAAAGAAAACAAAAGAAAATTTGGACTATTGCCAATTACAAATATTTTTAGAGAAGAATTCAAAACAGTAACTGTGGATGATGGAAACAATAGTTATGATAAAAGTCTGATGAAACTTCCCAGTTCACAAGGAAATTTAATTACTTATGTGCAGCATTTTAAGACAGTAATCAGAATCATGACTGACAGCATCATATCAGGGCCAGCAGACTTTTATAAATTTCATACAATCTTCAGAAATAATAACTTTTTTTTTTTTTTTTGGATAGATTCTACCTTTGTCACCCAGGCGGGAGTGCAGTGGCATGATCTCGGCTCACTACAACCTCCGCATCCTGGGTTCAAGCAGTTCTCCTGTCTCAGCCTCCCGAGTAGCTGAGATTACAGGCATGTGCCACCAGGCATGGCTAATTTTTGTATTTTTAGTGGAGACAGGGTTTCACTCTATTAGGCTGGTCTGGAACTCCCGACCTCAGGTGATCCACGTGCCTTTGTCTCCCAAAGTGCTGGGATTACAGGCATGAGTGACAGTGCCCAGCCATTCGTGACATGTTTATACAAATATAACTTTAGCAAATATTTAGCATAACTATCAAAATTACAAATCATATTAAATTTGTATAAATGTATGCAATTTTTGGAACACGCATATCAACAACATACCCATAAATATAACTGAGATGAGATCTAATGTCACCTCACTTGACAGTGCCCTCCCATGCAGTATCGCCACATTTGACAATGCCTGCCCATTTAATCTACCAAATAAATCGAATCACTTAATACCTCTACAAGATGAGAGATACATTCTTTAGACTCCCCAAGGGATGCAGCTGAAAAAAATCCCAAAGTTAGTTTTAAGCCAAAAAGACTTGATTTAGGATTTTGACACTGGAGAAACCCATCAAAGATGTCAAGTTTGAAAACACTTGATCAAAACAGAATCACAGGTCACTATTAAAAGAGTATTAATTTAACCAGAGACTTCCAAAGCAATACAGAAACTTACATGGATATAAAAACCCTAACCCTTTTAAAGGTCAGATTTGCTAAGTGATCAAAAGGGGTACTTGAATTGAATCGACACAGGAAGAGTGTGTACAGGGTTATGAGTGTAGGCAGGTGGTTACTTTGGTCATATCTCCATTTGCCACCTGATTACACATGAGAATGGCATCTTTACTCACCAGAAAGCCAGTATTATAGGAGGTGTAGGAGGCATTCTTGGACTTGAGACAAGAACATTGTTGTGTAGAAATTTCATTGACTGTGTTAAAATTATTCTCCATGGGCTGGAGAACACATAACATGGCCTTTAGAATGAGACGGGCATTGATTGGATGCAAGGTCTCCACACTTACTAGCTGTGTGACATTGGACAGAGTGCTTCATCATTCCGAGACTCAGTTTTTAAAGGAAAAACAACTAACTACCTTGCAAGCTTGCTAGCAGGTTTAAGTGTAATAATGTGTGGGAATGACTGCACCGTGACTAACATGCAGTGACAGCTTAATTAATGTTAACCCTTATCATTATCATATAAGAATGTGAGTTACATAAGAGAGGAGTCCTGTCAGTTCGTTCTCTGCTGTGTCCCCAAGACCATGAATCATGGCTGGCATGTAGTAGGCATTTAATAATATATGTTCAACAAGTATTTGGCAGTCTTGGAGGGCAGAAAAGGAGGTGGGGAAGATTTTTAAATAACATTCTTTAAAAAGTCACATTGTCCTACAATACCGATTTTTCTTGCATATTTAGGAAATTGAGGGTTTTTTTCTAAAACATGCGGACATATGGGAAATAGGATGCAACATTTGCACTAATGTTTCAGACACAGTTAGAGGTTTCCAAGAGATTTTGCGCTGGGGAGGCTGCTTGCTACAAGCTCCCAAAGCTCTGGGAGGACATAGTATTCATTCCTCCCTCAGCAGAAGCGGTGAGGCAAGAAGCTCTGGGGAGCACCCAGCGTTGGACTTTTAGCATAGTGTGTCAGGTCTTCATAGTTTGGGCCCAGGGCACAGAGAAGTCACAGCTCTCCGGCATCCTGTGACCTTTACCCTCTTTGCCAAGGGAAAATGTGGCCCACCAAAGCAAGAAACTTGAGGGCATGGGTCACCCCAGCCCTGGCATCTGCCCAGAGCCCGAGAAGGAAGGAACAATGATCCTCCAGCTACCTCACGGGGCTGGCACAGGTGACCACTGCCCTGGCATCACCCAGCTGTGTCCGGCAGCCTGAACCCCATCTGTGGGGATGCGAGGAGGAAAATACAAAAGTCCTTAGGTGAACACTGAGAAGGCAGATGCAGCAGAAACCTCCAGGCCAGAACTACCCAGTCTTGGACCTATGGTGGAGATAGAGCATAGCTGGCGATCATGTGTACTTACACTCTAAGGTCACCTGGTTGCACTATGGCCTCATCTGTGGCTCTGAAAATGAAGATTTGGAAGGAGATCATCACAGCTAATGTTTAACAAGCCCCTCCTGTGTGCCAAATCATTCACCCCTCACCACAACCGAATGAGCTAAGGATTCTCATTATATATAGTTTATGGAGAGGGAAGTGCAGACATAAAGAGGTGAATTATCTTACCCAGATCACACAGCTGATAAGTGGTGGAGGCAGAATAGAATCTAAACAGTGTGGCTCCGGAGCCCACATGCATTGATTCGACAAGTGTTTATTGAGCACCTGCCGCGGACAAGGCCTTGTGTGATTAAATAGGGTTATAATTAGTAATATAAAAATGAGAAATCACTAATGCTTTTTAGACTTAACATTTTGTTTTTTTGTAGGTTTCAGGCACAGAACTGTATATCCAATAATAGTGAAATGGATCCCACTAATTATGACAGAAATGATGATACATTTAAATGACTTGGATGTTTTATAGGTATGATCTCGTGAAATCTTGAGAGAAACTGAATGACGAATGAAACTATTGTTCCTGTTTCACACAGAAGAAAACTGAGGTTAAAAGGGGTAAAGTAATTTTGCATGGCATGAAGTAGAAATTCAAAGTACAGGAATTTGAACTTGGTTCTGTCCTTTTCTGAAGCCCTTGACCACTATAGACTCAAACATCACCTTGTTTTTCCACTCATTCAACACTTTTTTTTTTAAATTATCTAATAGGTTGGCACTCATCATGAGCCCCTGTTCTCATTCTGCAAATGGTGAAGCTCTCTATTGTCCTGACCCCACAGTTCCTGTCCCATGACCAGGGCCAGCTCACCAAGGAGCTGCAGCAGCATGTAAAGTCAGTGACATGCCCATGCGAGTACCTGAGGAAGGTGAGTGAGTGCAGACAGATGGGGCCTGGTGCCCTTGAGCAGTTCCCGGGTCTCAGCTGCCACACATCTCATAGCCGGTGATGCTGGGGGAAGCTTACGCAGTCACAGTACTGGCTTCTTCCTCTTTTTCTTTCCATACAAGTGGCTTAGGGATGGGGTAGAGTAGTTGACTTATTTGGATGAAAACCACTATCTTCTGTCAGAAACTCAAAAGGAATCATTGCTGGCATGGTAACCTAAAGAAAAACAACCAGACAAGTGCCCAACGACACTTAAAAAGGTGATTTATTATCTTGCCAAGTTTAGGCTGGGCATGGTGACTCATGCCTCTAATCCCAGCATTTTGGGAGGCTGAGGCTGGTGGATCACCGGAGGCCAGGACTTTGAGACCAGCCTGACCAATATGGCAAAACCTCGTCCCTACTAAAAATACAAAAATTAGCCGGGCATGGTGGTGTGAGCCTGTAGTCCCAGCTACTCAGGAGGCTGAGACAGGAGAATTGCTTAGATTCAGGAGGTGGGGGTTTTAGTGGGCCGAGATCACGCCATTGCACTCCAGACTGTGCGACAGAGCGAGACTCTGTCAAAAAAAAAAAAAAAAAATTATCCTGCAAAATTTGAAAAGGAAATTCAAATCAACAGCTTCTAAACTACTTTTTAACATGACTCATAATAATACATTCTATAGTACATATGTATGTTCTATAACTTTGAATAAAAGAGTTAACCACATCACATTTATTTTATAACATGTAATACATATTTTTTATTCTCCTTCATTTGTTTTGAATGCTCTGTGCAGTCTACAAAAAGTCCAATAGTAATAATTAAATTAGTCATTAAGTTGAACATTATCTTGTCTTTTAAAATGATAATCTCAAAAATGATCTTTTATTTTTGAGATTTATATAGATACACACACACACACACACACACACACACACACACACACACACACACACACACACATATTTTTTGAGACAGAGTTTCACTCTGTCCCCCAGGCTGGAGTGCAATGGCACAATCTTGGCTCACTGCAACCTCTGTCTCCCGGGTTCAAGCAATTCCTCTGCCTCAGCCTCTGAGTAGCTGGGACTACAGGTGTGTGCCACCATGCCCAGCTAATTTTTGTATTCTTAGTAGAGATGGGGTTTCACCATATTGGCCAGGCTCGTGTCAACTCCTGACCTCGTGATCTGCCCACCGCGGCCTCCCAAAGTGCTGGGACTATAGGTGTGAGCCGCTGCACCCGGTCCAAGTAAAATTATTTTAACAATATACTATGAAGAGAAAAACACTGGCTATGAAAGAATATGCATAGTTTTACCCTGTTTAAAAATAAAGATTGAAAGAATACATATGCAAATAAGTTTACTTTTATTTTTGGTAACACTTTACTGCATTGTCTGAATATTGACAATCAGTATGCATTATGAAGCTACCTGGCTAACATTGTGTACTCACTGTGTGTGCCAGGCCCTGGGTTCAATGCTCTACATGCACTTATATTTCATTTAATTCTCTCTGCAACCTGAGATGGTATAGCCACCTCATTTTACAGAGTTGAAACTGAGGCTCAGAGACTGAAAGTTAAGCCTGAGGTTGCAGTCAATAAGAGGCAGAGCTGGAACTGAAACCTACCTGTGTCTGACCACCAGTTCGTGTTCTGACGGCAGGCTAGTCTGCATCACAGAGTGTGGAGTAGATGGTGCATGCCTGCTAGGATGGGCTAGGTATCA
Organism: Homo sapiens; assembly: GCF_000001405.40. NCBI lineage: Eukaryota > Metazoa > Chordata > Mammalia > Primates > Hominidae > Homo > Homo sapiens. The sequence continues at coordinate 1,249,519 of NW_017852933.1, forward strand.
CTGTAGGTAAGAAACAGCCCCAAACTATGGAAATGTACACCACTGAAGGCTCTTTTCCTGCCCATGCTGCACATCCTCCATGGCTCTCCTGTGCCCTGTGCCCCACATGCCCTCATCCTGCCACGAGAATAAAGGAGCAGCCTCCATATGGGAGCTGTCAGCTGCTCTAAGAGATGAAGGAGAGAGTGGCCCGTCTCAATGGCTCCCAACTCTTTTGCCTCGAGGTGACACGCTTCACTTCCACGCACATCTCCTGGGTCAAAGCAAATCCCATGGGTACATCCACTTTCAAGTGGCCCAGGAGAGAACCTGAAATACTCGGTGGACTCCATTAAGGCCGTCATATGGTGTCAGCCTGCATGGGAGACTGTGGAGGGGCAGAGGAGGAGAGTGGGGAACTGATGGGAAATGACAGGAGGACTAAGTCACCGCAGATTTGCTTTATCTTCAGCCAGGTGGAGTTTGTCCCAGAGCCGCACAAAATCATCACCAGCATGATTAAACGGAGTAGACTTCAGAAAAAGCAGTTTGGTCGGATGTAATCAGCAGTGAACTCAGAATCAATTGAGTGACATTGAGTCAGTAAATCTCTGACTGCCTCAGTTACCCCATATGATAGTTTTGAGGATGGGAACATTGAGAGAGTTGATTTGGAAGGATATCAAGAGTAAAAATTCCAACATTTTTAGTTCCTTTAAGTTAAATCCAGGCACTGTCTTTCCTGCAAGTCTCCTGTTCCTTTCAGATTGCACAGGTGAGAGTGCTCAGATTAGGGCTGGAGGTTGTAAACCATTGCTCCCACACTGACAGTGCCCCCGTGTCGTGCGTGTATTCTGCGCATTTTCCTGTGCTAAACACTCTCCCAAAACATCGTGGGGCCTGATTCTTCCTCTTTGTTCCAATGGCCCTGGGTGACTCAAGTGCCCATTCAATGACCAGGACACAGAGGTCTTAGAGAGATGCTCCTTGAGGCCCCAGGTGCGAGCCTGTACCCTGCCGGAGCATGAGGCAAGGGACAGGGCATCGTCTGTGGGGATAGTGGGGGTAGTGGGGGTAGTGGTCAGCCAGATTTGGTGACTCTACTTGCTCACCAGACGATCCTACACCTGCCACCTCCGATGGATCCACTGCCTCTGTGCCTGCCTGTACTGCTGATGCTCCAGTGGATAACTCAGCATCCCAGCCTAGGCCCAATGCCACTGAAGATGGACCTGCCCCCTGGGGACCCAGGAGTCCTACCACTCAGCTGTCCCCAGGAGTGCCCAGACCCTCATTCTTATCCAGGACCTAGGAGCCCTACCCCTGGCCTTCCCTCATCAGCCGTAAATGATGATTTACTGCTGTTACCATCATCACTGCCTTCAGTGACCAAGGGCCTTCCAAGGTGCCAGCTCTGGAACGAAGGATGCCCTTGGGAGGTGATGACACTCAGGTACACGGGTGCTCAACAGATTGCTTCCTCCTATCCTCAGACGGTCTTTGCATGCATGCAGCCATTGGCACTCCCATTGTGTGGAAGGAAACCAGCCCAGGGTCACACAGCTGGTCAGCAGCAACATAGCTGGTCTCAAATCTAAGGTGCCTGACCATGCCTCCATGAGGGACCGCCTCCAAGGGAGGTTGATCCTGGCTTTGGGGAGCCTTTCCTGGGCTGCACGAATAACCTCCATTGTTCGAGACCCCAAACTCTGCTCACATCTTCCTTTCCCTATCTCTGCTTGGGCTATGATCACGGTGACTCTAGCAGCCCTTCATGGACATTATAGTACTCTCTGCCATTCACTTTTGCTCTAATCTGACTTCAACCCCCACTTACTTGGTCTCTCCTTTTACAACCACCACAACCGAAATCTAGGGCTGCTTTTTTTTTTTTTTTTTTTTGAGACAGAGTCTCATTCCATTCTGTCACCCAGGCTGGAGTGCAATGGTACGATCTCGGCTCACTGCAACCTCCGCCTCCCGGGTCCAAGGGATTGTCCTGCCTCAGCCTCCTGAGTAGCTGGGATTACAGGCGTGTGCCACCATGCCTGGCTAATTTTTGTATTTTTAGTAGAGACGGGGTTTCACCATGTTGGTCAGGCTGGTCTCGAACTCCTAACCTCGTGATCCGCCTGCCTCAGCCTCCCAAAGTGCTGGGATTACAGGCGTGAGCCACCATGCCCAGCCAAATCTAGGGCAGGAACATGGCTGCAGCATATAAAAAGAATTGAATTCCATACTTTTGTTAACCCTGTTTTTTGTTTGTTTGTAGTTGTTGCTGTTTTTGAGACAGAGTCTCGCTCTGTCGCCTAGGCTGGAGTGCAGTGGTGCAATCTCGGCTCACTGCAGACTCTGCCTCCCGGGTTCAAACTATTCTCCTGCCTCAGCCTCCCAAGTAGGTGGGACTACAGGCGCCCACCACCACACCCGGCTAATTTTTGTATTTTATTAGAGACAGGGTTTCACCATATTGGCCAGGCTGGTCTGGAACTCCTGACCTTGTGATCCGCCCACCTCGGCCTCCCAAAGTGCTGGGATTACAGGCGTGAGCCACCACACCCAGCCCCTGTTTTGTTTTTGTTTTGCTTGCTTCTTAGGGTTGTTTTTCTATTTATGGTAAAGGCATTGGCTTTCCATTTGTAGCATCAATAGAATATTTCCTGTTTACAATAACCTTATGTCATAGTAAATGGTAAAGGGATTTAAAGCAGTGGTTTTCAGCTGCCAGAGGCCTGAGAGAGTTTGGGCATACTCTGTGTGATCGGGCAGAAGGCCTGTGGGAAGTTTAGCAGAGGACAGGGCCAGGAAAGGTGATGGACAGTGGGGGTCTGTCCTGGTCACCAGGCCCCTGGGTCCTGCCCACCTGCTTGGAGCTCCCCACCCATCACACATGATGCTGCCAAGCCCTCTGGGTATTGTGGGCAAATACCTTAGGAGAGAAGCTGATGAACTTTGTTTCTTGAAATGCACAGATTCCTTGGACGTCCCTGAGAGCTCAGTCATGAAAGTCAACTTGGTTTTCTCCCCCTCATTTGGGTTCAGAATTTAAAGTCCACACACACAGGCAGTAAGATGATATAGATAAGGACGTCATCACTCGGTTTCGGATGTTAAAATGTCTAGGTGGGTTAGCGGTGATTTGAGATCACACAACCTTGTGCCACAAAGAGGAATTCCCAGGCCAGAGGGAGACATTTTATTGCCATGTTATGATCTCATCATTGAGTTGAAAGGCAATCTTGTTTCATTTTGGATTCTTTCTTATGTTTATGTCTTATAAGGGCACTTTGAATTTCCAAGCAAATAATAATTTTGAATTAGCTTTTAATCATTGACTTCTAGCACAGTTATATGATCAGAAACATGCTGTGTGATTTGATTGCTCTCAAATATATTGAGATTTGCTGGAACAAAATAAGTCAGGTTAATTTTTGTAAATGTACCAGGCATGCTTAAAATGAATGTATCTACATTTGTTCCCGAGATACAGGTTGATGGACGGATGGCTACATGGATGTGATGGAGATGGTTTACTATCGGGACCTTCCGCACCCTGCTGATGTTTTGTTGCTTAGGATATGAATGGCTGAGCGGAGGCTGTAAAACCTGGCACTCTGCTTGGGTATGAGGTTCTTCCTGCCATCCTGCCATCATTTGTTTTTTATGTTTTGTCGCCATAAGTGACCTTGAGGAACCCTGGGAGCTCAGGAAGGAAGGAGCGCCCAGAAGCAGGGACAGGGAGCTGGTTGGGGAGGACCAGAAATCAGGTTTGTGAAGGTTCCAGAGAGGACCTGTCTTTGGGAGGAGTGTGGGAGACTGAGATGGGGGAGGGGTCATTGGAATGATGCGGGCGCTACTTGGCATTGTCCATTGTGAGGCACTGTCCATTGTGAGGCACCACCGGGGTCATCAGGGATTGGTGGAGAGGGAGTATAAAGCCCCAGGGTTGGTAAGGGAGGGCCCAGACCGAAGAAGGTTTGGTGGATAGCAGAACCTTTTTGTCTCCCTCTGATTGCTCCTAAGCCTCACGCTCCCTTGCCCCGCGTGTCCTGTTGCTTCCCTGATCTTCTCCGTGACCTGTAGCTAAACCTTCCACCAGCGCTTGAGAACTTAATTTGAACCGGATCCTTTCCCAGACCCCTTTCTTCTTCTCCTCCTCCTCCTCCACCTCCTCCAGGTGCCCAACAGCCCCCTTCTCCTCCTTTCCCTTCCCTTACTTCCCCCCTTCCCCTCCCCTTCCCCTCCCCCTCCTCTCCCCCTCCCCTCCCCCTCCCCTCCCCAACTCAGATCCGGCCCCGGTCCCCGTCCCCTTCCCTCCCCCCTGCCCTAAGCCACCTCCACCTCTGTCCTGGCCGCCTCAGGGCGCCCTGAAAGGACCAGGACATGCGGGTGCGGTGGATGCTCTTTTGGCTCCTCTTTGGGCTCCTACTGGAATTTATCAGCCATCAGTGCATCTCTGTGAGTAGACGCTGGACCCGTGGGGTTTCTTCCTTTTTACTGGGCTGTATCACGTGGCATGAAATTACACAGCTCAGGCCTGTAATCCCAGCACTTTAGGGGGCCGAGGTGGGCAGATCACTTGAGTCCAGGAGTTGAAGACTAGCCAGGGCATCATAGCGAAACCCCATCTCTACAAAAAATTCCAATAAAGATTAGTCGGGCCTGGTGGTGCGTACCTGTTATCCCAGTTACTGGAGAGGCTGAGGTGGGAGGATCGCTTGGGCCCAGGAGCTGGACGTTGCAGTGAGCCGAGATGGCCCCGCTGCACTCTTGTTTTTAACAAAGAAAATGGACCAAAACAAAGTGAAATGTCATTTGATTTGTGTCATCTGGTTTGATGACTTTTTTTTTTTTTTTTTTTTTTTTAGACAGAGTCTCACTCTGTCGCCCAGGCTGGAGTGCAGTGGCAAGATCTCGGCTCACTGCAACCTCCGCTTCTGGGGTTCAAGCAATTGTCCTGCCTCAGCCTCCTGAGTAGCTCAGATTACAACGCCTGGCTAATTTTTGTATTTTTAGTAGACCACCACGCCTGGCTAATTTTTGTGTTTTTAGTAGAGATGGGGTTTCACCATGTTCGCCAGGATAGTCTCCATCTCTTGACCTCGTGATCTGCCTGCCTCAGCCTCCCAGTGCTGGGATTACAGGCGTGAGCCACCGCGCCTGGCCAAAATATATAACCTTAAGTGTAAGTTTACTAACTTTGGAAAGTACATACACCAGCATAAACCAACCCCCTTTCAAGATCTACATTATTTTATTTATTTATTTATTTATTTTGAGACAGTTTCTCCCTTGTTGCCCAGGCTGGAGTGCAATGGGGCAATATCAGCTCACCGCAACCTCTGCTTCCCAGGTTCGAGCGATTCTCCTGCCTCAGCCTCCCGAGTGGCTGGGATTACAGACATGTGGCACCACTCCCAGCTAATTTTGTATTTTTAGTAGAGATAGGGTTTCTCCATGTTGGTCAGGCTGGTTTTGAACTCCCGACCTCAGGTGATCCGCCCGCCTCGGCCTCCCAAAGCGTTGGGATTACAGGCGTGAACCACCATGCCCAGCCAAGATCTACACTATTATGTCACCCCAGAAAGTGAACTCTCAGTCTTCCCAGCCAGTCTCTTTCTTATCATAGGTTAGCTTGCTTATTCTGGAATTTCGCGTATACAGATGCATGCCATGCCATAGGTACTCTTTTGTGTCTGCTTTGTTCTGCTCAACACCATGTTTCTGAAATCATTACCATTGTTGTATGGTTCTCTAACTTCATCATTTCCATTTCAGACTCAGCATATGCTGAGTTCAACCTGTTGAAGGGCTATCTCTGTTTAATTCACCATCTTGAAAGAAACATTTAAAATTGAGATGTTTTCAAGAATATATAGTTAAATCCTGAGGAATCGACGTAGAAATGTTATCACAAGCTGTCTGAACTTACTCAGGGGAAGTCTTCGTCTTCACTCACATAAGAGTCTAATGGAATTAATATCAACAATCTTAGAGAAATCCCACACTATTCATGCCATTTTCATGATCTCCACCTTGATAATTTTTTTTTTTTTTTTTTTTTTTTTTTTTTTTTTTTTTTTTGAGACAGAGTCTCGCTCTGTCACCCAGGCTGAAGTGCAGTGGTGCGATCTCGGCTCACTGCAACCTCTGCCTCCCGGGTTCAAGTGATTCTTCTGCCTCAGCCTCCCAAGTAGCTGGAACTATAGGCATGTGCCACCATGCCCTGCTAATTTTTTGTATTTTTAGTAGAGACGGGTTTCACCGTGTTAGCTAGGATGGTCTCAATCTCCTGATCTCGTGGTCCACCCACCTCGGCTTCCCAAAGTGCTGGGATTGCAGGCGTGAGCCACCACGCCCAGCCCACCTTGTTAATTTTTAAGCACTAAAATTTGATACTTATTTGTGAATGAAGTAATCTCTTCATTGTATTTTTTTTTTTTTTTACTTATGCTGAGATTTAAATGACAAAGATTCATATAATCCAAGAGAGAAGTATTATTTAGAGGGATTCTTTTACCATGTGATATATAATAAATGCATCCAATGTTATACATCAATTTAAAAAACAAGTAAATAACTTTAAAGAAAAGATAACTACTGGCCAGGTGCAGTGGCTCACACCTGTATTCCCAGCACTTTGGGAGGCCAAGGCAGGTGGATCATGAGGTCAGGAGTTGGAGACCAGCCTGGCCAAGATGGTGAAACCCTGTTTCTACTAAAAATACAAAAATTAGCCGAGCGTGGTGGCAGGCGCCTGTAATCCCAGTTACTCAGTAGCTGAGGCAGGAGAATCGCTTGAACCCGGGAGGCGGAGGTTGCAGTGAGTTGAGATCATGCCACTGCAATCTAGCCTGGGTGACAGAGCAAAACTTTGTCTCAAAACAAAAAGAAAAGAAAAGATAAGATAATTACTTTATACTTAGCTTGTCTTACCCATGAGTGACGGGCTGCATGTGGCCCAGGACAGTTTTGAATGCAGTTCAACACAAATTTGTAAACTTTCTTAAAACATTAGGAGATTTTGGCCAGGTACAGTGGCTCATGCGTGTAATCCCAGCACTTTGGGAGGCTGAGGCGGGCAGATTACCTGAGGTCAGGAGTTCGAGACCACCCTGACCAACATGGCAAAACCCCATCTCCACAAAAAATACAAAAATTTGCTGAGTGCACTGTCAGGCACCTGTACTCCCAGCTACTCAGGAGGCTGAGGCAGGAGAATCACTTGAACCTGAGAGGCAGAGGTTGCAGTGAGCCGGGAGCACACCACTGCACTCCAGCCTGGGTGACAGAGTGAGACCCCATCTCAAAAACAACAAACAAAAACAAAAACAAAAAAATGGCTGGGCACGGTGGCTCACACCTGTAATCCCAGCACTTTGGGAGGCCGAGGCAGGCAGATCGCCTGTCAGGAGTTCAAGGCCAGACTGGCCAACATGGTGAAACCTCATCTCTACTAAAAATACAAAAATGAGTCGGGCATGGTGGCAGAGACCTGTAATCTCAGCTACTCGGGAGGCTGAGGCAGGAGAATGGCTTGAGCCCAGGAGCTGGAGGTTGCAGTGAGCCGAGATTGCACCACTGCACTCCAGCCTGGGCGACTGAGTGGAGCGGAACTCTGTCTCAAAAAAAAAAAAGAGGTTTTTTTTAGATCATCAGCTATTGTTAGTGTTAGTGTATGTTATGTGTGGCTCAAGACAACTTTGCTTCTTTTAATATAGGCAGGGAAGTCAAAAGATTGGATATCCCTGCTTTATACCAAGAAAGACAACACCCCACATTTGCAATGCCTGAAAACACTACCAGCCATCTGAAAAACATGTGACTTCTAACTTCTGTTCTTTTTTGTAGCAGTGGAATCCCACGGTGATATCTGAGGGATGTGGTTACCTTTTGGAGGAGGTTGACGGTTTCTAAGGATGATTCTTTCTGAGTGAAATATTGTCAGTGTCATTGACCTTTTCATTATTTCAACTATTATTATTCCAGGTTATCAATACTCTGGCTGACCATCATCATCGTGGGACTGACTTTGGTGGAAGTCCTTGGTTACATGTCATTATTGCATTTCCGACAAGTTATAAAGTTGTCATTACCCTCTGGATAGTTTACCTTTGGGTGAGTATACTAACTTTCTGTAGAGGTATACTTGTAATCACAAATAAGAATAAATTATATAAAACAATTCACATTTCTGGACTTCATTATGAATATGTGGTTTTACCCAAAAAATCAGGGAAATGATTTATTAGTATAAGAATTATGAAAACATCTGCCATTTGCATTATGAAAATTAAATAGGTCGGTGTTTGTTTAATAGAATGTCAACAGAGCTTTTGGTCAAAAATAAGTTTTTTTAACCTTTGTGCTATTTATCACAAATGGAGTATGAGGTTTCGTCACTTAAATAGGAAATTCTTTCTAAACTCTTCTGCTTTATAGTTCTATCGTATGGGTGGAAGGAAAGCTTCCAATCTCCTCTCTGAAGATTCACTGCAGAAATGAGCTGACAACAGACAGCTTAACAGGAAAAGAAAAACATAGAACAGGCATAAACATGGGAACCAGCTGAAAAATGAGACTGCTAGAAGGGCCGGATGGCTGATGCTTAAAGAGCACCCTCTTCTGAGGGGAGAGGGAGATAGATGGAGATGTAGGCCATTTAGAGGGGCAGCAAATGATTTTTAGGGGAAATGAAAGAGGCCAAGGAACAAACAATTGGCCTGAGACAAAGTTCCTGTGAGGTCATAGGGACGAGGTGACAAACTGCCGGAAGGTGAAGGGCAGAACTGCACTGCGTCTCATGATGCAGAGAAAGCCCCAGAGACTCTTAGAACTGCCCTCCAAGAGAATCAATGAAAAGTGTGTCTGGGCAGGGTAATTTTGAATGACATCATTCAAAGTGCATGTTCCGACTTGGAACTGGAGAGAGATCAGTATGTCAAAAGTCTGTACTTGGTAAGAATTTGGCTGCTAAGTTGTGCCATAATTTGTCTTTTGAGCCTTTTTTCCTTTGGGTAAGTTGAGCTCTACATTTTGTCTTGCCATTCATGACAGTAAAAATGTGGTTGTCTGGGGGCTGAACCTCCTTCTGAACAATGATCCAAGATAAAAGTACTAATACCACAATGCTTTTTTATATTCAAGGGAAGAGGAAGTATGTTTCAGTTTTACCACCTAGATAATTACACGTCATTTGGCACTGCCTTTCAAGATATGTAGAAAACAGAAAATATATGAGTTATGAAGATATCTAGGCACATTTAACATTCTCTATGCCACTTAGTCCTGAACAGAGAATTTTCGGTATAAATTGGAGGAAGCTTTTTTCTTTTTTTTTTTTCTTTTCTCACCCCGAAGACGAGTCTCCTTCTGTTGCCCAGGCTGGAGTATAATGGTGTGACCTCGGCTCACTGCAACCTCCACCTCCTGGCTTCAAGTGATTCCCCTGCCTCAGCCTCTCAAGTAGCTGGGATTGCAGGTGCCCACCACCATGCCCAGCTAATTTTTGTATTTTTAGTAGAGTCGGGGTTTTACCATGTTGGCCAGGCTAGTCTCAAAACCCGACCTCAAATGATCCACCAACCTCAGCCTCCCAAAGTGCTGGGATTACAAGCGTGAGCCACCACGTGAGCCAGGGGAAGTTTTTAAATTTACCACTTTTTAACAATTCCACTTAGGAAAGTTCAGTTGAGCTGTTGGACTTGGACAACTTCGCACCTCTCATCTTTGTCCTTGTCATCTAGTCATCTATACCATTACCTCCTTAGCAGGGACATCATGGGTGCCATGAAGCATTCATGCGTGATGGCATTTCTTGGCTTCTCATTTCTTCATGTGTTTGACATTTCCCCTAGCTCCAAACTGGGCCAGCTACCTTTCCTATGAAATCTAGCAGTAGCTGTGGGATTGACGTGGTTGCTCTTTTCATCTTTTTAGATTACCCATTGCTTCTCTCGAAATCCTAGTACATGATTTTTTTTTTATCCTATGTGCAGAAATCAGGAAAAAACAAATTCTACAAAGAATTTGAAAGATATTATTTCAGGCCAGGTGTGGTGGCTCATGCCTGTAATCCCAGCACTTTGGGAGGCTGAAGCAGATGGATCATTTGAGGTCAGGAGTTCAAGACCAGATGGGCCAACATGGTGACACCCCATCTCTACTAAAAAGACAAAAATTAGCCAGGCATGGTAGCAGGCACCTGTAATCCCAGCTACTTGGGAGGCTGAGGCACAAGAATCGCTTGAATCTGGGAGGTGGAGGTTGCCGTGAGCCAAGGTAGCGCCACTGCACTTCAGCACGGTTGAGAGTGACACTCTGTCTCAAGAAAAAAGTCATTTCAATGACCACCTCAGGAGATTCATAGGTATCTGACCCACATCTGAGATGGGATTTGCATTGCATTTTAGCTATGATGAGAAGAAATATTTAATATCTTAGAAGATTAAAAGCATACTGTGATAATATGGAAATCTTGGTGGGAATTCAGTCATTAGTGAGAATGTTTTGCGTTAAGTTCAAACCAGCCTCAATGAAGCTGATGTGAGGGAAGGGAAAGTGAACTCTGAGTAGAGCAGGGACAGAAGGAAGATGCTCCAGTGCAGATCAGGAAGGAGCAGGGGATGAAATGTTACAAATTCTAGAACTCAGAGAGCTGAAGGTAATTACTTCCTTTTCAAGTTGTGAAACATGTTAACCTGTGGTAAAATACTTATAAGATGATAATTACCATCTAACCGTGTTGAAGTGTACAGTTCAGTTGTGTGAAGTATATTCATGTCATTTTTTTTTTTTTTTTTTTTTTTGAGACGAAGTCTCACTCTGTCACCAGGCTGGAGTGCAGTGGTGGGATCTTGGCTCACTGCAACCTCTGCCTCCTGGGTTCAAGCAGTTCTCCTGCCTCAGCCTCCCGAGTAGCTGGGACTACAGGCGTGCATCACCATGCTCAGCTAATTTTTGTATTTTTAGTAGAGACGGGGTTTCACCATGTTGCCCAGGATGGTCTCCATCTCTTGACCTTGTGATTCACCCGCCTCGGCCTCCCAAAGTGCTGGGATTACAGGCGTGAGCTACCGCATCTGGCCTATTTTTTTTTTTTTTTTTTTTTTTTTTTTTTGAGACAGAGTTTCAATTTTGTTGCCCAGGTTGGAGTGCAATGGCACAATCTCAGCTCACCACAAGCTTTTCCTGCTGGGTTCAAGTGATTCTCCTGCCTCAGCCTCCCGACTAGCTGGGATTACAGGCATGCACCACCATGCCTGGCTAATTTTGTATTTTTAGCAGAGACAGCGTTTCTCCATGTTGGTGAGGCTGGTCTCAAACTCCCGACCTCAGGTGATCCGCCTGCCTCGGCCTCCCAAAGTGCTGGGATTACAGGAGTGAGCCACCGTGCCAGCCTCATGTCATTCTTGTGTGTGTGTGTGTGTATGTGACAGAGTCTCATTCTGTCGCTCAGGCTGGAGTGCAGTGGTGTGATCTCGGCTCACTGCAACCTCCGCCTCCCAGCTTCAAACGGTTCTCTGCCTCAGCCTCCCGAGTAGCTTGGATTACAGGCGCCCGCTGCCATGCCCGGCTAATTTTTGTATTTTTAGTAGAGACGGGGTTTCACCATCTTGGCCAGGCTGGTCTTGAACTCCTGACCCCGTGATCCACCTGCCTCGGCCTCCCGAAGTACTGGGATTATACGCATGAGCCACCGTGCCCAGCCGTCATTCTTATATTATTATTTCCTAGGTGTCTCTCCTGAAGACTATCTTCTGGTCTCGAAATGGACATGATGGATCCACGGATGTACAGCAGAGAGCCTGGAGGTCCAACCGCCGTAGACAGGAAGGTATGGCTCTGTTGGAATCCGCATAGTGTGGAAATGAGTTTGCCCTGGAAAGGGAAAGAACAGCTTCTTGCCCTCAGGTTTCTCACCTTCTCCTCTCCTCACTCTCACCAAGGGCTGAGGTCCATTTGTATGCACACAAAGAAAAGAGTTTCTTCCTTTCGAGGAAATAAAATTGTCCTGAAAGACGTCATTACTCTACGGAGACATGTGGAAACAAAAGTTAGAGCTAAAATCCGTAAGAGGAAGGTGACAACGAAAATCAACCATCATGACAAAATCAATGGAAAGAGGAAGACCGCCAGAAAACAGTAAGATGTGCCTTGACACAAATACTGTTGTATGAACCATGTGCCAATCAAAGTAGACAACTGTAAAGTCCTTGAGAATATTTTCTACAATATTTGTGGCAAATTCAGTGGGTTCAAAATTGAGTTTGTCCTTTCTGCTTCATTAGTTTAAGCTGTATAATTCCTTTCCCTTCCTACATTCTTGTTTTCATTTTTTCGGAGGAAGAGGAGTTGCTAGTACTGGCATTGGTTTTCCTTTCTCTTTTTTTTTTTTTTTTTTTCCTGAGATGGAGCTTTGCTGTTGTTGCCCAGGCTGTAGTGCAATGGCACAATCTCAGCTCACTGCCTTTTGGGTTCAAGCAATTCTCCTGCCTCAGCCTCCCAAGTAGCTGGGATTACAGGTGCCCACCACCACGCCCAGCTAATTTTTGTATTTTTACTAGAGATGGGGTTTCACCATGTTGTCCAGGCTGGTCTCGAACTTCTGACCTCAGGTAATCCACCTGCCTCAGCCTCCCAAAGTGCTGGGATTAGAGGCGTGAGCCACCACAGCCAGCCTTTTTTTTTTTTTTTTTTTTTTTTAATTTTGCGATAGAGTCTCGCTCTGTCGCCCAGGCTGGAGTGCTATGGTGCAATCTTGGCTCACTGCAACCTCTGCCTCCCAGTTTGAAGCAATTCTGCCTCAGCTTCCCGAGTAGCTTGGATTACAGGTGTGTGCCACCACATTTGACCAATTTTTTTTTTTTTTTTTTTTTTTGAGACAGAGTCTCACTCTGTCACCCAGGCTAGAGTGCAGTGGCATGATCTTGGCTCACTGCAACCTCCACCTCCCAGGTTCAAGCGATTCTTATCCCTCAGCCTCTTGAGTAGCTGGGACTACAGGCATATGCCACCATGCCCGGATAATTTTTGTATTTTTAGTAGAGGCGGGGTTTCACCATATTGGCCAAGCTGGTCTAGAACTCCTGACATGATCCGCACACCTCGGCCTCCCAATGTGCTGGGATTACAGGCGTGAGCCACCGTGCCCGGCCCAATTTTTGTATTTTTAGTAGAGACAGGGGTTCACCATGTTGGCCAGGCTAGTCTTGAACTCCTGACCTCAGGTGATCTGCCTACCTCAGCCTCCCAGTGTGAGCCACCGCACCCAGCCTGGATTGTTGAATTCAATGCTTGGGTCACCTCCAGATTCATTTTCACAGTCTTTCATGTTTTGGTCATATGACATTGTATTTTGCTGCCATATGACTGATCTTTTTTTGTTAAATGTGAGATACTTGTTAAAAAATGTTTAGCAATGAATTGAGGCCTAGTAGCATGTTATCTTGCTGCAGAAGAGATGGGAGTCTACTTCTGGGGGATGGTCAGGGGTCCTCCATACAAGCTGCAATTGAAGTCGTCGGTGCAGGCTCAGTCCCTACAAAGGCCAGGGTATTTCCTGTCCACCTTTATTCTGATGCATGACTCTTCTGGGTCTCAACCAGAGCCAGCGGACTTCAGTATGGGTCGCTTTCATTGGCAGACCCTCAATCCACTTGTTTTCCATCTAATCCCACGCATGTGTGCAAAAGCTGCTGTGCTTCTTTGCATCTCAGTAGTTCCTTCTGGAATTCAGCAATGAAACTCAGGGAAATGGGTTCCAAATGCGAGGCTGACTTTCGTCCTGGGTTTCCTTCTTCTCCATCTTCACCTCATGTCTGTTTACTGCCATGTTAGCAATTTGATGTATTCAATCATGGGTTTTATATTCTGTTTGGTGTCCCCCATTGTTCTCATTGGAGATCAGAAGCTTCAGATGCACTTATGTCAACTCAAGAGTAGAATGCTTCCTTAGCTTCCCTCCAGAGTCAGGTTTTGTGTTTCTAGTTCCCAAGTGCACAGCAGGAGTAGTGATGTCCTCACTGGCTTCTCATTTGCATTAAGCTGTGAGCTTCTTTAGCGTGGGGACAGGACCCTGCTCCCATTGCATTCTCAGCACCACACCACACACTCCTTGTTTGAGGCCACTCCAGACAGCATGTGCTGAAGGATGCCTTGTGGTCAGAAACAAGTTCATTAACTTTCTCTTTGAAGTGTTTTCGCCCCTGTTTCCTAGCGTTCTGGGAATTTTACACATCCTTCCTATAAAGCCAAGTATCAGGTGAGATCCTTAGGATCAGGACCATGAATCAAGTGGTGTGAGGGCAACACAGCAAACTTACCCTTTTTAGGCCGTTTCCTTTTTCTGCCCTCAATCTCTGTGAACTGAACCTTGTTAAAGTCAGTCAACACCAGGGTGGATGGTTTGCCGTTGTCACCTATTTTCAGGACATAACACCCTGACTTAGGAGCCATTCCGATCATTTCTAATTCAATAGATGCGCCCAGCATTCAGATTGCCTTTTCTCTCAACCAGGATCTTTAAAGTTGATGACAAGAGTTCCAGTCCTGAATCATGGCAAAGTGCAGTAGTGAACTGCGGGGTTATTCTGGAAGGATCTCTCTATGGCTGATGGTCTCAGTTCCGGCATCAGCCTCTGACTGAGAATCAGGTCTCACACAGGAGGAGTCAGATGAGGAGCAATCCTCTGCTTCCGATGGAGTTAGTTGTGATGAATTGGTGAGGTCTGGTTTTTCACACTGAACTAAAATGAGCTTTCGCTGTGTCAAGCACAAGACTGACCCCAGAGACACACATAGTGCACCTCATAGAAGCTTTTAATAGTCTTTATATTTACTAAAGAATAGGACTAACTATGGAACTATGAAGATGAGCTGGAAATGACAGGTGACTTGCCAGCAGGCCAGAGTGTGACTTTTTTTTGTCCCTCAATGGGAGGTGTCAATTCTCCCTTCGGTTGTGAGAATCAGTTGGTTCATTTGTGGGAAGGTTGCAGGGGGGAATCTTTGAATCACAGCCTTCAGATGCCAGAAGGGCAGAGGGAATCCCACACGGGCTGGTGGATCATGTGTGTGCATTTCTCTCCCTTCTAATCTGAGGAAACTAAGCGTGAAAGAATGTGAGCATGCAGAAAAGGAGAGGCAGGTATCAGAGGCAGAGGAAAATGGGAAATTGGATATGAAAGAAATACACACCTACAAGTGAGTTCAGAAACTGTACCCCACCCTCTTGGGAAACGCCCATTGGAGTGTTGTTTTTAACCTTTGTACAGTATTTAGACCCAGTAAATGCAGAAATAGAAACAAACGGTCAGAAGACATATCGTGAGAGAGAGCGAGAGAGAGTTCACAAAACAGAAAACAAAGTACCTTAATATTTACCAGTGACCAAAAGATGTGAAGTAGCAAAACGTCTCCTGACCCCATTGCCAGCTAGACTGTGTGGAAACTCGGTTCATACCAGCCATTCTAGGGGTGGGGTGAGTTGTTGTCATCCTTAGGAAAGTGTGTTGTTGTAGGATCAACCACATCCTTCAAAAGGACTATGCCTGTTTATAAGCCCAGCTGTTTCTGCCCTGTGAAACACGGTAAGGATATTAATACAAAGAGAATACAGCTTTATGATAAAAGATGCTCAATGAAGGATGAATTAGGGATGTACTGAGAATGGGGAAGGAAACTATCATCTCAGAAGTCAGCAGGCAGTAAGCAAGAGGAGGAATCAATACAGCAACAGTTTGGATCAGACTGTACAGTTTTTTTGTTTTTGTTTTTGTTTTTCTGAGATGGAGTCTCGCTGTGTCACCCAGGCTGGAGTGCAATGACGTGATCTTGGCTCACTGCAACCTCCGCCTCCCAGGTTCAAGTGATTCCCCTGCCTCAGCCTCCCGAGTAGCTGGGATTACAGGTGCCTGCCACCACGCCTGGCTAATTTTTTGTATTTTTAGTAGAGAAGGGGTTTCACCATATTAGCCACAATGGTCTCAATCTCCTGACCTCGTGATCCATCCGCCCCGCCCTCCCAGAGTGCTGGGATTACAGGCGTCAGCCACCGTGACCGGCTCAGACTGTACTCTTCTAGCCATCTGAAATACGTTTTCTAGGTAGAGATAGATTGTGTAAGGGTACAGTTGTGAGGATAACAGAAACATGGCAGATTATTTAAAATCATCCTGAAAGTGGTGCTTTATCTGATGAAAGTGATTGTAATCCATAGGAAAATGTTTCAACGTGCGCAAGAGTTGCGGCGGCGAGCAGAGGACTACCACAAATGCAAAGTAAGGAGCTTCCTCCCTGCAGTTGCAGGATAGTTCAGTGCTGATGCAGATGATGCCACGGCCCTTAGACTCTCTCAACATTCAATTTCTCATGTGTTGGCTTTTTCAGATCCCCCCTTCTGCAAGAAAGGCTCTTTGCAACTGGGTAAGTTTGCTTGTTTTCCTTGCTTTTGGACATAGTCTGCCAGGTCAGGACATGGATACATTTTTCTCCCTACAGCTCTGTGCTCAAGCCCTGCAGAGGGAGATGGCAGAGAGAAAGGCTGCCTACAAGCATCACAGTCCCATCCCTGTTGGTAACCGTGTTGCGCAAAAACACCTTCATCCCCACCCAGTGGGGCCCCTGATCTAATATTCTAAGTGTCAGAGGTTCCGTATTTGTAATAGCAGATGGGCCCTGACTGTAAACTAGTGAAGAGTGAATGTAACTTATTACCCACAGGGACAATTCCAAATGAAGGCCTTAAATGATGCTCAGCTAAGCTGGTTCTTGTGTGGCCTCTGTACCTTCAAAAGCTGCCGAGTCCTATGATTACACGTGATGGGACTTGTACACTTGAAGTGAAACACAGTTTTAAAACTTGCTTTGTTTAGAATTCCCACCTCATTTTTCCATGGACAAAAGTATTCTTTATGTCCTAGTGCACTTACAATTTGGTATTACCTGGGAGTGAAAAGAAATATTACAGCCATGCCTAAGTGACTTCTTGAGGTGAGATTGTTCTGTCAGAAAACCCTCTCCCAGTTCCCCTGCAGCTCTTCAGGAATCCACATCTCTCCAGAGCTCTTTGTTCTCATGGGTGGCACCTCCAGAGTGAAGAAGATCCTTTGTCAAGAAGGGAAACAGAGGGGAAATGAGAGGGTCCTGCAGGCAGAGCTGGAATCAACTTCCACTCTGCCTCTTGCAAGCTGTGTGACCCTGGGCACAATTTCTCCTTCCTCTGGAAACCTCTGTTTTCTTAGATTTGGAGCAGGGTGGTCACACTGACCTTGCAGAGTTCTGAGAATCAGAGACAGAACATAAAAGGCCTGGAAAACATTCTCCAAAAAGAAGCTGCAACATGTGTGGACAGTGGGCTTTTCATGCCTCTCTTACTGTCTCTTACTGTCTGTTGACCTGGTGCAAGAAACATGCTCTGGTGATGGCTGTGAGGGAGGAATGAGGATAGACATAGACACTCCTGTGTCTCAAACATGCTTCTTTATTACTCTGTTATGACTCTGTCTTCCCTGGGGCAGGACCCCAGCCTGCCTACATTTGCAGACAGACACAGTGGCATGTGGAGACAACAGTGTGTCCCAATGACTTTCCTTTACCCTCCAGCTGTCGGCAGTACTCAGTGGAAGGGTGATATTATGACACTGATACTTCTATTTTGAAACCTGGAGGATGGAAAGGTGCAAAAATCTATCACCAGCAACAGAAGGTGCAGACTGTGTTGGTGGCGGTAATTTTGTCCATCAAATGAATATGTGTGAAAACATTCCCTCCTTTGGCCCTACAGGTCAGAATGGCGGCAGCGGAGCATCGTCATTCTTCAGGATTGCCCTACTGGCCCTACCTCACAGCTGAAACTTTAAAAAACAGGATGGGCCACCAGCCACCTCCTCCAACTCAACAACATTCTATAACTGATAACTCCCTGAGCCTCAAGACACCTCCCGAGTGTCTGCTCACTCCCCTTCCACCCTCAGCGGATGATAATCTCAAGACACCTCCCGAGTGTGTGCTCACTCCCCTTCCACCCTCAGCGGATGATAATCTCAAGACACCTCCCGAGTGTGTGCTCACTCCCCTTCCACCCTCAGCGGATGATAATCTCAAGACACCTCCTGAGTGTCTCCTCACTCCCCTTCCACCCTCAGCGGATGATAAACTCAAGACACCTCCCGAGTGTCTGCTCACTCCCCTTCCACCCTCAGCTCTACCCTCAGCTCCACCCTCAGCGGATGATAATCTCAAGACACGTGCCGAGTGTCTGCTCCATCCCCTTCCACCCTCAGCGGATGATAATCTCAAGACACCTTCCGAGCGTCAGCTCACTCCCCTTCCACCCTCAGCTCCACCCTCAGCAGATGATAATATCAAGACACCTGCCGAGCGTCTGCGGGGGCCGCTTCCACCCTCAGCGGATGATAATCTCAAGACACCTTCCGAGCGTCAGCTCACTCCCCTTCCACCCTCAGCTCCACCCTCAGCAGATGATAATATCAAGACACCTGCTGAGCGTCTGCGGGGGCCGCTTCCACCCTCAGCGGATGATAATCTCAAGACACCTTCCGAGCGTCAGCTCACTCCCCTTCCACCCTCAGCTCCACCCTCAGCAGATGATAATATCAAGACACCTGCCGAGCGTCTGCGGGGGCCGCTTCCACCCTCAGCGGATGATAATCTCAAGACACCTTCCGAGCGTCAGCTCACTCCCCTTCCACCCTCAGCTCCACCCTCAGCAGATGATAATATCAAGACACCTGCCGAGCGTCTGCGGGGGCCGCTTCCACCCTCAGCGGATGATAATCTCAAGACACCTTCCGAGCGTCAGCTCACTCCCCTTCCACCCTCAGCTCCACCCTCAGCAGATGATAACATCAAGACACCTGCCTTCCACCCTCAGCGGATGATAATCTCAAGACACCTTCCGAGCGTCAGCTCACTCCCCTTCCACCCTCAGCTCCACCCTCAGCAGATGATAATATCAAGATACCTGCTGAGCGTCTGCGGATTCCGCTTCCACCATCAGCCGATGATAATCTCAAGACACCTTCCGAGCGTCAGCTCACTCCCCTTCCACCCTCAGCTCCACCCTCAGCAGATGATAATATCAAGACACCTGCCGAGCGTCTGTGGGGGCCGCTTCCACCCTCAGCGGATGATAATCTCAAGACACCTTCCGAGCGTCAGCTCACTCCCCTTCCACCCTCAGCTCCACCCTCAGCAGATGATAATATCAAGACACCTGCCGAGCGTCTGCGGGGGCCGCTTCCACCCTCAGCGGATGATAATCTCAAGACACCTTCCGAGCGTCAGCTCACTCCCCTTCCACCCTCAGCTCCACCCTCAGCAGATGATAATATCAAGACACCTGCCGAGCGTCTGCGGGGGCCGCTTCCACCCTCAGCGGATGATAATCTCAAGACACCTTCCGAGCGTCAGCTCACTCCCCTTCCACACTCAGCTCCACCCTCAGCAGATGATAATATCAAGACACCTGCCGAGCGTCTGCGGGGAGCGTCTGCGGGGGCCGCTTCCACCCTCAGCGGATGATAATCTCAAGACACCTTCCGAGCGTCAGCTCACTCCCCTTCCACCCTCAGCTCCACCCTCAGCAGATGATAATATCAAGACACCTGCCGAGCGTCTGCGGGGGCCGCTTCCACCCTCAGCGGATGATAATCTCAAGACACCTTCCGAGCGTCAGCTCACTCCCCTTCCACCCTCAGCTCCACCCTCAGCAGATGATAATATCAAGACACCTGCCGAGCGTCTGCGGGGGCCGCTTCCACCCTCAGCGGATGATAATCTCAAGACACCTTCCGAGCGTCAGCTCACTCCCCTTCCACCCTCAGCTCCACCCTCAGCAGATGATAATATCAAGACACCTGCCGAGCGTCTGCGGGGGCCGCTTCCACCCTCAGCGGATGATAATCTCAAGACACCTTCCGAGCGTCAGCTCACTCCCCTTCCACCCTCAGCTCCACCCTCAGCAGATGATAATATCAAGACACCTGCCGAGCGTCTGCGGGGGCCGCTTCCACCCTCAGCGGATGATAATCTCAAGACACCTTCCGAGCGTCAGCTCACTCCCCTTCCACCCTCAGCTCCACCCTCAGCAGATGATAATATCAAGACACCTGCCGAGCGTCTGCGGGGGCCGCTTCCACCCTCAGCCGATGATAATCTCAAGACACCTCCCTTAGCTACTCAGGAGGCTGAGGCAGAAAAACCACGCAAACCCAAGAGGCAGAGGGCGGCTGAGATGGAACCACCTCCCGAACCCAAGAGGCGGAGGGTCGGTGACGTGGAACCGTCACGCAAACCCAAGAGGCGGAGGGCCGCTGACGTGGAACCATCATCACCCGAACCCAAGAGGCGGAGGGTCGGTGATGTGGAACCGTCACGCAAACCCAAGAGGCGGAGGGCCGCTGACGTGGAACCATCATCACCCGAACCCAAGAGGCGGAGGGTCGGTGACGTGGAACCGTCACGCAAACCCAAGAGGCGGAGGGCCGCTGACGTGGAACCATCATTACCCGAACCCAAGAGGCGGAGGTTGAGCTGAGAAGAGGCCAGTGCACTCAAGCCTGAGCAATAAGAATAAAACCGAGTAGAACAAAATAAAAAATTCAAAAAACAAAACAAAACCCACACTCCAAAAACTAACAAAGAATAAATAAATAATATAAAAATAAAATAAATACTGCAGTCCTTATGTTATTGCTTTGTTTCGATATCTGGTATGATTGCCTGAGGGACCTGAGGTTTTTAATCATAGGGGTTTTTTTTTAATCTTTAGAAGTGGTTGGTTATGTAAAATATTATTATTTTTTTTTTTGAGACTGGATTTTGCTGTGTCACCCAGGCTGGAGTGCAGTGGCTCGATCACAGCTCACTGCAGCCTCAACCTCCTGGGCTTCAAGCAATCCTCCTGCCTCAGCCTCCCAAGTAGCTGGGATCACAGATATGTGCCACCACGCCTGGCCAATGTTAAAAAATCCTTTAACTTTTTTGTAGAGATGCACTCCTGGACTCAAGCGATCCTCCTACTTGTCCCGACCACCAGCCCCTTTCTGATAAACAAACATTTACACTGTTTATTATCTGATGCCATTTCTATCTTCTTCCTTGTCGTCCAGACATCGAATAATTAGGTTTCTTCAGGGTTTTCTTTTTCAAGTGCTCAGTGTTAAAGATCACTCACATTAGGGCCAGACACCATGGCTCATGCCTGTAATCCCAGCACTTTGGGAGGCCGAGGCGGGCAGAGCACTTGAGGTGGGGAGTTTGAGACCAGCCCGGCCAACTTGGGGAAACCCCACCTCTACTGAAAAAAATACAAAAATTAGCTGGGCGTGATGGTGCATGTCTGTAGTCCTAGCCACTTGGGAGGCTGAGGCATGAGAATCGCTTGAACCCAGGAGGCAGAGGTTGTAGTGAGCCAAGATCACGTCAGCACACTCTAGCCTGGGTGACAGAGTGAGACTCTGACTCAAAAAATAAATAAAATAAATATCACTTACATGAGATATACCCAAGGGGTGGTCTACAGAGACTTGGAAGCAGTGGTTATTGCAACAGGGGCACGGAAGTCATCTGGCTATGCCAGGGTGCCCAGGGGATACTCGGGGTGGGTGGCATGGTGCTGCTGGGGACTCATCGCACAGGACGCTCTGATTGACGCACTGCCAGGAGTAGCGCTCTGTCTTGGGGCTGCAGCCGGCCTCCTCAGCTCGAGTGTAACATCAGTCGTGGCCATGGCAGCACCTGCGGATGTCACATGGGCAGGACAGCAGGTGGGTGAAGCTCTCTCCTGGCCCTCCTCTCTTGCCAGGACCATGGGTGACTGAAGACCCCCAGGGAGGCACAGCATCCTCTTATCTAAGATTTTTTTTTTTTTAAGAGACAGGGTCTTTAAAAAAGTCCTGCAGTCTGCAGTCGCCCAGGCTGGACTGCAGAGGCACAATCATAGCTCACGGCAGCCTTGAACTCCTGGGCTCAAGCGATCCTCCCACTTCAGTGTCCCAAGTAGCTGAGACTACAGG
This sequence comes from Homo sapiens, assembly GCF_000001405.40. NCBI lineage: Eukaryota > Metazoa > Chordata > Mammalia > Primates > Hominidae > Homo > Homo sapiens. Next base: position 1,271,538 of record NW_017852933.1, read on the forward strand.
CACACGCCAGCATGTCCGGCTGGTTTTTTAGTTTGTATTTCCTTTGAGACAGCATATCTCTCTGTCGCTCAGGCTGGGGTGCAATGGCTCAATCAGCTCACTTTAGCCTTGAACTCCCGGGCTCAAGTGATACTGCCACCTCAACTTCCCAAGTATGCTACTACAGGAACACAAACTCCTTTTTTAAATTTTTTGTGGATATGGGGTCTCACTATGTTGCCTAGGCTGGTCTTGAACTCCCAGGCTCAAGCAGTCCTACCTCAGCCTCCCCAAATGCTGGGATTACAGGTGGGAGCTACTGTACGCCTGGCCTTATCTAAGCTGTTTCCCTGAAAATGCCCGTCTTGGGTAATGATTCCATTGGCCCCACCATGCCCTGTCCTGCCTTCCTGGCTGTGCCCAAGCTTGGTCCCTGCCTGCCTGCCTCACTCTCTGGGTCTCGAGCTCCTGTGACACATGACTCCTCTCTCTTCCTGGAGTGATCCAAGCCCTGCCACTTCCTGACTTTGCCCACACTGTACCCTCTGCCTGGGGCAACTTCATGTCTGCCCATTGTCCCTTAGGCCTCAGCCCAGGCACAAGCCCCTGCCTCCGGAGGTCATCCAGGCCTCACCAGGCTACACCCTCTCGTAAAATTGGATTCCCTCCCTTCAGGGCAGGTTTATAATGAAATCCTCCTCAGAGGCCAGGTGCGGTGACACCCATCTGTAATCCCAGCACTTTGGGAGGCTGAGGTGGGAGGATCACTTGAGGCCAGGGGGTCGAGACCAGCCTGGGCAACATAAGAGAGACTCTTGTCTCTCTTGTCTCTATAACAAATTTAAAAATTAGCTCACCAGGCCAGGCTCAGTGGCTCATGCCTGTAATCCCAACACTTTGAGAGGCCGAGGCAGGTGGATCACGAGGTCAGGAGTTCGAGAGCAGCCTGACCAACACGGCGAAACCCTGTCTCTACTAAACATACAAAATTAGCCAGGCATGGTGGCACGCACCTGTAATCCCAGCTACTCGGGAGGCTGAGGTAGGAGAATTGCTTGAACCCCGGAGGTGGAGGTTGCGGTGAGCCAAGATCACGCCATTGCAGTCCAGCCTGAGCAACAGAGCAAGACTCTGTCTCGAGAGAATAAAAACACACAAAAAATTAACTCGCCAGGATGGCACATGCCTATAGTCCTAACTACTTGGGAGGCTGAGGTGGGAGGATTCCCTTCAGCCCAGGAGTTTGAGGCTGCAGTGAGCCACTGTGATTGTGCCACTGCACTCTAACCTGGGCAAAAGCGAGACCCCAGGCTAGAGTGCATGATTTTGGGTCACTGCAACCTCCACCTCCCAGGTTCAAGTGATTCTCCTGCCTCAGCCTCTTGAGTAGCTGGGACTACAGGCATGTGCCACCACGTCTGGGTAATTTTTGTATTTTTAGTAGAGACAGGGTTTAGTAGAGACCATGGTGAAACCCCATCTCTATTAAACAAATCTCTACTAACCCCATCTCTACAAAAAACAGCTGGGCGTGGTAGTGCACACCTGTAATTCCAGCTACTTGGGAGGCTGAGGCACGAGAATCATTTGCATCTTGGAGGCAGAGTTTGCAGTGAGCTGAGATCGCACCACTGCACTCCAGCCGGGATGACAGAGCAAGACCCTGTCTCAAAAAAAAAAAAAGGGCCGGGCGCGGTGGCTCACGCCTGTAATCCCAGCACTTTGGGAGGCCGAGGCGGGCGGATCACGAGGTCAGGAGATCGAGACCATCCTGGCTAACACGGTGAAACCCCGTCTCTACTAAAAATACAAAAAATTAGCCGGGCGTGGTGGCGGGCGCCTGTAGTCCCAGCTACTCGGGAGGCTGAGGCAGGAGAATGGCGTGAACCTGGGAGGCGGAGCTTGCAGTGAGCCGAGATCGCGCCACTGCACTCCAGCCTGGGCGACAGAGCGAGACTCCGTCTCAAAAAAAAAAAAAAAAAAAAAAAAAGAAAAAAGAACAAACAACAGCAACAACAACAAAAAAACCTCTGTGTCAATCACAGCCTTCGAGCTAGGGGAGAGGCGGCCGAATTCTGCCCTCCGCTAACGAGCTATAGCTTTGTGGAAATGGGCGAGTGGCGTGCCCTTGTGAGCCTCAGGGCCGCATCTGTAAAATGGGCATAACTGTCATGCCTGTCTTTAAGAACAGCCTTGGGGGTAAATGAGTGGAACTAATGGAAAGATCTCAGCCCACAACCTTCCACAGAACAGGCGCTTCTCACACAGTAAGTAGCAGGAGTGCAGAGGCTGCAGGCATGAATCCAGTCAGACTGCAGACTGCCTGGGTTCAAGTCCCAGCTCCCACGTCTTGGTAACTAAGTGGCCTCAGACAAGTTACTTAGTATTTCTTCTTCTTCTTTTTTTTTTTTTTTCAGACGGAGTTTTGCTCTGTCACCCAGGCTGGAGTGCAGTGGTGTGATCTCGGCTCACTGCAACCTCCGCCTCCCGGGTTCAAGCAATTCTCCTGCCTCAGCTTCCTGAGTAGCTGGAATTACAGGCACCTGCCACCACATCCAGCTAATTTTTGTATTTTTAGTAGAGACAGGGTTTCACCATATTGGCCAGGATGGTCTCGAACTCCTGACCTCGTGATCTGCCTGCCTCAGCCTCCCAAAGTACTGGGATTATAGGCGTGAGCCACCGCACCTGGACACATTACTTAATATTTCTGTGCCTTGGTTTCTTCATCTGTGAAATGGGATTGTTGTGAGAATGCAAAGGGATTCCCAGGGCAGTTCCTAGTGCATAGTCTGGCTGCCTTTGTGTGTGTGTGTGTGTGTGTGCATGTGTGTGTGTGTTTAATATAGAGACAGGGTCTCACTATGTTGCCTAGGCTGGTTTCAAACTCCTGGGCTCCAGTGATCCTCCTGCTTCCACCCAAAGTGGTGGGATAACAGGTGTGAGTCACCACACCTGGTCACTTTATATTATTTTTTTCTTTTGAGACAGGGTCTCGCACTGTTGCCGAGGTTGGAATGCAGTGGTGCAATCTCAACTCACTGCAAACTCCGCCTCCCGGGTTCAAGTGTTTCTCCTGCATCAGCCTCTTGAGTAGCTGGTACTATAGTCACCGGGCTCCTTGCCTGGCTAAGTTTTGTATTTTTAGTAGAGATGCGGTTTAGTGATTCTCCTGCATCAGCCTCTTGAGTAGCTGGTACTATAATCACTTAGCTCCTTGCCCAGCTAATTTTTGTATTGTTAGTAGAGATGCGGTTTCCTTTTTTTTTTTTTTTTTTGAGATGGAGTTTCGCTCTTGTTGCCTAGGCTGGAGTGCAGTGGTGCTATCTCGGTTCACCACAGCCTCCGCCTCCTGGGTTCAAGCGATTCTCCTCCTCAGCCTCCCGAGTAGCTGGGATTACAGGCATGTGCCACCGCACCTGGCTAATTTTGTATTTTTAGTAGAGACGGGGTTTCCCCATGTTGGTCAGGCTAGTCTCGAACTCCTGATGTCAGGTGATCTGCCTTCCTTGGCCTCCCAAAGTGCTGGGATTACAGGCATGAGCCAGCATGCCAGGCTGGCCCTTTTTTTTTTTTTTTTAATCACTTAACATATATCTTGGAGAACTTTCCATTTTGGGAGTTAAAGAGATTTGTTTGTTTGTTTGTTTTGAGACAGGGTCTCCCTCTGTGGCCCAGGCTGGAGCTGGACCTTGGCTCAGTCCAACTTCCACCCCCCGGGCTCAAGCAATCCTCCCACTTCAGCCTTCCAAGTAGCTGGGTCTATGGGCACATGCCACCACATCCCGCTACTTTTTATAGTTTTTGTAGAGATAGGATTTTACCATGTTGCCCAGGCTGGTCTTGAACTCCTGAGCTCAAGTGATCCACCTGCTTCAGCCTCCCAAATTACTGGGATTACAGGCATGAGCCATCTTGCCCAGCCTGTTTTTTATTTAATATCTACTAAGTGCCAACTACCATAGAGGACATAAAGATGATTCAGTCTCTGCAGAAGTCATTTTCTTTCTCTTTCCTGTTGTACAGCACAAAATTAATGGACTAAATAGTCTGTCACTAGATAAAGAAGCCCTAAGTAATCAGGCACTTGCTGCAGTTTTTACAAAGTTTAAAAAGCCATATGAAACACAGTATACTCCAAGTAATAAGAGGCAAAATATGTGAAGTGTTACTGCTGGGGAATTTACGGACTATTCTTTTCTACAATATATCTGCTGTGGTCTGAATGTGTTCCCCAAGATTCATATGTTAAAACTTAACCACCAGTCTGGTAGTATTAAGAGGTGGGGCATCATTAAGTCATGAGGGCATGGGATTAGTAACCTCATAAAAAGGTTGGCGGGAACGAGCTAGGCCCTTTCATTGCCCTTACATCCCTCTGTCACTTGAAGACACAGCACTGGTCCCCCCGGGAGGACATAGCAGCAAGGTGCCGTATTGGAAATGGCCACCATGCCCTCACCAGATACCAACCTGCTGGTAACTTAATCTTGGCCTTCCTAGCCTCCAGAACTGTGAGAAAGAAATTTCTGGGTTTTGTTTGTTTGTATGAGACAGGGTCTCTGTCACCTAGGCTGGAGTGCAGTGGCACGATCTCGGCTCACTGCAACCTCTGCCTCCTGGGTTCAAGTGATTCTCCCACCTCAGCCTCCCGAGTAGCTGGGATTACAGGTATGCACCACCACACCCAGCTTTTTTTTTTTTTCATAGCGTTGTACAGATAGGGTTTCGTCATGTTGCCCAGGCTGATCTCGAACTCCTAAGGTCACACGATCCACCTGCCCTGGCCTCCCAGCATGCTGGGATTAAAGGCGTGAGCCACTGTGCCTGGCCAAAATTTCCGTTTTTTATAAATAACCCAGTCTCTGGTACTTTCTTATAGCCGCACGAACAGATAAAGACTGTACCTATCTGTTGACTGGGCGCAGTGGCTCACGTCTGTAATCCCAGCACTTCGGGAGGCTTAGACAGGTGGATCACGAGGTGAGGAGATCGAGACCATCCTGGCTAATATGGTGAAACCCCGTCTCTACTAAAAATACAAAAAATTTAGCTGGGCTCGGTGGCGGGCGCCTGTAGTCCCAGCTACTCAGGAGGCTGAGGCACGAGAATGGCATGAACCCGGGAGGCGGAGCTTGCAGTGAGCCGAGATCATGCCACTGCAGTCCGTCCTGGGCGAAAGAGCGAGACTCCGTCTCAAAAAACAAACAAACAAACAAACAAACAAAAAAGACCGTGCCTTTCTGTCTGTCTCCCTCATAGGTCAGTTTCCACCTGATTGTAACCACATCAAGTATCCTAGTATATTTCATATTTACAGAAAAATAAATGGGCAAATACTGTCATTTACAGAGAACCTGCCCTGTCCTGTACACTGTGACATATTTTGTGGTTTGTGATTATGTGCTCTGATCCTTACGATAGCTCTAAAATAGCTCAAAAAGTTATTCCCATTTTGTACATAAGAAAATTGAAGTTCTGGAAACATAAGGCAATTGCCCAAAGTAATAGAGTAAATGACAAAGCTAGGATTTCTTTCTTTCTTCCATTAATTAATTAATTATTTGAGATAGGGTCCCTGTTGTGGGATGCAGTGGGGAGATCATAGCTCACTGCAGTCTCGACCTCCTGGGCTCAACTGATCCTCACGTCTCAGCCTCCTGAGTAGCCGGGACTACAGGTGCACACCAACACTATGGCTAATTCTTGTATTTTTCTGTAGAGGTCTGCCTAGGCTAGGCAGAGATTCTGGCTAGGCTGGTCTCAAACTCCTGGGCTCAAGCAATTCTCCTGCCTCACCCTCCCATATAGCTGGGACCGCAGGTGTGTGCCACCACTCCCAGCTGACTTGTTTATACCAGTGGTTCTTAATTGGAAGAGTTTTGTACCCCGGGGACATTTGGCAACATCTGGAGATGTTTTTGAATGTTACAGTGGGGAGGAGGGGAATGCTACTGTCACCTACTGCGTAGAGGCAAGGGATGCTGCTGAACATCCCACAATGCACAGAACAGCCTCCTCCCCACCCAACAGAGAAGTATCTGGTTGGCCCAAAATCTCAATGATGCCAAGTCTAAGAAACTGCTTTGTATTTCTCTGAGATACTGGGATGAGGAACGCTCTAAATTAGTTGTCTTTGAGGATAATGTATGCATACATACACATATATGTGTATACATGTATATAACTAAAGATATATAGTTGAGATCTTGCATTTGTGTTAATGAATGTAGTTTTTATAAAGATAATTGACTCATACATTAATTGTTGACTCTTTGGAAAGGAAAAAGGACAAATGAGATACATGCTATTGGTTTTGTTATTTAGAAATTGTTCGTGTGGATCCTCCCTACCATTCAGCCATTTGCAAACCATTAGTTGAGCATAACTTAATCCCTTCTAGTTCACAGCAAAGATTCATCAAAAGCCATTTGGTATACTGTCACCTCATCTCTCTACCAGTGTTGATTAGATTACAGGAGGGTTACAGGAGGGCACCTTATCCAAATTGGCCAATGATAAATTCTTTTTTGGTACCTTACTATATATTTGTATCCTCAGAACAAATTCTCCTTTCTGCTTAAGCTGGCTTGACTTCATTTCTTTCACTAGCAAGCTAAGAGGCTTTGGCCAACAGAACTACTCTAGGGGTAGCTGTAAAATTTATCTCTAAGGAAAGGCTGCTCTTTTGAAAACACAGTTTAATGGGTCTTCTGGGTATATGACGATAGTAAAGCAAAATTTTGTTCTGGAATGAAGAAGCTGATTACATTGTTGTATTACAAACAATATATTACTCAGTGAAGTGAAAGGCCACACTGTGGGCAGGGTGGTGACTTTGCAGATAGCATGTTAATCCTTGCATGCTTTTTGTTGTTTCTCTTTTTGGAGGGGGAGGGTCTTAATTTTCTTTGGCCCTCCCCCACCCCCTTTATTTTCTCTGGGGAAGGCAAGACTGGATAAGGAGGCTTTTATCCTGCCAAGATGAGTTGGCCCACAGGACAATTTGACTGAATAGAGGCTCCACAAAGAACGGACATGGCCAAAGAATTACAACAGGAAATTATGCATTTAGTTTTAAGGCTTCCTTTTTCTCCTTTTTTTTTTTTTTTTTTTGAGACCGAGTCTTGCTCTGTTGCCCAGGCTGGAGTGCAGTGTTGCGATCTCAGCTCACTGCAACCTCTGCCTCCCGGGTCCAAGCGATTCTCCAGCCTCAGCCTCCCGAGTAGCTGGGATTACAGGTACCTGCCACCACACCTGGCTAATTCGTATTTTTGGTAGAGATGGGGTTTCACCATGTTGGCCCGGCTGGTCTTGAACTCCTGGTCTCAAGTGATCCACCCGCCTCAGCCTCCCAAAGTACAGGGATTACAGGCATGAGCCACAGGGCCTGGCCAGTATTTTTCTTGTATAATGCTCAGAGTTTCCTTTAAATCTTTTTAAAAACTTGGCAGCCTTAGTCTTAGCTGTGCTTTGGGAAAATAAGGAGCTGCACTCAAGCTTAAGAAGATATTGCTGGAAGTGTACATTGGCACAGCCTTCGAAGCTTCTTGGTGCCCTCCTGTAACCCAATCGACACTGGCTAGAGAGATGAGGTCATATTGCATCAAATGGCTTCCAGTGATTCTTTGCTGTGGACAAGAAAGTTGCTCTTTTTCTTTGAGAAAGTTGCTCTTTTTCTTTGAGAGGGAGTTTTGATGCCTAGGCTGGAGTGCAATGGCAGTGATGTCGGCTCACTGCAACCTCTGCCTCCCAGGTTCAAGTGATTCTCCTGCCTCAGCCTCCCGAGTAGCTGGGATTACAGGAATGTGCCACCATGCCAGGCTAATTTTGTATTTTTAGTAGAGACAGGGTTTTTCCATGTTGGTCAGGCTGGTCTCGAACTCCCGACCTCAGGTGATCCACCCATGTTGGCCTCCAAAAGTGCTGGGATTACAGGCGTGAGCCACCACGCCCAGCCAAGAAGGTCACTCTTTATGCTCAACAAATGTATTGCAAATGGCTGAAAGGTAGGGAGGATCCAGATGAACAATTTCTAAATAGGAAAACTAATAGCCAGACACGATGGCTCACACCTGTAATCCCAGCATTTTAGGAGGTCGAGGCAGGCAGATCACCTGATGTCAGGCATTTGAGACCAGCCTGGGCAACACGGAGAAACCCCATGTCTACTAAAAATACAAAAATTAGCCAGGTGTGGTGGCGGGCATGTGTAGTCCCAGCTACTCAGGAGGCTGAGGCAGGAGAATCACTTAAACCCGGGAGGCAGAGGTTGCAGTGAGCTGAGCTTGTGCCACTGTACTCCAGCCTGGGCAACAGAGAGAGACTCTGTCTCAAAAAAAAAAAAAAAAAATCGTAGATATCCAATTTGTTCCTTTCTCCTTTCCTAAAAGCTTTTTGTGCCCCCTCCAACCCAACAGTTCCACCCTAGAAAAACACTTGTACACATACATCAGGAAACGATACAAGAATATTCAGGCTGGTCGCGGTGGCTTGCCTATAATCTCAGCATTTTGGGAGGCCGAGGTGGGAGGACGGCGAGAGATCATGCCACTGCGCTCCAGCCTGGGCAACAGAGGGAGACTCCGTCTCAAAAAAAAAAAAAAAAAAAAGCATAATGTTGAAAACAAACAGCAGTATAATACAGCATGGAGATAACTTTATAAAATGCAAAGACAAATAAAAGTAAATATAGTGCATTGTTTAGGAGTATAAATATGGTAATTATGCAAAGAAAACTAAAATGACTTTTAAAAATCATGATGGTGACTATTTTTGGGAGGAAAGCAGGTAGAAGGTGGGATCTGAGAGCAGCACACAGTAAGTGTCAATTGTCCTAGTTAATGTTCGGCTTCTTAAATTGGGTGATATGTTCACAGGTGTTCATTATGTTCTTTTTTTTTTTTTTTTTTTTGAGACGGAGTCTGACTCTGTTGCCCAGGCTGGGGTGCAGTGGTGCGATCTCGGCTCACTGCAAGCTCCACCTCTTGGGTTCATGCCATTCTCCTGCCTCAGCTTCCCAAGTAGCTGGGACTACAGGTGCCCGCCACCACACCCGGCTAATTTTTTTTTTTTTTGTATTTTTAGTAGAGACGGGGTTTCACCGTGTTAGCCAGGATGGTCTCGATCTCCTGACCTCGTGATCCACCTGCCTCGGCCTCCCAAAGTGCTGGGATTACAGGCGGGAGCCGCTGCGCCCAGCCCATTATGTTCTTATAACTTACATTAACATATTATTTTATATATGTCAAGCTTTTTTTCCCTTTTTTTTTTTTTAAGAGATGAGATTTTGCTTTGTCACCCAGGCCAGAGAGTGTCGTGGTGCAGTCATAGCTCACAGCAGCCTCCAACTCCTGGGTTCAAGTGATTCTCCCACCTCTGTCTGCCAAATAATTGGAACTACAGGCATGTGCCACCATGCCTGGGTAAGTTTTTTTTTTTAATTTTTTATTTATTATTATACTTTAAGATTTAGGGTACATGTGCACAATGTGCAGGTTAGTTACATATGTATACATGTGCCATGCTGGTGCGCTGCACCCACTAACTCGTCATCTAGCATTAGGTATATCTCCGAATGCTATCCCTCCCCCCTCCCCCCACCCCACAACAGTCCCCAGAGTGTGATGTTCCCCTTCCTGTGTCCATGTGTTCTCATTGTTCAATTCCCACCTATGAGTGAGAATATGCAGTGTTTGGTTTTTTGTTCTTGCGATAGTTTACTGAGAATGATGATTTCCAATTTCATCCATGTCCCTACAAAGGATGTGAACTCATCATTTTTTATGGCTGCATAGTATTCCATGGCATATATGTGCCACATTTTCTTAATCCAGTCTATCATTGTTGGACATTTGGGTTGGTTCCAAGTCTTTGCTATTGTGAATAATGCCGCAATAAACATATGTGTGCATGTGTCTTTAAAACAGCATGATTTATAGTCCTTTGGGTATCCTGGGTAAGTTTTTTAAAAGTGTTATTTGTAGAGACGGAGTCTGGCTGTGTTGCCTGGGCTGGTCTCAAACTCCTGGCTTCAAGGTATCCTCCTGCCTCAGCCTCCCAAAGCTCTGGCATTACAGGTGTGAGCCACTGCACCCAGACTCAGACTTTTTTTAAGGGAAAGAATGGGAGTGTAGGTGGGGAGACACACTTTGGGAGGCCAAGGTGGGAGGATCACTTGGGCCGGGGGTTCAAGACCAGTCTGGGCAACAAAGTGAGACCTCGTATTTACCAAAAATACAAAAAATTAGCTGGGCTTGGTGGTGTGGGTTTGGGAGGCTGAGGTGAGAGGATTGCATAAGCTGTAGGAGCCCGAGGCTGCAACGAGCTGTGATCGCGCCATTGCGCTCTAACTTGGGCTAGACAATGAGATCCTGTCTCAAACCAAAACAAAACAAAACAGATAATTGTCAAATTGCTGTTTTGCTATTGTTGCTTTTTGTTTTTGCTTCGCTTTGCCTTGGAAGTGAAGAAGAGATTCTCATTTAAACAGTTATCTTGAAGTATCTTTGTGAACTAGGGTGCAATTATTTCCTCTGTCCTTGAGACACAGATGATTCCTGTCCAACATTCCCAAGGAACTCAGTAAGGACCAAATAGAGACTCAGGAAAGACAGTTACTGATTTTACACTGTTGCAAAACAGAGCTATGGTTTATGTTTAACAAACTGCTGGTGGGGCGTGGTGGCTCATGTCTGTAATCCCAGCACTTTGGGATGCCAAGGTGGGTGGATCACTTGAGGTCAAGAGTTCGAGACCAGCCTGGCCAACATGGTGAAACCCTGTCTCTACTAAAAATACAAAAATTAGCAGGGCATGGTGGTGCATGCCTGTAATCCTAGCTACTGGGGAGGGTGAGGCACAAGAATCGCTTGAACCTGGGAATCGGAGGATGCAGTGAGCCGAGATCACGACACTGTACTCCATCCTGGGTGACGGAGCGAGACTGTCTCAAAAAAAACACAAAAAACAAAAAAACCAAATTGCTGTATTTTATTTTGTGAAATAGGGTCTAGCTCTGTTGTCCAGGCTGGAGTGCAGGGGTGCAATCACAGCTCACTGCAGCCTTGACCTCCAGGGCTCAATCGATCCTCCCTCCTCAGTTTTCAAGTAGCTGAGACTACAGGTATGCACCACCATATGCTGCCCAGGCTGGTCTTGAACTCCTGGAGAGAGATACATACACACACACACACACACACACACACACACACACACACACACACACTTTTTTTTTTTTTTTGAGACACAGTTTCGCTCGTCACCCAGGCTGGAGTGCAATGGCACAATCTTGGCTCATTGCAACCTCTGCCTCCTGGGTTCAAGCTATTATCCTGCCTCGGCCTCCCAAGTAGCTGGGATTAGTAAGGCACTGCCACCATGCCTGGCTAATTTTGTATTTTTAGTAGAGACAGGGTTTTGTCATGTTGGCCAGGCTGGTCTCAAACTTCTGGCCTCAGGTGATCCACTTGCCTCGGCCTCCCAAAGTGTTGGGATAACAGGCATGAGCCACTGCGCCGGGCCCATACATATGCATTTTAAAAAATTTATTTATTTATTTCGAGACAGGGTCTCACTCTGTTGCCCAAGCAGGAGTGCAGTGGTGCTATCTCCCAGGCTCAAGCAATCCTCAGCCTCCCGAGTAGCTGGGACTACAGGTGTGTGCCATCACACCCAGATAATTTTTATTATTTTTATTTTTTAAATTTTTTGTAGAGATGGAGTTTCACCGTGTCACCCAGGCTGGATATTTTTGTATTTTTGATAGGCCTGTACAGTTTCCAAAGTTGCAACCTTTCCCCCTCCCTGAGAGTAGGGGCAGCCCCGGCTCTCCCTCTACATCCTCCACAGTCCCGAGGTTTTGGCCTCTGTTTCCTCTGTTTCCTATGCTTGGAACACCAGTCGCTCTTTTGTTGGTCTGGCTGACTTCTGTTCCTCTTTTAAAAATTTAAGTTTGGCCGGGTGCGGTGGCTCACGCTTGTAATCCCAGCACTTTGGGAGTCCGAGGCGGGTGGATGACCTGAGGTCATGAGTTCAAGACCAGCCTGGCCAACACAGTGCAACCCCGTCTCCACTAAAAATACGAAAATTAGCCGGGTGTGGTGGCATGCGCCTGTAATCCCAGCTACTTGGGAGGCTGAGGCAAGAGAATTGCTTGAACTGGGGAGGCGGAGGTTGCAGTGAGCTGAGATCACGCCACTGCACTCCACCTGGGCAACAGGGCAAGACTCGGTCTCAAAAGAAAATAAATAAATAAATAAATAAATAAATAAATAAATAAATAAAGTCAAGGGGGTAACACCTCTTGGTAACTCTCCTGTTGTTTCTCATGCCAGCATCATCACAGCCTTGAGGCTCTGGGGTAGGTCACTTCGTCGAGCTCGTTTCCATGAGGATAACGTTATCTTGGGTGTCTGTGAGAATGCTGCACTGAGTATAGAGCCCAGGCTCCTGGGTCAGCCGGGTTCGAATCCCCTTTCCTCCGTGAAGATCTGGGTCAGTCACAAGTGCTTCAGTTTCTTCGATCTGACTGAGGGAGGCTTTGACTCCAAAAAATTAACACTTGAGTGTACCTGGCCACAGCTTAGCACATCCAGGGTGTTTCCACCCTTTCTTTGGGATCCTCAGGGCTGGATGGAGCCGATCCTTCCCGTCTCTCCTTACACTCGCGCACTCACGCTGGCTGGAACAAGTCCTCCAAGTAGAACGAAGAGCGCGTTTTAGCGGCGCTCTAGCCCGCCGAGAGCATACGCCCTCCCCACACGGGGCCCCTGATTGTCTGAAGGTTGCGCTGGCACGCGCAACTTCCGGGACAGAGGCTGTGGCTGGAAGGAGCTGGGCATCCGGCCTGAGGCGCAGCGGTCGCGTTAGTTCGGCCCAATGGCGGCACCGCTGCTTCACACGTTGTTTGTCGGGAGATGCGGCCGCTTCGTCCTCTGCAGTCAAGACGCTGGGCGCGTCGAGGACTGGGTAAGATTCAGGCCGCTTCCTTCTGCGCGTCTGGGACCAAAGCTCAGGACCGCGCTTAGAGGAGCGGATTGAAAGGATGTGGGACAAAGCTAATGGCGTGTGATAGGAGCACGGGGTCGAGGGTCATCTCACGTTCACAGAAATGAGCTCATTCCTCCTAACTGGGTAATAGACATGGGTGGGGCCTGGAAAAGTGAGTATGTTCTCTGTTCTGGAGGCCCACTTTCCCGACTGTGTCTCTTCGTGATTTCCCAGGCC